>NC_000008.11:144172402-144474480 GCF_000001405.40 Homo sapiens
TTTTTTTTTTCTTTTTTTTTTTCCCCCGAGAGGGAGTCTTGCTCTGTCGCCCAAGCTGGAGGGCAATGGCGCGATCTCGGCTCACTGCAACCTCCACCTCCTGGGTTCAAGCGATTCTCCTGCCTCAGCCTCCTGAGTAGCTGGGATTACAGACGCGTGCCACCACACCAGCTAATTTTTGTATTTTTAGTAGAGACCGGGTTTCACCGTGTTGGTCAGGCAGGTCTCGAACTCCTGACCTTGTGATCTGCCCACCTTGGCCTCCCAAGGTGCTGGGATTACAGGTGCGAGCCACCGTGCCCGGCCAGTCTAACTCTTTTAACCAGTTGTCAGTCAGAAAATCTCTGAATCCACCTACGCCCTATAAGCACTCCCTGAGATGTCCCACATTTCTAGGCTGAACTAGTGTACACCTTCCATGTATTGATTTACGTCTTTGCCTGTAATTCTGTCCCCTAAAATGTATAAAACCAAACTAACCTGACCATCTTGGGTGTACTTTCTCAGATGTTCCCTGGGCCGTGGTCAGTCATAGTGGCACAGAATAAACCTTGTTAGGTATTTTAGAGTTTAGCTTTTTTGTCAACAGTATTTTTATTTAAAGGGGCTTATTATGTGTTTGCTTTCCTTGAAGAACTTTCCTAAGTGGGCCTTTTCCAACTGTGAATGGAGGCAGGGCTGTGAAAGTTATGGTACTTTTTTTTTTTTTTTTTTTTCCTGAGGCAGAGTCTCGCTCTGTTGCCCAGGCTTGAGTGCAGTGGTGTGATCTCAGCTCACTGCAACCTCTACCTCCTGGGTCAAGCAATTCTTGTGCCTCAGCCTCACAAGTAGCTGGGACTACAGGCACGTGCCACCACTCCTGGCTAATTTTTTTTTTGTAGTTTTAGTAGAGATTGGGTTTCGCCATGTTGGCCAGGTTGGTCATGAACTCCTGACCTCAAGCAATCCACCTGCCTTGGCTTCCCAAAGTGCTGGTGATGTAGGATTCTTCTTTTTTATTTATTTATTTATTTTATTTTTATTTTATTTTTTTTTTTTTGAGACAGAGTCTCACTCTTGCCCAGGCTGGGCTGGAGTACAATGGCGCAAACCGGCTCGCTGCAACCTCTGCCTCCTGGGTTCAAGCAGTTCTCCTGCCTCAGCCTCCTGAGTAGCTGGGATTACAGGTGCACGCCACCACACCTGTCTCATTTTTTTGTATTTTTAGTACAGGTGGGGTTTCACCATGTTGGTCAGGCTGGTCTCAAACTCCTGACCTGATCCACCCACCTCGGCCTCCCAAAGTGCTGGGATGACAGGCCTGAGCCACTCCGCCCAGCCATAGGATTCTTCTTCTTGGTCCCTTTGCAAGCCCTAGCGATGCCCCACCTGGGCCTTGCCCAGCCATGCTGGCGTGCCTCAACTTGCCTACATTATAGCTTGTAACTGTGTTTGGCGGTTCCTGAGCTCTTACACCACACCCAAGAAGAATGAGGATACAGTGGACATTGAAGGGTGAGGAGGGCAGAGAAGAATTTTATTGAGCGATGAAAATGGCTCTTGGGGGAGAGGGGAGCTGGAGAGGGGACAGGAAGGACAGGTCATGTTCCCCAAAGTCAGGCTGTCTCTTCGCCCAAGTTAGGCCACCTCCCCTCTGCCAACTGAGTCTGGGGTCTTTATAGGCACAGAATGAGGAGTGTATGCTGATTGGTTTGTAAGTCTGCAAAAGAGGTTAAAGTGAAGACACCACTCAAAGGTGGGCGTGATGGTATAGAAAGCCAATTAGAAAAGGGTAGGTATATGTAAAATAGGTGAAGGGTGGGGATCAATCAGAGGAAAGCACACCAGACAGGAAGACAGGCTCTCAATCTGGTCCCAGGATTTTACTTGTAGCTTGGCTTTCAGGCTTTAAACTGTTTTTGGCTTGGAGGTGGGGTTTCTCAGGGGACCCACCCCTCTCTACCTAGGCATTTGGCTGCCTCCTGTCACTATCATGGGGATTACAGGCATGAACCACCATGCCCGGCCAAAAGTATGGTACTTATACCATAAAATCAAACAATTCAAACCAACCCTGGAACACAAGTAATACATAACCTTTTTTTTTTTTTTTTTAAATTCAGGGATGGACTCCCTCTGTTGCCTAGGCTGGAGTGCAGCGGTGCAATTTTGGCTTACTGCAGCCTTGATCTCCCGTACACAAGTGATCCTCCTGCTTCAGCCTCCGAAGTAGCTGGGACCACAGGCGCACCACCACACCTGGCTAATTGTTTTTATTTTTTGTAGAAACAGGGCCTTACTATGTTATCCAGGCTGGTCTTGAACTCCTAGGCCCAAGTGATCCTCCCACCTTGGCCTCCCAAAGTGCTGGGGTTACAGGTGTGAGCCACTGTGGCTGGCCCTATCCATTTTTTGTAAAATGTAGATTCCTATGCCTTTTTCATGGGTTCCTATGTTTTCCAGTTGCATAACCCATTGCAGACTTGCTGAGTCAGCCTGTCACCCTGCACTGAGCACTCAATCACCAGGACACAGAGTGACAGATGGAGATGCCACAGTTGTGAGTGGAATCTGGAGAACTCAGTCCCAGGACTCACTTCTCCCTATTGTTTTCCTCTGGAAAAAAGCAAAGATTTCCCTCAAACTTCCTCATATACATGAAGAGAATTAGTAGCTAAAGATGGAAGCATAATGCAACTTGAGATGTGTTTCCAAGATCAAGAACCAGAGGAGATGGCAGCTGTGGGTCTGGTCAGGTGGGTATTAATGCCCTGCTGCACCTGAGCTTCTCCTCCCAGCAGCGGATCTGGTCGAGTGGGTATAAATGCCCTGCTGCACCCAAGCTGCCCCTCCCAGCAGCGGGTCCGGTCGGATGGGTATAAATGCCCTGCTGCACCCAAGCTGCCCCTCCCAGCAACGGGTCCAGTCGGATGGGTATAAATGCCCTGCTACACCTGAGCTGCCCCTCCCCCCCTCCCAGCAACAGGTCTGGTCGGATGGGTATAAATGCCCACTTGCTGTACCCAAGCTGCTGCTCCCAGCTCAGCCATGCTCTGACTAGATAGAACCAGACCAATTTACACTGATTTTCAATTCTTTCCTCCCCAGTTCCTGCACTATACCGGCCGTGCTGCCCCGGCAGTTAATCCACCCACTTAGAGCCTCAGCTCTGCGACGTCCCAGGTGGGGATGGGCTTCTCAAGGACTACATTGTCTCCTACCTGGGAAGAGTGTCTAGATTATGAAAGTCAGAAACAATAGGCTGGGTGCCAGGGCACACGCCTGTAATCCCAGCACTTTGGGAGCCTGAGACAAGAGGATCGCTTGAGGCCAGGGGTTTGAGACCAGCCTGGGCAACACAGACCCCATCTCTAAAAAAATAAAATATGCCGGGCTCGGTGGCTCACGCCTGTAATCCCAGCACTTTGGGAGGCCGAGGCGGGCAGATCACGAGGTCAGGAGTTTGAGACCAACCTGGCCAACATGGTGAAACCCTGTCTCTACTAAAAATACAAAAATTATCCAGGCGTGGTGGCACGCGCCTGTAGTTCCAGCTGCTCAGGAGACTGAGGCAGAAGAATTGCTTGAACCTGGGAGGCGGAGGTTGCAGTGAGCCGAGATCATAACACTGCACTCCAACCTGGGTGACAGGGCGAGACTCTGTCTCAAAAAAATAAATAAATAAAAATAACTATCGAGGGCTGGGTGCAGCGGCTCATGCCTGTAATCCCAAAACTTTGGGAGGCAGAGGCGGGTGGATAACTTGAGGCCAGGAGTTCAAGACCAGCCTGCCTGGCCAACGTGGCGAAACCTCATTTCTACTGAAAATACAAAAAAAAAAATTAGCCAGGAATGGTGGTGCATACCTGTAGTCCCAGGTACTCGGGAGGCTGAGGCATGATCATCACTTGAACCTGGGATGCAGAGGTTGCAGTGAGCTGAGATTGTGCCACAGCACTCCAGCCTGGGTGACAGAGCGAGACTGCATCTCAAAAAAAAAAAAAATTAGCTGAGTGTGGTGGTGTGTGCCTGTAGTCCCAGCTACTTGAGAGGTTGTGGCAGGAGGGTCTCTTGAGCCTGCAAGTTCAAGGTGCAGTGAGTTATGATTGCACAACTGCACTCTAGCCTGGGTGATGGAGTGAGACCCTGACTCAGAAAAAAAAAAAAAAAAGAAATTTGGCCCGGTATGATGGCTCATGCCTATAATCTCAGCACTTTGGGAGGCTGAGGCAAGCGGATCACAAGGTCAGGAGCCTGGCCAACACAGTGAAACCCTGTCTCTACTAAAAATACAAAAATTAGCCAGGCATGGTGGTGCACACCTGTAGTCCCAGCTACTCGGGAGGCTAAGGCAGGAGAATCACTTGAACTCGGAAGGCGGAGGTTGCAGTGAGTTGAGATTGTGCCACTGCACTCCAGCCTGCGCGACGAGTGAGACTCTGTCTCAAAAAAAAAAAAAAAAGAAATGATTCTCTAATACAGAATTTAAATACAGTCTGCCTGCAGAAGCCTTAAGGGAAAGGGAGTCATGTGTAGCCGGTGGGTGGAGGTGGCTGGTACAGTGAGACTGATTCCCCACCTGCCTCACTCTTGCCTCACTGCGGCGCCAACACTCACGGATGGGAAATCTAACAGTGAAAATCAACCCCAGCTGAAGTTCTTCCCCTGGAGAATTGGCAGGTTCCACGTGAACTTAGTGTTCCGTGCTGAGGCTTGTGACCTACATTGGCTATTTTGAAGAACAAAAATCACTCCCACTCGTGGGCCTGGGGCTAAACCATGACAGTTTGTAACTGGTTTCGCAGAGTGGCAGTGAGCAAGTCTGTCTGCTGCTACTGATGCTGGGACTCTCAACGTTTGAGATAGTTGCGTGATTCTGAACATGTATGCCACAGCCACGTGCGGCACGTGTATGTGGGCCTGGGAGCTGCCTGGCGCTGCCCCGTCACTGGCACTGCTGCATGCCAGGGCCAAGTGCGTGTCAAGTGGCTGGGTGTCAACTTCAAATAGTTTCTGAACAAAACCAAGACTTTCACGAAGCTCCCAATCCTTCCTACTATTGTTTCTCCTCCAAACGACCTTGTCACGCTTTCCTTCAAATGTCCTGCGTGGCTGTCTTCACTGAGCCGGTAGCACTTCTCCTATGTGGGCCCACCTCCACCTGCCGTGGCGGCCATAGCTGTCAGAGTGGATGAGGGGAGTGCAGACCCTGTGACCATCAGTGTCTGATCTGGTTTGAATCTGTGTCCCCACCCAAATCTCATGTTGAAATGTAATCCCCAGTGCTGGAGGTGGGGCCTGGTGGGAGGTGACTGGATCCTGGGGGCGACTTCCCCCTTTGATGCTGTTCTCATGATAGAGTTCTCAGGAGATCTGGTTGTTTGAAAGCATGTGGCTTCTTCTCTTCCTCCTCCTCTGTCTTCCTCCTGCTCAGGCTATGTGAGATGTGCCTGCTTCTGCTTCATTTTCCACCACGATTGTGTTTTCCTGAGGCCTCCCCAGCCATGCTTCCTGTACAGCCTGCAACTTTGAGCTAATTAGACCTTTTTTCTTTGTAAGTTACCCAGTCTCCGGTATTTCTTCTTCTTTTTTTTTTTTTCTTTGAGACAGTCTTGCTCTGTCGCCCAGGCTGGAGTGGTGTGATCTCGGCTCACTGCAACCTCCACCTCCCGGGTTCAAGCTTTTCTCCTGCCTCAGCCTCCCAAGTAGCTGGGATTACAGGTGCCGGCCACTGTGACTGGGTAATTTTTGTTTTTTGTGTTTTTTTTTTGAGACAGAGTCTTGCTCCGTGGCCCAGGCTGGAGTGCAGTGGCGCGATCTCGGCTCTGCAACCTCTGCCTCCCGGGTTCAAGCGATTCTTCTGCCTCAGCCTCCCGAGTAGCTGGGACTACAGGTGTGCGCCACCACACACGGCTAATTTTTGTATTTTTAGTAGAGACGGGGTTTCACCATATTGGCCAGGCTGGTCTCGAACCCCTGACATCAGGTGATCCGCCCGCCTCAGCCTCCCTAAGTGTTGAGATTACAGGCGTGAGCCACCACGCACGGCCTGTACTTTTTTTTTTTTAGTAGAGACAGGGTTTCACCATGTTGGCCAGGCTGGTCTTGAACCCCTGACATCAGGTGATCCGCCCGCCTCGGCCTCCCTAAGTGTTGAGATTACAGGCGTGAGCCACCGCGCCTGTTCGGGTTTTTGCAGGTCACCTCTTTATAGCCATGTGAGAATGGACGACAGAGCCTGTGGGCCTCTGGGCCGCCCTGTGCCGGCCATGTTGCCTGGTGCAGGCTGCTCTCAGGGTGGTGGAGGGAGGGGCCATGGTGGGTGCATCATTGGGGAGGGGCTGTCAACACAGGGTGGCTGGGTGCCCCAGGTTCCTTTCCTGGGTTGGGCAGTAGCCTACTCTGCTGTGTGCCCCCGCGGGTCCCAGCTTTCAGTCCCAGTCCTTGGTGTGTCCCCAGTTGAGGCAAGGACAGTGTGTGCTCTTTGGATTTACAGTGGAGGTGGTGGTCGACAGGAGAGCTGCTTAGGGGGAGGATGAAGGCAGGTGGTTGGACTCTGCGGAGGGTTAACCTGGGAGGTGGAGGTGGCTTGGGGGCGTGGCAGAAGGTGGTGTGGTGGGTGGCGTTTTTCCTTAGCAGCCTTGGGGAGGGGCCGTTGGATACAAGCACTAGCCTAGCGGCAGAGACTGAGGCCATGACCACTGAGCTGGGGACAGGAGTGTGCTCCTCCTCTGACAGGGGAGGGCAGGGCAAGGAGGTGGAAGGGTCCTGGGAGTGTCATGTGACTGGGAGACCCTACTGACTACCCCTGGAGGAGAGAAGCCCCCCGCCTCGCCCTCTGCATGTTGGTTGTCTGGCGCAGGATAACGCTCCACCCTTCTGGAGATGGGCCGTGAGTGTGAGGCTTGCAGGCCGGCTTTTAGGGCGTGAGGAGTGATCAGGTGTACCCCTCCCCTCCTGCACTTGAGGCAGAGAGATTTGTGCGGTTTCATCTTGTAGAGACAGTGACAGGCACTCAGAGTGTCTGGGTGTGGGGCTCACCTGGGACCGACCTGGACGGTGTCTCTCCGCAGCTGGCACACCCATACCGAGCAGCGGTCCTGAGGGCCATGGAGAGGGTCCTGAGCAGTCGCGCCAGTGAGCTGGACAAGGACACAGCCAGCACCATCATCCTCCTGGCCTCCAGCGAGATGACCAAGACGAAGGTATTCAGCAGGCCCTCTGGCCTCGCAGACTCAGGCCTAGCTTGGGAAGGGAAGCTGCTTCTTGGCCTTTCTACCCAGCAGCCTTGAGAGTATAGGGTGGTGTTTGGCTGCCTTGGGCTGGCAGATGCCCTTCGGTCTCATGCATCACCCTGCAGGGGTGGGGGGTGGTCCCCTGTGATTTTCAGAGGCAGCAACTGAAGCAGAGAGCAAGTTGCCAGAACTCAGCACACGCAGGACCGTGGTGTGCGTGCAGCTGGGGCCAAAGGCTGTGCCCGGCATTGGGGTTGGTGCAGGGCTCTGGTGGGCCTAACTCTCAGGGCACTGAGTGCAGCCCCCTCTCACCAGGGCTCTGCTGCTCCTGCGTGTGGGGTCTCCTCAGCAGCCCCTCACCTCTCACCAGGGCTCTGCTGCTCCTGCGTGTGGGGTCTCCTCAGCAGCCCCTCAGCAGAGGAGGCTGTGCCCGCCACCTTCCCTGACCTGCACTTTCTGGGGACGCTGAAAACAGCGTGCGCTTGTCCAAGGCTGGCAGCGACTGAGGGCAGAATGTCTTGGTCTTGCCTTTTGGTCTACCTGCCGGTGTTTTGGGTTCAGGACCTGGTCTGGGACTGGCAGCAGGCGGCGAGTGGCGTCCTGGTGGCCGTGGGAAGACAGTTCATCAGCAAGGTGATGGAGGAGCTGCTGCGCAGGCTGCACCCTGGGACCCTGCCACACTGCGCCGTGCTGCACACCCTCGCCAGCCTCTCGGTGGCCAACGGTAGGTGACGCGCGGCCTGCCCCAGGAGGAGCACGGGGCGCTGGAAGCCTTGGCGGAGGCCTTTGACGGTGTCCTCTCTCACAGCGTTCGGCGTAGTCCCCTTCCTGCCATCCGTCCTGAGCTCCCTGCTGCCCGTGCTGGGCGTGGCCAAGCAGGACACGGTGCGCGTGGCCTTCTGCTCCGGTAAGAGGCGGCCTCGTCACCTTCTGTCTCAAGTGCCCCTTTGTGGGGGGCTGTTCCCGGGCATGCCTGTTTTAGGGGGGACAGGTGGGCACTTTAGGCTGCAGGAAGGGGGGCTGTTGGAGGGAGGGGCCCCCTGGCTGAGGCTGCTGGCTGGTTGGGGGGCCCATGTGGGGCTGACACAGCCTCTGTCTCTTGTTTCTCTCTACTCCTGGAGAGCCCCCCACCTTACATTGTGGGTCCACTGAGGGCTGGACGTGCCTGGGGGGTAGGAAGAGACTTCCTCGAAGCCATGACTTTTTGTTTTCCTCCCCACTCCAGGCTAGAAAAGTGTCCGCTCTCTGGGCATCCCAGGACCCAGGGGATGGGGGCACATTCATTCACCCCCACCCTCTGCCAGGAGCCCCATTCCTGGCAGCACTGCCCACAGCCCTCTGTGTGCCTGGCAGGGGACTGCGGGCATGTCATGGGCCTGGACCTTGGTTTCCCCTGCCACTGACAGTGGGGGAGTGGTTGGTGGGATTGGAGGGCATTTCTGTTAGAAGGGGGTGTGGAGATTAGAGATCCTGAGCTACCCTTAGTGCCCTCACAGCCCACGGCCTCGTGCTCCCGGTGTCCCATGTCAGGAAGACGGCCAGCCCTGGTAGCTGGCCGGGAGGAGAACAGGACCCTCGTGCCCAGGGGACCAGCCCTCGTAAAGAGCCAGCCCTCTGGGGCCGGGGGCCGTTAGTTCCAGGCAGCAGGTGTGGGAGGACCCAGTGATGGGGGAGGGGCCCGGTGATGGGGGAGGGGCCGGTGATGGGGGAGGGGCCTGGTGGGGCCCGGGCAGGGCATGTTTTCGAAGCATGGAGGGAGTGGTTACAGGGCTGGGCTGGGCTCTGTAGACTGCAGGGTTGGTTTGGAGCATTTGGACCCACCTGCTCTGCTCCTGGTGACTTTGGGTTCAGATCACAGGGCTCCTGCCACCCTCTCCTCAGCCCTTGCGCTCCGTCTCTCCTGGCCCTGCTCTTTGATAAATGCCTTCATCTTTGGGGCACTCCTTCACAGGCTCTTTCTCACCTGTGGATGAGGGCAGGGCCCCTTGGGTAGAAGGGATAGTAACTCCATGTGACCCAGTTTTGGCTAAAAATGGGATTGGTGACAGGATGGGGGCAGCTGCATACTGAGCCAGGTGTGAAGGAGCAGAGAGTGGAAGTGGGTGTGGGTGTGGACTCAGCTAAGGTGCCTGGGGCGCAGGACGTGCCATCCAGGCTGCAGGGCGGAGACAGAACGGGGCCGCTGGGGCGCCTGTCTCTGTGCTGCACGCACATCGCCCCTTCCCGCCACTCCTCTGGGAAGTGGCCTGATCCCTGCAGCTGCTGAGGCTCTAAGCAGAAACGGACTTGCAGTTCTGACACCTCTTGCTTACCTTCCCCTTCATAGGGGACCTGCGGCTCCTCTGGGCCCTACCATGCTGGCATTTTCCTCCATGTGTCAAACACATGGGTTCAGCCAGCGAAGATTCCATGGGACCTCCTCGTGTGGGACGTGTGCTCCCCACCACAAATGGAACGTTCCCTGTTTGCATCTGGAGGGGTTGGTGGTCCTGCTGGCTGGAGCAGCCTGGGGCCAGAGGAAGCCGTATCAACCGGGTGAGGCCTAGTGGTGGGGGCGGTGGCAGGCCTGCGTCCACTGCGGGAGGGTGCAGGTCCAGCCAGGACAGGCAGTGTGCCAAGGACAGGAGTGCCCTCAGGGCACTGCAGCCAGGAGGCGAGGAGCCTCAGGGAAGACTCCCAGTGGTGGAGGCACGGCTGGCCTGGCCACGCCGTCCAGCAGGGCAGGCATCCAGTAATTCCTCCCGGCCAAGGAACCCCTCCAGTAGGAAAGGTGGCAACAAAAGAAACAGACACTAATTGGAGATGTAGATGGTTCAGGGAGAAGAAAATAACAGAGAAAGAAAATCTCTGATTAATATCCTCAGGAAAATAAGTGGGCATCATGCATTCACGGGACAAGAGGTGTCACCATGGAGAAGCCACATTGAGAGAATAAAACTGACCTTCTGTGAATTAAAGATGCCATAATAGAAATGGGAAAAATAATAGAAGAATTGGAAGAGAAAGTTGTGGAAATTTCCAGAAAATAGAGGAAAAAGGCAAAAATATGGAAAGTAGGAGAGAAAGAGAAGAATGAACTAGCAGGCTGAACCCTGAAGCCAGCATTCCAATCAGAGGCACCCTAGAAAGAATGGACAGAGATGGGAGGTCAAGAGATGACGCAAAGGCATGCCCTAGTGGCCGGGTGCGGTGGCTCATGCCTGTAATCCCAGCACTTTGGAAAGCCGAAGCGGGCTGATCACTTGAGGTCAGGAGTTCAAGACCAGTCTGGCCAACATGGCAAAACCCCGTCTCTACTAAAAATACAAAAAAATTAGCCGGGTGTGGTGGCGCATGTCTGTAATCCCTGATACTGTGGATGAGACAGGAGGATTGCTTGAACCTCGGAGGCGGAGGCTGCAGTGAGCCAAGATTGCACCACTGTACTCCAGCCCGGGTGACAGAGTGAGACTCTGTCTCAAAACAAACAAATCAAAACTAGCTGGGCATGGTAGCTTACGCCTGTAATCCCAGTACTTTGGGAGGCCAAAATGGGAGGATCACTTGAGCCCAGGAATTCGAAACCAGGCTGGGCAGCATGGTGAGACCCCATCGTTAGAAAAAATATTTTTAAAAATTTGCCAGGTATGGTAGCACATGCCTGTATTCCAGCTCCTTGGAAGGCTGAGGCAGGAGGATTGCTTGACCCTGGGAAGTCGAGGCTGCAGTGAACCAAGATCAAGCTACTGAACTCCAGCCTGGGTGACAGAGCAAGACTCTGTCTCAAAAAAAAAAAAAAAAATCCTAATAACACAACAGGGGTGGGCTTCTGCTTGTGGCATTATGGTGGTCTGTTATTCTGAAAAAACTTCCCACTGCCGAATACCTGGAATGCTGATGAGTTGACCAGCATCCTTCTGATCAATCAGAAGGAGAAACCTAGGCCCACGGAGGTCAAGAGGGGAGGTGAGAGGTTAGAGCTCTCCAGTGGCCCCTGGGCACCTGCCTGCCTTGATTTCACATGGGAGACAAGGCCTTTCTTCTTCTTTTTTCTTTTTTCTTTTTTTTTGAGATGGAGTCTCGCTCTGTTGCCCAGGCTGGAGTGCAGTGGCGCGATCTCGGCTCACTGCAAGCTCTGCCTCCCAGGTTCACGCCATTCGCCTGCCTCAGCCTCTCCGAGTAGCTGGGACTACAGGCGCCCACCACCACGCCTGGCTAATTTTTTGTATTTTTAGTGGAGACGGGGTTTCACCATGTTAGCCAGGATGGTCTGGATCTCCTGACCTCGTGATCCGCCCGCCTCGGCCTCCCAAAGTGCTGGGATTACAGGCATGGACCACCGCGCCTGGCCAGACAAGGCCTTTCTTTGCACTGGGTCAGAGCCCACCTGTACCAGACCCTTCAAGGCCCCTCCTCAGCAAAAAGTGACTGATGAGGAACCTTCCACTGTGCACCCTGGGAGGTAGTCTGTTTTCTTTTAGAATTTCTTTTAAATCCTCTCTCCTGAGAATTTGTAACCATGGTCTGTCCTGATGTAGTTGTAGGGTTCAAAGTTGTTCTTTGTGTTGGACTGGGAAGCCCTTAAGCTGAGACGTTAGCCGTGTAAATGGGCCGGGCTGAAGTGTCCTGGGTGGGGTGACCAGTGTCCTACTGAATGTTTGCGTCCCAGTCAGGCTGCATGGCAGTGGCTCTGGCCGGGGGGTGTGGCCGTGGGAAGCAGCGCTTCCCTGGAGCGCAGGGTCTCGGCTCTGGTGTGGGGCCAGCAGCTCTCCACGGACCCAGGACCAGCAATATCAGTTACAGTCACAAAGCACACACGTCAGCACACAAAAAAAGGAGCATTAGAGCAGAAAGTCACATAATTTGGATTGATGAGATACAGGATAAAAATAGCAAGGTAAAGAGGCGAAAGGGAGAAAGGACAGGGTCCTACAAGGACAGAGCCAGTGTGAAAAGAGAACCAAATACAGTCTAGAAACAAAACTGTAACCATTTCCATTAAAGAGTAAGGAGGTGGGTGTGGCAGCCGGTTGCAGACACTGAAGAGAGTGCACCAGCTGGACAGGGGTCTGGGGACAACCCGGAGGGCAGCCCTGAGCTGGCAGAGAGAAGGGGGTGCGGGGCAGGCGTCAGGTGAGCTGGCCGAGCACCCCCAGCTACAGAGCACGAGTCCAGAAGAGGTGAGAAGAGGCCCAGGCTCACCGGCATCATCAAAGGGAGATGCTGTGGAGGGGCCGCCAGGAGCTGCTGACTTTCACAGCCAGTGCCAGACCTGTTCCCTGGAGCCCTGTCACCTCCACCCAGGGCAGAAGGACGCTATGGGGCTGGGGCAGAGCAGGAGTCCCCACCCCCTGCACTGGAGAGGGTGTGGAGGCCCTGGGTGCTGCTGGTGAGTGACAGGTGTGCAGGGGATCCCCGCGCCAGCAAGAAAGGAGCTGAGGAGGAGGGGGAGGCAGGCAGCCTCTTGCCCTTTTCTCTGTCGGGGAGGGAAGTGTCTTGTAGCTTTAGGGAAACCACTGCAGTGTTGCAGTCCCAGGATTTCTGTGCAGTGTGTCGCTCCTGCAGGCAGCCTGCCGGTTCCACTGGAATCCTCGTGCTGTGCCGCCTGACCCTCCCTGGCCTCTGTGGTTTCTGCAGGGTGGGAAGTGGGAGCTGAGCCCTCCCATCTCACTGTATGTGTCAGGCCGTTGCAAGTTTTGTCGTTACTGTGGTCTCACCTACCCAGACCTGAGCAAGGCAGAAAACACAGAAACTAATGCTTTAGAAAATAAGCAGTTGGCAAAACGTTATGTTTTATACCTAGTTCTTTGAAATAAGTGAATTAAATACTTAAGCTGCTGCCTCATCAAGAGAAAAGAGAGAAACAAGCCAAGTGGTAAACAGGAGGTGAATAGATGTGAGGACAGCGAGGGGTGGCGCGGGGACCGCGGGGAGATGTGAGGGGTGGCATGGGGACCGTGAGAGGGGCGGTGAGGGGCGGCGCAGGGGCCTTGAGGGGATGTGAGAGGCAGTGCGGGGACCGCGGGGGGCGGTGAGGGCCGGGGGGGGGGACGGTGAGGGGCGGCGCAGGGACCTCGAGGGGACGTGAGGGGCAGTGCGGGGACCGTGGGGGGAGGGGGAGGGGCGGCGGGGGGACGGTGAGGGGCGGCGCGGGGACCTCGAGGGGACGTGAGGGGCAGTGCGGGGACCGTGGGGGGAGGGGGAGGGGCGGCGCAGGGACCTCGAGGGGACGTGAGGGGCAGTGTGGGAACCACGGGGGGGCGGTGAGGGGCAGTGCAGGGACCGTGGGGGGATGGTGAGGGGTGGCGGGGGGGCGGCGAGGGGCGACGTGGGGACCACAAGGGACCAGCAAGGGCCGCCGAGGGGACCGCGTGCCCAGTGCAGCCACCTCTGAAAGCCCAGCAGCGAGTGCTCCAGGAGAGTGCCACTTCCCAGGCAGTGCTCCGTGGGCTCCGCAGTGGGCTCTCTCCCAGTCCTCAGGGCTGTGTCACCCCGGGGAAATGAAGCAAAAAGGACAGTTTCCAATTTTTTTTTTTTTTTTTGGAGACAGGGTCTCACTCTGTCACCCAGGCTGGAGTGCAGTGGTGTGATCTTGGCTCACTGCAACCTCTTGCCTCCCAGGCTGAAGTGATCCTCCCACCTCAGCTCCCAGAGTAGCTGCGACCAGAGGTGCCCGCCACCACACCCAGCTAATTTTTGTATTTTTAGTAGAGACGGGGTTTCCCCATGTTGGCCAGGCTGGTCTCGAACTCCTGACCTCAGGTGATCTGTCCACCTCGGCCTCCCAAAGTGCTGGGATTACAGGCATGAGCCACTGCGCCCGGCCCCAAATTATTTTTGTGACCTGAGCATCACCACAAAAGAGATCCAGGGACCAGCCTCACTCAGGGTCTGCCCTCCCCGTCCATGCCCCTGCTGCTGAACCCAAGTCAGAGATGGTTTCAGGTGCCTTTGCTGGGATACAGTGACCCTTGATATCCCAAAACTTGGAACGAAGCAGATTCCTATCACCTCACATACCCCGCTGTGATCGCTGACCCTAGGAACAAAATCCATATTGCCTGGCATAGGGGCTGGCTCTGTCCTGACGGGGGGGTCACCCCAGGAGTGAGAGGCCAGCTCCACATTGGGAGGGTGGGCCCTCACACTGATCGACATAAGAAGGGAAACCACATGGCCACTGCCCTTGTTTATTCTTATTAAAAACTCAGGCTAGGCCGGGCGCGGTGGCTCACGCCTATAATCCTAGCACTTTGGGAGGCTGAGGCAGGCGGATTGCCTGAGCTCAGGAGTTTGAGACCAGCCTGGGCAACACGGTGAAACCCCGTCTCAACTAAAATACAAAAAATTAAATTAGCCGGGTGTGGCAGTGTGTGCCTATAGTCCCAGCTACTCAGGAGGCTGAGGCAGGAGAATTGCTTGAACCTGGGAGTCAGAGGTTGCAGTGAGCCAAGATCACGCCACTGCATTCCAGCCTCAGTGACAGAGTGAGACTGTCTCCAAAAAAAAAAAAACAAAACAAAACAAAACTCAGGCCGGGCATGGTGGCCTACGCCTGTAATCCCAGCACTTTGGGAGGCCGAGGTGGTTGGATCGCTTGAACCCAGGAGTTTGACACCAATCTGGGCATCATAGTGAGACCTCTGTTTCTAAAAAAATATAAAATTAGCCAGGTACAGTGTCACGCACCTGTAGTCCTAGCTACTTGAGAGGCTGAGGTGGGAGGATCACTTGAGCCCAGGAGGTCGAGGCTGCAGTGAGCTAAGTTGGTGTCACTACACTCCAGCCTGAGTGACAGACCGAGACCCTGTCTTAAAAAAAAGAAAAAAAACCAAAATCCTACAATCACCCACACAGACAAAGAATGGAAGAAACCAAAGGTTTTTGGTCTTCACTTAATAAAATTGTTTATATAAAATCCCAACACATTCCCACAAATTATTAGAGGTGACAAGAATTTAGCAGGATGCTGTTGGAGGATCAGCAGCTGAAGCTTATCTGCATTCCTGTGTACTAGACTCAGAGGTGCCAGCTCCTCTGTGAATCGATCATCACAGATTCTGGTGAGCTTCTGATGAGAGTCCCGCAGGGCCTGAGTCAACCATTGGGTTTGCGCCTGGAGGTGCTGGTGACCCTGAAGGCAGTGCTAGAAGGTGGCCAGTGGCCCCATGAAGGGGACGAGGGGTACAGGTAGAGATTTTTTGTCTGGGTGGCGCTTCTCAGGGCCTTTGCTCTTGCAGGGTTGCTGCAGGGTCTGTGTCAGAGGGAGGCTTTATGGGGACCGATGGCTACACGGGAGCCAGGTGGGGGTGTAGGAAGCACAGAGCATAGGTGCGGGTTCCGGTGGTCTCAGGGTCCTCTTCCATGAGGTTGTCAGCCCATTGTGAGGAGGGGTTTGTGGCGAGAAAAGGGTGTGAAACAGTTGCCCAAGCATGGAAAGCCAGGGACCGGCGAGCCTCGCAGGACTGTCGGGAGCACCTGCACCCTTTGATTCTTACAGGCTGGGTTTAAAGTGATTTCTTAAGATACAAAAAAGTATAAATCACAAAGGAAAATATTAACAAGTTTGACATGACAAATTAAAGGAATTTGTTCATCAGAAGATCTGAAAAAATGTACAGAACTGCAGATGAACATCACCAAGAAAAAGAATTACCAAAGAAGATACTATAAATACTTTTCTCTACTTTATAAGAAGTGGAAAGGCTCACCCATGGCCCTGGGAGCAGCAGTGGATGGGGCCTAAGGCCAGTGGGAACTGGCACTCACACCCCAACCTGGCCCTCTGCACCACATGTGCTTCAGCCCAGGGGGGCCTCACAGCAGCCCTGGGTCAGGTGCTACCACTGCCCAATTTTTTTTTTTTTTTTTTTTTTTTTTTTTTTTTTTTTTGAGACAATCTCACACTGTCGCCCAGGCTGGAGTGCATGGCGTGATCTCAGCTCACTGCAACCTCTGCCTCCCGGATTCGAGTGATTCTCCTGCTTCAGCCTCCCAAGTAGCTGGGATTACAGGGGCGTGCCACCACACCCAGCTAATTTTTTGTATTTTTAGTACAGACGGGGTGTCAACATGTTGCCCAGGATGGTCTCGAACTCCTGACCTCATGATTCACCCGCCTCAGCCTCCCAAAGTTCTGGGATTACAGGCATGAGCCACTGCGTCCGGCCACTGCCTCATTTTATAAGTGAGGAAACTGAGGCACAAAGAGGCTGAATAACTCGTCCCAGGCCATACACCTGGGGAGTGGGAGAGCCAGGACTAGGCCAGCCTGCACCTCTGAGCTGCCTTTTAAAGCAGATGTGGGAAGAACTGCTAGGAAATCAGAAGGGGAGACTACAGCTCAGAAAAATGGGGCAAGAAAAGGCCAGAACCACACAGCCAGCCAACATACACACAGAAAGGTGATTAGCCCACTATCTGCAAAGCGGTGTTATCTCACATTAAGCAGTTTGGAGAAAATTAAAAGTAATTGTTTGAAAATACCAAGTTTAGATTGTGCTTTGGAGCAGGGCCTGTAGCAGCGAGCTATTGGGATTGGCACTTGGCAGCCACTCTGGAGAGAGTGGGCCCATCAGAAGAACTCAAGATTGGGGCAGCTGAGGTGGTCCCAGCAGCACCCCCTTGGTCTTGTGCCTTGTGCAGCCCCTCCCCGTGCGGTGGGTGCATCCTTTCAGGGCTCTGGACTTTGCCCTGAAGCTCATGGTCCCTTTGTGTTTCCTCCTCCAGTTTCTGCGTCTCCGCCTGGTCCTCAGCAGGGCTGTGTGAAAGGTGCTGGCCTCAGTTTATCTCCCTGTGCCCCCATGTTCCCCCTTCACCCGGGGCCCAGCCCCACTGACCACTTGCACATCACCTGAGTTCGGCCCATGTCCTGGGCTCCAGGCCCTACAGCCAGTGTTTTCTGACTCTCCACCCAGATGTCCATACCACTCGAAGCCTGGGTGGCCACCTGCCCAGCCTCTGCCCGCTCCCAGCTCTGCCCGCTCCCAGCTCTGCCCTCAGGGTCAGCCCAAGGCCACCGCTGAGTCACATCCACAGTCACTGGCACACTGTCAGGAGCCGCCCACCCGTGGGAGGGCCTCATGCTGACCCTGGCATCCTGGTGCCCCTCCGCCCTGCCATTGTTCTCCCTGTGGCTCTTCCCGCCCACACTGTGCCCAGCACGGCAGCCTTGGGCAGAATGTGTGGCACAAGTCTGTCTGTGAGGATGGGTGGGCGTGGCACTGCTCCTCTTGTCTCTGTGGCAGACTGGAGTGGGCAGGAACTTGTGGGCAGAGGGCATTTTGGGGAGGAGGTTGGTACTTGCACCAGTTTTCTTTGGTGACAAGCACCAAGTGCAAATTAGGTGGCTTCAAACAACAGAAATGTATTTTCTCACAGTTTTGGAGACTGGAAGTCCAAGCTCAAGATGTTGGCAGGATTGGTTCCTTCTTGGGAGCCCAGAGACAGAATTCATTTCAGGCTCCCCAGCTTCTGGTGGGGCCATGGATTCTGGGTGTCCTTGGCCTGAGGCTGCCTCGCCCCAGTCTGTGCCTCCATGTCACATGGCCATCTTCCTCCTGCCTCTGCATCTCTTCTTATAAGGATGTTGTCATGTTGGAGTTACAGCCCACCCTACTTTGCTATGACCCCATTTTAACAGTCACATCTGGCCAGGCGCGGTGGCTGATGCCTGTAATCTCAGCACTTTGGGAGGCCAAGGTGGGCAGATCACTTGAGGTCAGCAGTTTGAAACCAGCCTGGCCAACATGGTGAAACCCTGTCTCTTCTAAAAATTAGCCAAGTATGATGGTACACCCCTGTAGTTCCAGCTAGTCAGGAGGCTAAGGCAGGAGAATTGCTTGAACCTGGGAGGCAAAGGTTGTAATGAGCTGAGATCAAGCCACTGCATTCCAGCCTGGGTGACACAGCAAGACTGTGTCACAACACACCAGCCTGAGTGACAGACCGAGCAAGACTCTGTCTCAAAAAAAGTCACATCTGCAAAAACCCTATTTCCAATAAGGCCATGAATTTGGAGGGACACTTTTCATCCTGTGTAGTCCTGGAGTTGTGTGCTTGGCTGGTGTTCTAGGGAGGGCATCTTGCAGGCCGTGGGATTTCTGGAAGGGGCAGGAGGCAGACATAGGTGCTGAGGATCGTCACAAACCCATGGCCTGCAGCCACTTACCACTGGCCGGTTTTGTAGCTCTGCAGCGCTTCAGCGAGGGTGCCCTGGAGTACCTAGCCAACCTGGACCGAGCCCCAGACCCCACGGTCAGGAAGGACGCCTTTGCCACCGACATCTTCAGCGCCTACGATGTTCTCTTCCATCAGTGGCTGCAGAGTCGAGAAGCCAAGGTATGCCCCGTGGCTGCATCAGTCCACGCCTGATGCCAGGGCTCTCTCCTCCCCACATTCCCTGCCCGTGGCAAATTGATCAGAGGGTGGTGGTGTTGCATTGGCAAGCAGAGGTGCCCAATGGGAGGTGGCTCACCTTTATTTATTTTTTTGAGACAGAGTCTCACTCTGTCACCCAGGCTGGAGTGCAGTGGCATGACCTTGGCTCACTGCAGCCTCCGCCTCTCTGCTTCAAGCGATTCTCATGCCTCAGCCTCCTGAGTAGGTGGGATTACAGGCGCCTGCCACCACTCCCGGCTTATTTTTGTATTTTTAGTAGAGATGAGGTTTCGCCATGTTGGCCAGGCTGGTCTCGAACTCCTGACCTCAGGCGATCCACCCGCCTTGGCCTCCCAAAGCTCTGGGATTACAGGTGTGAGCCACCGTGCCTGGCCACCTTTAGGCTGCCACACCTGCACAGGGCCCCCTCTGCAGTCCCCATACTTGTGACTTCTGCCAGAGGGGCCTAGTCACTGTGGGTTTTTCCTTCTGCCCAGAGGCCCAGTGCTGCTGGCGGGGCACTGAGCATCTCCTACAAACCCCCTGGGCCTGGCCAGCATCTGGCTTGCTGTGGTCTCCCCACAGCTGACCTCTGGGTGCTAGGCTCACGTCCCAGCCCCCGTAGCACCCACTGGTAGCCCAGTGTTCGTTCACGTCCGTCACGGGTGCTTGCTGGACATGCTCTGAGCAGTCGGTGTTGACTGAGCAGCGTAAGCTTCCCGCCCACTGTCCCCTCTCAGCTCCGTCTTGCCGTGGTGGAGGCTCTGGGGCCTATGAGCCATCTGCTGCCCAGTGAGAGGCTGGAAGAGCAGCTGCCCAAGCTCCTCCCTGGGATTCTCGCCCTCTACAAGAAGCACGCAGAGACCTTCTACTTGTCCAAGGTATCTGCAGGCAGGGCAGGTCTACTGTCCCCGAGGACCCCTCCAATCAGACTCCCCGGGGGTGGCCGTGAGTCCTCGGCTAGGGCTCAGTGGTGGGTGGGGGTGGCCCTGAGTTCTCTGCTAAGGCTCAGTGGTGGGCTGTGAAGGACAGGGCCCTCGTGGGGACCAGCTTAGTTTTCCCATCGCTCTGCCCTGGACGGTGCCAGGAACCTGGGCCTCTTGGTCCATGGCACCTGTGGCTTAGGGAGCCCCCTTCCTGGGCCCTCCCCACCCTCCTCCCTGGCTCTGAGTTCTAGAGGTAGACGAAAGGCCTCCTCATTTGAGCCCCAAGGTGGGGCCCATGTCCTCCTGGCCCATGTCTTCCTGTGGCCCAACTGGGAGGCTCTGATTGACCTTAGTCAGTTCGGGCGGCTGGAGGTAGGACTGACGGCCTCTTCTCCCTACCCGGAGCAGAGCCTGGGCCAGATCCTCGAGGCAGCTGTGAGTGTGGGCAGCCGCACACTGGAGACCCAGCTGGATGCCCTCTTGGCTGCACTGCACTCCCAGGTAGGAGGCGGGCGTCAGGGGGCGGGTCCAGGTTCTGCACACCCTTCCGTGGGAAGTTGCTGGACAAGGGGTGCAGAAAGCAAGTTGGGGTGGATGGCTCAGCCACGTGGGGCTGAGGACTGGGCATTCCCTGAAGGTCACTCGGGTGACTTCTTAGCGATGTGGCGATGCTCTTGCCCTGCCCAGTAGTGGCACATGCAGGTGACATAGCAGCCCCCAGGATGGAGGTGGCAGGAGTGGGTGCCCAGGCCCAGTGCAGGCCCAGTACAGGTGGTCCCAGAGAAAGGTCAGCGCAGCTGAAGTGCCAGCTGGGGGAGACTGCCCTGAGTTTCTGGGGACTGAGCTCAGAGGAGCAGAGGAGAGGCCCTGGGCTGCAGGACGGGGGTCTTGAAGGCCCTGCTGGAGAGGAAGTGATGTGGGGAGGAGGCTGAGCAGCTGGGGCAGCTGGGACCCCTCCCCAGGTCGGGTGAATGAGGCTGAGAACGACTGAGGGATGCAGGTGCCGGGTCACCCGTGACCTTGGCACTGGGGGTCATCTGTCCATGGGACTTTCTGGATGAGAGAGGAGAGGGGCAGGGAGCTAGAGAGGGTGGTGTGGTGAAGTCTGCAAGGAAACTTTCTGAAAAGAAGTGTGGAGGTGGGTTTACTGCTTGGCTCTGCCCCTCACCTGGCCCACTCCAGCTGGGCCCCACTCTCCACCGCCTGGATGGTCCTGGCTGCATCCCAGAAACAAAGGGGAAGAGGGGACGGCAGCCACAGAGCTAGTAAACATAATGTAAGTGCTGTGAACAGTTACATGGTAACAAACTGTTAAAACTGTATGAAATGGTTAGGTTCCTAGAAAGATTAAAATGTCAACATTGGTACGAAAAGCAACAGAGAATTGAATAAGCCAATAAAGCAACGGAAATAATATTCTAAGACCTTTCTTCCTTAAAACAAGCCTGGGACCCAAATGGTTTCACGACTGAGTTCTTCCAAACTTTTGAGGAACAATTAATTCCTGTCCAGTACAAGTACATTTGGAAATAGGAAAAGATCCAGAGCTACCTCTTTCATTCTGTGAGGCCTTGGTCAAATCCCAGTCAGAGCCGTATAAGGAAATGCAGATGTGTAACGATGAGCATAGACGTGAGGTTTTGCATAAAGTAGCAGGTTACTGAACCCAAGACCATACTTTTATTTATTATTTATTCATTTATTTATTTATTATTTATTTATTTTGAGATGGAGTTTCGCTCTTGATGCCCTGGCTGGAGTGCTGTGGCATGATCTCGGCTCACTGCAACCTCTGCCTCTCGGGTACAAGCGATCTCCTGCCTCAGCCTCCTGAGTAGCTGGGATTACAGGTGCCCACCGCCACACCTGGCTAGTTTTTTGTATTTTTAGTAGAGATGGGGTTTCACCATGTTGGCCAGGCTGATCTCGAACTCCTGACCTCAAGTGATCCACCTGCCTCGGCCTCCCAAAGTGTTGGGATTACAGGCATGAGCCACGGAGCCCAGCCAAGACCGTGCTTTTCAAAACACCTTATGCGGGAGGGCTTAGCTCACATCGCAAGGCCTATCCAGCATGCAGGAGCTGTCAGTGCACTTCATCACAGTAATAGACTAAAGAAAAATAGTGTCTGAGTTCAATCAATGCAGAAAAAACTTTTGATGATTTTTTCTTTTCCCCTGAGATGGAGTTTCGCTCTTGTTGCCCAGGCTGGAGTGCAATGGTGCGATCTTGGCTCACTGCAACCTCCGCCTCCTGGGTTTAAGCAATTCTCTTGCCTCAGCCTCCCAAGTAGCTGTGGTTACAGGCACGCACCACCACGCCTGGCTAATTTTTGTATTTTTAATAGAGATGGGGTTTCACCATGTTGGCCAGGCTGGTCACGAACTCCTGACCTCAAGTGATCCCCCTGCTTCAGCCTCCCAAAGTATTGGGATTACAGGCGTGAGCCACTGTGCCTGGCCTAAAATTCTTAACAACTAAGATTGGAAAGGAACTTCCCTAAGTTAACAAAGTATGGATACCCGAACCCTCAGTCTGCATCATAACTGATGGGAAGTGTTAGGCAATTCCCTGTAAGGTCAATAACAGGAAGGACCTGCCTCTCAATGCGGATCGGGTCCTCTGCTGGTTCTATAGGGAAACAAAAGAACCAGGAGGGAAGGGAAGATGGTCATTATTCATCACCTGTCCACCTTTCTGGCCAAGCTATTAGGACTAATCAGAAGTTCCTGCAAGGCGTGGTGGCTCACATCTGTAATCCCAGCACTTTGGGAGGCTGAGGAGGAAGAACTGCTTGAGCCCAGGAATTCGAGACCAACCTGGGCAACATAGGGAGACCCCATCTCTACAGAAAAAATGTAGCTGAGTACAGTGGCACAGATCTGTAATCCCAGCTATTCAGGAGGCTGAGGTTGGAGGATCACTGGAGCCCAGGAAGTTGAGGCTGCAGTGAGCCATGATCATGCCACTGTACTCCAGCCTGGGTGACAGAGCAAGACCTTGTCTCGAAAAAGAAAAAAAAAGTTCTGCAAATTTGCCAGTTACAAGACCAACCTACAAAAGCCAAGAACATTTTTCTACACCAGCACTGACCAGCTAGAAAGTATATGAAAACACTATCTACAATAGCAACAGAAACTTATTAACAGCCAGGTGTCATGGCGCATGCCTGTGGTTCCAGCTACTTGAGAGGCTGAGGTGGGAGGATCGCTTGAGCCCAGGAGGTTGAGGCTGCAGTGAGCTGTGATCACGCCAGTGCATTCCAGCCTGGGTGACAGTGCGAGACTGTGTCTTTAAAAAAAAAAAAAAAAAAAAAAAAGGCCGAGTGCCATGGCTCATGCCTGTAATCCCAGCACTTTGGGAGGCCAAGGCAGGCAGATCACGAGGTCAGGAGATCGAGACCATCCTCGATAACACGGTGAAACCCTGTCT
This sequence comes from Homo sapiens, assembly GCF_000001405.40. Taxonomy (NCBI): domain Eukaryota; kingdom Metazoa; phylum Chordata; class Mammalia; order Primates; family Hominidae; genus Homo; species Homo sapiens. The sequence goes on from NC_000008.11 coordinate 144,195,333, forward strand.
TTACTAAAAATGCAAAAAAATTAGCTGGGCATGATAGTGGGTGCCTGTAGTCCCAGCTACTCGGGAGGCTGAGGCAGGAGAATGGCATGAACCCTGGAGGGAGAGCTTGCAGTGAGCTGAGATCACGCCACTGCACTCCAGCCTGGGCAACAGAGTGAGACTCTGTCTCAAAAAAAAAAAAAAAAAAAAAAAAGAAACAGAGTCTCACTCTGTTGCCCAGGCTGGTCTCCAACTCCTGGCTTCAGGTGATCCTCTTGTCTCAGCCTCCCAAAGTATTGAGATTACAGATGTGAGCCACTGCACCTGGCCTATAGCAGTTATTTATAACCTTGTATTATATATGTAAAAATATTTGTTCCTACTTTGTCATTGAGTCATTAATTCATTCTTGAGACAGGGTCTCGCTTTGTCACACAGGCTGGAGTGCAGTGGCAGTAACAGCTCACTGCAGCCTCGGCCTCCCAGGCTCAAGCGATCCTCCTGCCTCATCCCCTCCCCAAACCCCAGTAGCTGGGACCACAAATCATGCTACTTTGTCCTTTATCTTTTAACTCTGTTTATGATATTTTTTGGCCATACAAAGTTGTTTAATTTTTACATTATCATTTATCCATCTTTTATGTTATAGTTCAGGTTTTGTTATGCATAGAAAACCCTTTCAAATTCAGTGATTAGTGGCCGGGCACAGTGGCTCACGCCTGTAATCCCAGCACTTTGGGAGGCCGAGGCGGGCAAATCACGAGGTCAGGAGTTTGAGACCAGCCTGGCCAACATAGTGAAACCCTGTCTCTACTGAAAATACAAAAAATTAGCTGGGCGTGGTGGCGGGTGCCTGTAATCCCAACTACTCGGGAGGCTGAGGCAGGAGAATTGCTTGAACCCGGGAGGCGGAGGTTGCATTGAGCCGAGATTGCGCCACCTCATTCCAGCCCGGGTGACAGAGTGAGATTCCGTCTCCAAAAAAAAAAAAAAAATTCAGTAATTTTTGTTTTCTCAGTTCTCCCAATTTCCCCTACGCTTTTGTTATTATTATTATTATTGAGACAGAGTCTTTCACTCTGTTGCCCAGGCTGGAGTGCAGTGGTGCGATCTTGACTCACTGCAACCTCTGCCTCCCAGGTTCAAGTCATTCTCCTGCCTCAGCCTCCCGAGTAGCTGGGATTACAGGCGCATGCTATGATGCCCAGCTAATTTTTGTATTTTTAATAGAGACAGGGTTTCACTATTTTGGCCAGGCTGGTCTTGAACTCCTGACCTCAAGTGATCTACCCACCTTGGCCTCCCAAAGTGCTGGGATTACAGGCATGAGCCTCTGTGCCCAGCCCCCTATGCTTTTATTATTTAATCTGTCTGGGATTTATTTTAGGGAAGGAATGAGAATCCAACTGTATCTTTTTTCCAGATGAATACTCATTTGCATTAGTTATATATTGCTGTGTAACCAATTACCACAAAACTTACCACCTTAAAACAACAACATCTAGGCCGGTGCGGTGGCTCATGCCTGTAATCCCAGCACTTTGGGAGACCGAGGCGGTGGACCACGAGGTCAGGAGTTCAAGACCAGCCTGACCAACATGGTGAAACCCTGTCTCTACCAAAAATACAAATATTAGCCAGGCGTGGTGGCACACACTTGTAATCCCAGCTTACTCAGGAGGCTGAGGCAGGAGAATCACTTGAACCCAGGAGGCGGAGGTTGCAGTGAGCCGAGATCGCGCCATTGCACTCCAGCCTGGGAAACAGAGCAAGACTCTGTCTCAAAAAACAACAACAACAACAACAACATCTGTTATCTCACAGTGGGTCCAGAAGGTGAGAGCAGCTCAGGGGGTCGCTCCAACTCAGGGTCCCTTGTTAGTTTACACCCATTCATGCGGTCTGCCTGGGCCGTGCCATCTGAAGGCTCTACTGGGGTTGGAGGATCTGCTTCCAAGGCTGTTCATTCATGTGGCTGTTGGCTGGAGGCCCCAGTTCCTCACCACATTGATCTCTCCATAAGGCCGCTTGAGTGTCCCCACAACATGGTGGCTAGCTTCCTGCAGGGTGAGTGATCTGAAAGAGTGGGCAGGAAGCTGCAGCATCTTTTTTTTTTTTTTTTTTTTTTTTTTTTTTTTTTTTGAGACGGAATCTTGCTCTGTCACCCAGGCTGGAGTGCAGTGGCGCGATCTTGGCTCACTGCAAGCTCTGCCTCCCCGGTTCACGCCATTCTCCTGCCTCAGCCTCCCGAGTAGCTGGGACTACAGGCGCCTGCAACCACGCCTGGCTAATTTTTTGTATTTTTACTAGAGATGGGGTTTCACCGTGTTAGCCAGGACGGTCTCCATCTCTTGACCTTGGGATCCGCCCACCTCGGCCTCCCAAAGTGCTGGGATTACAGGCGTGAGCCACTGCACCCAGCCAACTGCAGCATCTTTTATGATCATATTTGGTCTTTACAGTAGAAATAACAAGGAGCACACCGGGGGCGGTGACTCACGCCTGTAATCCCAGCACTTTGGGAGGCCGAGGCGGGCGGATCACCTGAGGTCAGGAGTTAGAGACCATCCAGACCAACATGGAGAAACCCTGTCTCTATTAAAAATACAAAAATTAGCCAGGTGTGGTGGCACACACCTGAGGCTGAGAATTGCTTGAACCCGGGAGGCGGAGGTTGCAGTGAGCCAAGGTCACGCCATTGCACTCCAGCCTGGGCAACAAGAGCAAAACTGTTTCAAAAAAAAAAAAAAAAAGAAAGAAAAATAAATAACAAGGAGCTACCTGGGAACGTAGAGCCGAGCCCTGGGGCCAGCTCCTCCACCTCGCAGTGATTTCTGACAGTTCTCTAGGAACCCAGGTTGGGGTGTGGCCCTGTGGGCCTGGGGCCTTTGCTGTGGTTACCTCTTCTGGCTCATAAGAGGGCTCTGCTGAAGAATTGCTTTGGAGCTCTTTGTGCAGAGAGACCCTGTCAGTGCCCTTTGCTGTGACACCTGCGAGTGGGGACCTAGGATGTCACACCTGAATTAGTGGGGGTGTGCTTCTGTATCACCCACTAAGGTACCATGGAGCCCAGAGATGCATCTGCCAGCATCCTTAGTTTTTTATTGTTGTTTGTTCATTTGTTTGAGACAGGGTCTTGCTCTGTACTCAGGCTGGAGTGCGGTGGCACCATTACAGCTCACTGTAGCCTCAACCTCCCGGGCTCAGGCAGTCCTCTCACTTCAGCCTCCTGAGTAGCTGGGACCACAGGCATGCACCACCATGCCCAGCCAACAGCCTTAGTTTTTGCTTTTTACCAATAAGACTTTTTTTTTCCTTATAACTTTGAACAAGTGGACTCCAGAAGTTTTGGGTTCCAGTACTTTATGTGTCCTAGAGATTCATGCTTTCCAGCCTGGGTCCTGGGCCTCATGCCTGGGGCATGGGAGACTCTCCTCTTTAGTCAAGAAATATTTCTTGGGAATCTCTTTTCCTGCTGCTGGTAGGAGAGGTGGAAGGTGGCAGGAGCAGGATGTGTCCCTGGAGACTTGACAGTAGCTGTGTGTCTGCCTGTTGCTGCCTGTCTCCCTCCTCTCCCCCACCGTAAGGAGATGGGGCTGGTCCCTGGAGGGCCTCTGATTACAGGGGATGAGACTGTCCTGCATCCAGGGCTTGGGTGAGAAAGAGCCTGGAGCGCCCGCTGCATGCTGTAGGCATGGGGTGGAAACCCAGAGCCTTCTGCCCAGCTGCCCAGGCCCAGAATTGTCAGAGGGCGGGAATCCTTCCTTCTGGCCTCTCTGGTCTATAACCTCGGCCCCGTTCCTGGAGCAGATCTGTGTGCCTGTGGAGTCCTCAAGCCCCCTGGTGATGAGTAACCAGAAGGAGGTGCTGCGCTGCTTCACTGTGCTGGGTGAGTGGTGGGCCCAGCTTTGCCCATGGGCATCTGTGGACACTCACAGGGTCACTGCCTGCTGTATGTGGAGGATGGTGGTGGCTGGGGTACTGGTCGGGGATGAGGAGGCCCCTGTTTCCACCTCTCCTGGGCCTACCTGTGGCTCCAGAGGCCTCTGAACCAGGGCCTGGGCAGTGGCTGCAGCCTGGAACGTTGTTCACCTCCGAGGAGCGTGCTGCTGACCTGCCCAAATCCTTGGGGGCCTCCACTCACCGTCCAGTCTGCACATTCCCTACCTGCCCCCCGCCTACCTGTTTCTCCACACCCAATCTCTGGCTCCATGGCCTGCTCTCTGCTCCCCCAGGGGGCCTGTGGCTGCTAGCCCTGGTCACCTGCCAGCCTCCCATGACCCACCTGGAGGTGCCATGCATCCTGTCACCACCCCCACTGGATGCTGTCCCTATGCCCTGCACAGGCCCTCATAGCCATCCTGGAGGGGCAGCAGATGGTGTGAGGAGGGGTCCTGCTTGCACTTGGGGCTGTCACCCTGCTGGGGCCACAGCATCAACATCTCCCTGGAGCTGGTCAGGCAGGCGGGGCCTCAGGCCCCCCACCTACATGAGCATCTACCCTTACACAAGATCCGCAGGAGGGGTGTGGGGAGACTGACTGCAGCCAGGCTGGGGGCAGGGTTGTGGTGGGCAGATGGATCACAGGTCTGATACCCAGGCAGAGCAGGCCTCCAGAGCCCACCTGGAATGGGGATGGCTCTGGTCCGTGAAGTACTGGTAAGGGAACTGCTGCAGTCGTTGCCAGAGGGCTCCTGGAGCTTGGGCTGCATTAGCCCTGCTTGGGCTGGGGGTCTGTGTGCTTGACAGCTCGAGTCCCCTTGAGCCTTAGACTGGCCTAGAGCCAAGAGAGTCAAGAGGGGCTACTGATGGCCCTCTTGTGGGCCCCCTTGTGAGCTGGAGATGCTGAAACAAGCACCGGTGTGCTGGGTTGGCCAAGATCTAAGTCCCGGCATGCTCGGGTGGTGCTGGCGCCGTGGGATAAGGGCTACATGTGCTCCAACCCTGCCTTAGACAGGGGCATCGGAGCCAGGCCCAGCGATTAGGTGACCCCAGCTTCTCACCTTCACACAGCAACTCTCCTCTGGCTCCTCCCCTGTGCTGGAGAGTAGGTGGACGCTGTGTATAGGGATGAACAAGATGACATGGAGCCTAATCTGTACCCGTTGCCCTGTAGCCTGCAGCTCGCCTGACCGCCTACTGGCCTTCCTGCTGCCCAGGCTGGACACCAGCAATGAGAGGACCCGCGTGGGCACCCTGCAGGTGGTCAGACATGTCATCAACTCAGCTGGTGAGTGCCTCCATGCTAGCCTGGCCGCCACCCCTGGCCATGTCCAGGATGGAGCAGGTCCTGGCAGATTGTGTCCCTCTAAGTGAAAGCACCATCCTGCTTTGAATTCTCTAGAAAGATTTCCCTACTTACTATTTTGCAAAATTCTAAACTTTTTGAAAAGTTGCAAGGGTGGTACCTTTCTACCCTTCGCCATATGATGGTGGCTCACACTTGCTTTGACAGCTGGCTGCAGACACCATGCGTGGCCACACTCCCCAGGTGACCATGCCTCTGAGGGTTCCCAGAGCCTAAGACAGCCATCCCTGAGCCCACTGCTCTAGCTCATTCTGGGATCTATTCAAAGACACACTTTGGTTTAGTTTGGTTGTCTCTTAGACTTGTTTGCCCAAGAGGAGCCTTTTTACTCTTTTTAAGAGATGAGGAGACCAATTGTTTCGTAGAATGTCCCTCAATTTACATATGTGTGACGGTTTCTTCGCAATTAGACTAAAAAAATTCACGTTTCCTTGTTTTAAGGCTAATTTTTTTTTTTTTTAGTGGTCTTGCTCTGTCGCCAGGCTGGAGTGCAGTGGCGCAATCTCGGCTCCCTGCAACCTCCACCTCCCGGGTTCACACCATTCTCCAGCCTCAGCCTCCCGAGTAGCTGGAACTACAGGGGCGCGCCACCAGGCCCAGCTAACTTTTGTATTTTTTTTTAGTAGAGACAGGGTTTCACCATGTCGGCCAGGATGGTCTCAATCTCCTGACCTCCTGATCCACCCACCTCGGCCTTCCAAAGTGCTGGGATTACAGGCGTGAGCCACCGCACCCATCCTTAAGGCTAATTGAAGTGATTAGTGATAAGCCTGAAAACATACCATTTTTCACAAGTGAGCTTGTGGTTTCCAGCGTGGCTCTTCCGCAGGTCAGTGCACAGTGGCCATGGCCCACCGGCCCTGCAGCCTGCCCATGCTCATCCTATGAGCTAGGGAGGTTGTTACATCTTTAATGGGTTATAAAAGCAAACAAAGGGACCACATGTGACCCACAAAGCCTAAAATATTTTCTGTCTGCCCTTTCAGAAGCGGCGCACTGCCCCCTGTACTGAGGTTCACTACCAGTCAGCTGCTGGGTTGCAAAGAGCAGCCACCCAGAGAGTCACATAGAGTTCTGGGACATATAGAAGCAGCGTGACAAAGCAGCAGGGCCGGCCGGGCAGTGGCTCACGCCTGTAATCCCAGCACTTTGGGAGGCCATGGCGGGCAGATCACTTGAAGTCAGGAGTTCAAGACCAGGCTGGCCAACATGGTGAAACCCCGTCTCTACTAAAAATATATATTAAAAAAAATTAGCCTGGCGTGGTGGCGGGCGCCTGTAATCCAAGCTACTTGGGAGGCTGAGGCAGAATTGCTTAAACTCAGAAGGCTGAGGTTGCAGTGAGCTGAGATGGCTAAACCGCACTCAAGCCTGGACAACAGAGTGAGACTCCGTCTCCAAAAAAAAAAAAAAAAAGAGAAAGCAGCAGGGCCAAGGGAGGACGGGGCAGACGGGGCCACAGTGCGAAAGTCACCAGGTTAAGAGTCAGGTGTAGGCACCTCAGGACACCTTCAGCGGCCCTTGCCCCAGCAGAAGCAGCCTGAAGTCCTGCTGCTTTGGGCGTGCCCAGATTTCAGAGCCCAGGGTGGTGCTGTGGTGGGCTGTCTGGAGGCTGGCGGGGGGAGAGCCTGCTGTCTGTGGAGGGGCGGGGAGGGGAGAGCCCGCTCTCTGTGGAGGGGTTGGGAAGGCAGCGACCCGCTCTGTGTGGAGGGGCAGGGAGGGAAGTGTCCCCTCTGTGGAGGGGAAAGGAGGGAAGCGCAGGCTCTCTGTGGAGGGGAAAGGAAGGGAGCACCAGCTCTGTGTGGAGGGGTTGGGAGGGAAGCGCCCCCTCTGTGGAGGGGAAGAGAGGGAAGCGCAGGCTCTCTGTGGAGAGGAAGGGAAGGGAGAACGGGCTCTCTGTGGAGGGGTTGGGAGGGCAGCGCCCCGCTCTGTATGGAGGGGCAGGGAGGGAAGCGCCCCCTCTGTGGGGGGGAAAGGAGGGAAGCGCAGGCTCTCTGTGGAGGGGTGGGGAGGGGAGCGCAGGCTCTCTGTGGAGAGGCGGGGAGGGGGAGCACCCGCTCTCTGTGGAGGGGTTGGGAGGGGAGCGTCCTTTCTGTGGAGGAGCCTGGAGAGGAGCGCCCGCCATCTGCGGAGGGGTTGGGAGAGGAGCACCCGCTGTCTGTGGAGGGGCTGGGAGGGAAGCGCAGGCTCTCTGTGGAGGGGCGGGGGGGGGCACCCGCTCTCTGTGGAGGGGCGGGGGGGGGAGCGCCCAATGTCTGTGGAGGGGCAGGGAAGGAAGCGCGGGCTCTCTGTGGAGGGGCTGGGAGAGGAGCGCCCGCTCTCTGTAGAGGGGCGGGGAGGGGAGCGCCCGCTGTCTGTGGAGGGGCGGGGGGGGGGAGCGCCCGCTGTCTGTGGAGGGGCGGGGGGGGGAGCGCCCGCTGTCTGTGGAGGGGCGGGGGGGGGAGCGCCCGCTGTCTGTGGAGGGGGGGCGGGGGGGGGGAGCGCCCGCTGTCTGTGGAGGGGCGGGGGAGGGGAGCGCCCGCTGTCTGTGGAGGGGCGGGGGGGGGGGAGCGCCCGCTGTCTGTGGAGGGGCGGGGGGGGGAGCGCCCGCTGTCTGTGGAGGGGCGGGGGGGGGAGCGCCCGCTGTCTGTGGAGGGGCGGGGGGGGGGAGCGCCCGCTGTCTGTGGAGGGGCTGGGAAGGAAGCGCGGGCTCTCTGTGGAGGGGCTGGGAGGGGAGCGCCGGCTCTCTGTGGAGGGGCGGGGAGGGGAGCGCTCGCTCTGTGTGGAGTACTCTGTAGAGGGTCCTGGAGAGGAGCGTCAGCTCTCTGTGGAGGGGTTGGGAGGGGAGCGCCCCCTCTGGAGGGGAAGGGAGGGAAGCGCAGGCTATCTGTTGAGGGGTTGGGAGGGGAGTGCCTGCTCTCTGTGGAGTGGCCCGGAGAGGAGCGCCCGCTCTCTGGAGGGGAAGAGAGAGAAGCGCAGGCTCTCTGTGGAGGGCCTGAGAGGAGAGCGCCTGCAGCTTCCACACAGAGGGGCTGCTCTGGTCAGTGGTCCTTGGGGAAGGGAGCCTCAGAGGCATGGGGCGTGTGGCAGCCCCACAGAAAGTAAAGCATCTGCGTCAGCAGCATGCACTCAGCCTCTGGTGGTAGAAGTAACCCTTGAGGCAGGTGCTCTTCTCCCCATTTACCTGATGAGGTTGGCATCTGAAGTGGAATTCTTAGTGCCCATGCTCTTGTTAGAGATGGGTTTTTCCATTCAGAAGTTCAACATTTCATGGGATTAACCATGCTCAACTTCCCTTTGTTAATTCATCAATCACATTTATGCTTTTCAGCGTTCACTTTGTTTTCCCCATATTTCATTTTCCTTGAAGTTCTTTCTCTGTGCATTTACGTATGTACAAATGCATGTACGCAAGGAAATATTTTAACCAAATGACATACTTCAAAACATGCTTTTTTCACTTGCTAGTATATCTTAGAGAACTTTTAACATCAGCACATATACATCTGTGTCATTTTTTGTTTTGTTTTGAGACAGGGTCTCGTTCTTTCACCCAGGTTGGAATGCAGTGGTGCAGTCATAGCTTACTGTAGCCTTGAGCTCCTGTGCTCAAGCAATTCTCCCACCTCAGCCTCCCAAGCAGCTGGGACTGCGGGTGTGCACCACCACACTCTGCCAGTTTTTTTGTATTTTTGTAGAAATGGGGTCTACTTATGTTGCCCAGGCTGGTCTCAAACTCCTGGGTTCAAGTGATCCTCTTTCCTTGGCCTCCCAAAGTGCTGGGATTACAGAAGTGAGATGGGCATCTATGCCGTCTATGTCATTTTTAATTGTTTTTATTTGAAGTATAATACACATACAGAAAAATGTACACGTTAACTGTTCAGCTTCATGAATAATCACACAGTAAGCCTATGTATTTATTCACCAACCAGGTGAAGAAATGGGACATTGACAACACCCAGGGGTGGCACTCTCAAGTCCCTCAGAAGGGGTGACTTCTAACAATAGAAGATAGTGTTGCTGTTTCAGGATGTTGTACAAAGAGAATTGTATGGTGTAAATAATTTTGTATCTGGCTTCTTTTCCTCAGTATTCTCTTGGTGAAATTTATACATATAGTACAGCTTATTTATTTTCACTCCCGTGAAGGATTCCAGTGAATTATCTACTACAGTGATTCATTTTGCCTGTGATGGGTAAATGGCTATATCCAGTATTTAACTGTTAATGCATAAGCCACTATTAACATTTGTCCTTTACACAGTTAGTGTTTACCTAGATGTAGAATTTTGGGTTATAAAGTATGTATGTGTTCAAGTTGCATAGATAAACCCTTCTGTTTTTCCAAAGTAGCTGTTTATACCCCAATTTATACCCCACACCTTATGTCTCACAAGTGGCTTATGAGCATTATTGCTTCATGTCCTCACCAACATTGGTTGGTCTTTAATTTTAGCCATTTTTGTGGGTATGTTATGAGGTCCTGCTTTGTTGCCCAGGCTGGTCTCCAACTCCTGGGCTCAAGCAATCCTCCCACCTTGGCCTCCCAAAGTACTGGGATTACAGGCGTGAGCCATTGCACCCAGCCAGAAGTCATCAAGTTTTCAATGAAAATATTGGAACATGATTGCAAGTTGAGGCCGTGGTTGGTCCCTGCATGTCATTCTTTCAGTCCATGGTCCAGAGAGCTGTTTCTTGTGTTAGACACCAGGCCATCTCAGTTTAAGTGGCTGGGTATAAAAGTCTGAGGTATCTTAATATGTTGCTTTCTTGTCTTCTAGAATCTGTTACTGCTATTGATAACTCATTGATGACTATCTGATTTGACTGGGATTTTCCTTATATATGATTTGGTCTTTTCTGCCTAGATGCCCAAAGGATTTTTATATATATATAAATCCTTTGCATATATATAGACACACACACACACACACACGCATGCATGCCAGGATTACAGGCTGTTTTATATCTTAAAACCGGAAATTTTACTGTGTCTCAGTGTTGGCTATTCTGAGTTGATTTCCCCCCCAGGTCCATAGAGTGCGCATTCAGCATTTGCGTCAATTCTGTTTTATCTCAAGAGACCTTGTTTTTCAGTCATAGCATTTCAGTACCCCATGACTTCGGAAGCCTTCTCTGGGATTCCCTGTTACATGTGTGTTGTGTCATTGTTGCCTATCTTAGATACTTTTATAAATCAAATTTTTGAAAGGCTTTTGGCCTCCAGTCATATTTTCTTCCAGAATTTTATTTTCTAAAATTGAACATAATCTTCAATAGAAATGCAGTAAAATGCATAAATCTTAACTGTATACTTGGTGACATTTTACACATTGTTCACCCATATGACTACCACTCAAATCAAAATGTGGAACATTTTTCTAAAACCCAAAAAGTTTTGCTTGTATTTATTTTCAGCTAACACCTACACCTACTGTTAAGAAGTGACCTCTTTTATGAGGTCACAGCGCAGGCTTGTGCTCTGTCGCCCAGGCTGGAGTGCGGTGGCACGATCACAGCTCACTGCAGCCTTGACCTCACGGGTTCAAGGGATCTTCCTGCCTCGGCCTCCTGAGTGGCTGGGACTGCAGGAGTGTACCCGGCCCACCGTTATGACTTCTGTCACCATAATTAATTCTGCCTGCTGTTGAGTTCCATGTAGATGGGCTAGTTGTAGGAGGACCCTTCGTGAGCGTAGGCATTCACTGAGCACGGTGCTGCTGTCAGTGCACTCTTCTTTACTGCTAAGTTGTATTCTGTTACATTTTCTGAATTTAAAAGTTATTTGTTTTCCTGTTAACAGACACTTGGGTTGTTCATGTTCTTTTTTTTTTTTTTGAGACATAGTTTCGCTCTTGTTGCCCAGGCTGGAAGGTAGTGGCACGATCTCGGCTCACTGCAACCTCCACCTCCCGGGTTCAAGCGATTCTCCTGCCTCAGCTTCCTGAGTAGCTGGGATTACAGGCGAACACCACCACACCCGGCTAATTTTTGTATTTTTAATAGAGATGGGGTTTCGCCATGTTGGCCAGGCTGGTCTCGAACTCCTGGACCTCAGGTGATCCACCCGCCTCGGTCTCCCAAAGTGCTGGGATTATAGGCATGAGCCACCGTGCCTGGCCTTTTTTCTCATTTTAAATTGTCCTCTTTGCCAGACACGGTGGCTCACGCCTGTAATCCCAGAACTTTGCGAGGCCGAGGCAGGTGGATCACCTGAGGTCAGGAGTTTGAGACTAGCCTGGCCAACATGGTGAAACCCTCTCTCTACTAAAAATACAAAAAAATGCCAGGTGTGGTGGCACACGCCTGTAGTTCCAGCTACTCTGGAGGCTGAGGCAGGAGAATTGCTTGAACCCGGGCGGCAGAGGTTGCAGTGAGCCAAGATTGCATCACTGCGCTCCAGCCTGGGCGACAGAGCGAGATTCTGTCTCAATTAAAAGAGAGAGAAAAGAAATTTAAAAAAAAAAATGGAAGTTCCCTGGTGAGTAAATTGATGAAGCACCTTTTCATATGCTTATTGACCTTCAGATATATTTGCGTATATATGTTGAAGTTCCTTTTCAAGTCTTTTTTTTGGGGGGTGGGGGGCCAGTTGTTGTTTTTTTGAGATGGAGTCGTGCTCTGTCACCAAGCCGGAGTGCAGTGGTGCGATCTTGGCTCACTGCAACCTCCGCCTCCTGGGTTCAAGCAATTCTCCTGCCTCAGCCTCCCAAGTAGCTAGGACTACAGGCGCTCACCACCATGCCCAGCTAATTTTTGTATTTTTAGTAGAGACAGGGTTTCACCATGTTGGCCAGGATGGTCTTGATCTTCTGACCTCGTGATCTACCCACCTTGGCCTCCCAAAGTGCTGGGATTTACAGGCGTGAGCCACCACGCCCGACCCCTGTTCAGGTCTTTTGCCCATTTTGATTGATTTATAGAGAGAGGGTCTCACTACGTTACCCAGGCTAGAGTGCAGTTCTGTGATCATAGCTTACCACATCCTCGGCCTCCTGGGCTCAAGCGATCCTTCTGCCCCAGCCTCCAGAGTAGCCTGGGTTACAGGAGTGCACTACCATGCCCAGCTGTTGTTCATTTAACAACTGGGTTGTTTGTCGTTTTATTATGATTATTTTGTAGTGTTCTTTATTGGATACATAGAGACATAAATATATGTTTTTATGATTAGTACCTTTATGTCTAAGAAACCTTTGCCTGCTCAGAAGTCATGAAGATATTCTTCTATATTTTCTTTTAGATGCTTTATTGTTTGAGCTTGCAAATTTATGTCTGTGATTCATCTTTTACTAATGTTTGGGTGTGAGTGAAATGTAGGGGGCAAGGTGTGTTTTTTTTTAATTACTTTTTTTTTTTTTTTTGAGACAGAGTTTTGCTGTTGTTGCCCAGGCTGGAGTGCAGTGGTGCGATCTCAGCTCGCTGAAGCCTCCACCTCCCAGGTTCAAGTGATTCTCCTGCCTCAGCCTCCCGAGTATCTGGGATTACAGGCACATGCCATCACACCGGCTAATTTTGTATTTTTAGTAGAGACAGGATTTTGCCATGTTGATCAGGCTGGTCTCAAACTCCTGACCTCAGGTGATCCGCCCGCCTCGGCCTCCCAAAATGTTGGGATTACAGGCGTGAGCCACCACACCCGGCCTGCAAGGTTATTTTTATATGGATGTCCAGTTGTTCCAGTCTCACTTGTTGAAAAGACTTTACTTTCTCCATTGAATTGCTTCTGTGCCTTGGTACAAGGTCAGGTAACCTTATGTATTAATGTAACAGCTGCAGTAACAAAGTACCACCGACTGGTGGGTGGGGTTTTTTTTTTTTCTATTACCCTGATCTCTGTTTTATCTTCATGTGCATTTTTCCTGTGTGCCTGTCTGTATCCCTATATCCCCCTTTTATAAGGGTACCAGCCATATTGGATGAAGGGCCCACCCTACTCCAGTGTGACCCCCTCTCAACTTATTAATTCTGCAGTAACTATTTCCAAATAAGGTCACATTCCGAGGTACAGGGGTTGGGATTTGCACATACGAATTTTGAGGCCACAATTCAACTTATAGCATCATATGTTAGTGGGTATATTTCAGGACTCTATTCTTTCCTTACACCAATATCACACTTTTTTTTTTCTTTTTTCTTTTTTGAGACAAAGTCTCACTGTGTCACCCAGGCTGGAGTACAGTGGCGCGACCTTGGCTTACTGCAGCCTCTGTCTCTTGGGTTCAAGCGATTCTCCTGCCTCAGGCTCCTGAGTAGCTGGGATTACAGGCATGCACCACCACATCCGGCTAATTTTTGTGTTTTTAGTAGAGACAGGGTTTCACTGTGTTGGCCAGGCTGGTCTTGAACTCCTGATCTCAGGTGATCCACCTGCCTCAGCCTCCCAAAGTGCTGGCATTACAGGCATGAGCCAATGCACTCGGCCATTTTGTGTGTGTGTGTGTGTGTGTGTGTGTGTGTGTGTGTGTGTGTGTGTTTAGTGGAGACGGAGTTTCGCCATGTTAGTCAGGCTGGTCTCAAACTCCTGGACTCAAGTGATCTGCCCGCCTCAGCCTCCCAAAGTGCTGGGATTATAGGCCAATATCACAGTTTCTCAGTTGTTTTAGTTTTATCCTAAGGCTTTAAATCTGGTAGAGGATGTCCTTCAACTTTATTCTTCTTCAAGATTGTTCATCCCCATTGAAAAATCGTTAGTATAGGCCGGGCACGGTGGCTCAAACGCCTGTAATCCCGGCACTTTGGGAGGCTGAGGCAGGCGGATCACGAGGTTAGGAGATTGAGATCATCCTGGCTAACACAGTGAAACCCCGTCTCTACAAAAAATACAAAAAATTAGCTGGGCGTGGTGGCGGGCGCCTGTAGTTCCAGCTACTTGGGAGGCTGAGGCAGAGAATGGTGTGAACCCAGGAGGCAGAGCTTGCAGTGAGCTGAGATGGTGCCACTGCACTCCAGCCTGGGCGACAGAGTGAGACTCCGTCTCAAAAAAAAAAAAAGAAAAAAGAAAAATCGTTAGTATAAAAGAAATCATGGAAGGGCACAGTGGCTCACACCTGTAATCCTAGCACTTTGGGATCCCGTAGCAAGCAGATCGCTTTATCCTAGGAGCTTCAGACTAGGCTGAAAAACATGGTGAAACCCTGTCTCTACTAAAAATAAAAAAAGCCAGGTGTGGTAGCATGCATCTGTAGTCCCAGCTACTCTGGGGACTGAGGTGAGAGGATCACCTGAGCCCAGGAGGTCGAGGCTGCAGTGAGCTGTGACGGTGCCACTGCATTTCAGCCTTGGCTACAGAGTGAGACCCTGTCTCAAAAAAAAAAAAAAAAGGGAAGGAAATGTAGAAACCACATAAAACAAATGTGTGACTTATTACATATCATTCTAAGACAACAACATCAGATCTACCACCAGGTCTTTTGGACTGAAGTTGCCACCGAGACGCCCCTCCTTGCATCCTATTCCAGTCACAGTTCTTCACTCCCCAACAAGTAACAGCTATCCTGATTTTTATAGTAATCACTCCCTTATGATTAGCTGTGTCCACTTTAAAAGCCTACCTATGGCCGGGTGCGGTGGCTCACACCTGTAATCCTAGCATTTTGGGAGCCTGAGAGGGGCGGATCACTTGAGGTCAGGAATTTGAGACCAGCCTGGCCAATACAGGGAAACCCTGTCTCTACTAAAAATACAAAAATTAGCCAGCGTGGTGGCAGGTGCCTGTAATCCCAGCTACTTGGGAGGCTGAGGCAGGAGAATTGCTTGAACCTGGGAGGGGGAGGTTGCAGTGAGCCGAGATTACGCCACTGCATAAACAGGCCCTGTGCGGTGGCTCACACCTGTAATCCCAGCACTTTGGGAGGCCAAGGCAGGCAGATTACTTGAGGCCAGGAGTTCGAAACCAGCCTGGGCAACATGATGAAACCCCATCTCTACTAAAAATGCAAAAATTAGCTGGGTATAGTGGCGCACACCTGTCCCAGCTACTCAGGAGGCTAAGACATGAGAATCGCTTGAGCCCAGGTGGCAGAGGTTGCAGTGAGCCAAGATCGTGCCACTGCACTCCAGCCTGGGTGACAGATGGAGACTCTGTCTCTCTCTCTCTCTCTATCTCTCTATATATATATACATTCAAATTTATATAGAGATAATAATGTATAAATATATTTTTACATAGATTTAAGTCTTTTTTTGGAGGCTTGACCATTGGTGATTTTGTTTATTTTTAGTGTGGTAAAATACATGCAATATAAAATTTAGCATCTTAATCGTTTTTAAGCAAATGCTTCAGTAGTGTTAAGTACATTCTCATTGTCAGGCAACTGTCACCACCATCTGCCTCCACAACTCTTTTCATCTTGCAAAACTGAAACTCCGTGCCTGTGAAACAGCAACTCCCCATATTTAAGTCCCTCATAAGCTACAGGTTCCCCTCCGTTCTTCTCTTTCTCTTATAATTTATCTGTAGAAGAACCTGGCTGTTTATTCTGTGGATTTGCTCATCGTTGAGTTTTGCTGACTGCATTGTCAAGGTGCAAGTCAACATGTTTCTCTGCCATCTGAATTTCTAGCACATTGGCAGCTGGATTCAGAAACAGATTCAGACTCAAGCTCAGTCCCTTGGGCAAGACGATAGGAGTCATGTGATATGTGGTATTCTCTCCTTTGAACGTCAGTCTTAGCAGCATTGATGCTGAATGCCTGTATCCATTAATTAATTAATTGGTGGGAGGATGATACTATAATTCTATCATTTATTTTTCATTAAGTGGAACACCTTGACAAAGAGATACTTGCCCCAGGTACCATTTGCTTACCCAGGGGTATGGTTCATATAAGAAAGGCAGGGTTGGCCGGGCACAGTGGCTCATGCCTGTAATCCCAGCACTTTGGGAGGCGGAGGCAGGTGGATCACGAGGTCAGGAGTTCAAGACCAGCCTGACCAACATGGTGAAACCCCCCTCCCTACTAAAAAATACAAAAATTAGCCAGGCATGGTGATGCGGGCCTGTAATCCCAGCTAATCCAGGAGGCTGAGGCAGAGAATCGCTTAAACCCAGGAGACAGAGGCTGCAGTGAGCCAAGATTGCGACACTGCACTCCAGCCTGTGCGACAAGAGTGAAATTCCATCTCAAAAAAAAAAAAAAGAAAAAGAAAGGTAGGTTCAGCCCTTGATTCTTTTGTGTTTTTATTTATCAGTTTTCAAGGTAGTGGATTGGTTTCCTATCACCCTCCAGAGGTGGTTTGGAAGGACGCATTTGATGGCTTCAATCCAGAGCAGTCATCACCATCACCGAAGCTCAGATCGTCTCATCTTTGGCAAGCGGCAGCCTCTTGAGATCTGAATCCCTCTGATACGGCCCTGCTGGTCTTTGGCAGCTCATGTTTTAGGCTTCTTTCATCTGTTTCTTGCTTTAGACCTGGAATTGGCCATTTCTACAAAAATAGCCCTGGTTCCTTTTAGTGAGAAGCTGTGTTGTTTTTTTGTTTGTTTGTTTGTTTGTTTTTGAGATGGAGTCTCACTCTGTCGCCCAGGGTGGAGTGTAGCGGCTCAAACACGGCTCACTGCAACCCTAACCTCCTGGGCTTAAGGGATCCTCCTGTCTCAGCCTCCTAAGTAGCTGGGACTTGCAGGTGCACACCACCACACCTGGCTAATTTTTCTATTTTTTGTAGAGATGGGGTCTCACTATGTTGCCCAGGCTGGTCCTGGATTCCTGGGCTCAAGTGATCCACTTGCCTCGGCCTCCCAAAGTACTGGCATTACAGGTATGAGTCACTGCACCTAGCCAAGAAGTTACCTTTTAAGACAGTAGTCTGTTTCTGGAGGGCTCATTACTTCTGGATGGTTACTATTCCTGGGCCTTTTCAGTAGACAGAGCTAGGAAATATCTCTATCAGTAGATAGATAAAATACCTTATGAGTTCATGTTGATACTTCCAGTTCAACATATGGACCTCAGAGATTTTTACCTCTCTTCTGTTACTTTTTTTTTTTTTTTTTTTTTTTTTTTTTGAGACAGTCTTGCTTTGTTCCCCAGGCTGGAGTGCAGTGGTGGGATCATGGCTTACTGTAACCTCTGTTTTCCAGGTTCAAGCGATTCTCATGCCCCAGCCTCCCTACTAGCTGGGACTACAGGCATGCGCCACGACACCCAGTTAATTTTTGTATTTTTTAGTACAGATAGGGTTTCACCATGTTGGCCAGACTGATCTTGAGCTCCTGATCTCAAGTGATCCACCTGCCCCGGCCTCCCAAAGTGTTGGGATTACAGGCATGAGCCACCGCATCTAACCTCTTTTCTGTTACGTCTCTATCTCTGTTCTCAGGAATCCAGTTCTCAAGGTTAATAGAATTGGACTATCCCATAATTACCATTTGTTTGATCTCGTTACACAGGCAGCACTAACACCAGAATAACACTGATGTTGCCATCAGCAGTCACACGACTGAAACATGAGGACTGCCCTGCACGTGCTGCTCCGCAGCCTGCTGATCTAACGGCCGCGCCCGCGTCTGTTGCTTGAGTCACCACGGCTGTTACATCCCGTGCTCTCCCTTCTCTGCCTTCTTGGTGTTGGTTCTGCGGGCGACTGCCCATGTGGCCCTCAGCCCCATCCTCTGTTCATGGCTCTCTGCCACTCTTGTTGTCCAAAGCTCTTTCTCTGTAGGTTCCGTGGGAAGAGCTCATGGGAACATGATCTTCGACCTCATGCTTGCTGATCATAGTTTATTGTGCCTTTTATCGTTGATGGTTTTGCTGGTTACAGGATTCTTGGCTGACATTTCCTTGAGTGTCTTAAGTTATTCCATATTCTTCTGGCAGAGAGTTGCCAGATTTAGCAAAAACAAATAAACAGGATGCCCCGAATATTGTGTGGGACATTTTTGTACTGAAAACATGATTTGCTGGGCTGGGAGCGGTGGTTCGCGTCTGTAATCCCAGTACTTTGGGAGGCCAAGGCAGGCAGATCATTTGAGGTCAGGAGTTCAAGAACAGCCTGGGTAACATGGTGAAACCCCGTTTCTGCTAAAAATACAAAAATTAGCTGGGCGTGGTGGCGTGTGCCTATAATCCCAGCTACTCAGGAGGCTGAGGCAGGAGGATCACTTGAGCCTGGGAAGCAGAGGTTGCAGTGAGCCAAGATCACACACTGCACTCCAGCCTGGGCAGCAGAGCAAGACTCCGTCTCAAAAAAAAAATTATTTATTGTTTATCTGAAATTCAAATTTAACTGAGCATCTCATATTTTATCTGGCAACCCTATTCTGGCATAAAGCATTGTTATCGAAGTCTGATGATAATCTAATTTTCTATCCTCTTAGATGCCATGGGGTTTTTTTTTGTTTCTTTGTTTTGGTTTTGTTTTCTGATGTCCAAAAGATGTTCTTCTTTTTCTTTAAAACACAGTAATTTCATAGAATATCCTGATGTTGGTCCTGCAGTGCCCTGCAGTTGGAACAGAGCCCTGCTCCTCACCACGGCCTTTCTGCTCCCACCAGCAACCTGGGCCAAGCTCCCACCAGGGACCTCTCCTTGGCCACACTCGGCTGCCTGATGTTGGAGGCTCTTCCAGCCTGGAATCATCTTTCTGTGGCTCCCACATAGCCAGCTCTCTTCCTTTGAGTCTTAGCTTCAGGGTCACTTTTCAGAATAGCCCTTGGTGTTGACCCCCTTCTTCCAGTGCAGCACCCCCATGAATATGTTTCTCAGCCTCTCGTCTGCACCTCTCCTGATGCTGCCACAGTGTGTGGTGATCTTATTTACTGTCCAGTTGTCTTTGTGTCTTTTCCATTAGGACATAAGCTACTTGAGGGCAAGCCCCATCTGCCTTATAAAGGGCCTAGCAGGGAGTTGGCCTCCCCATAAACTTGAGGAGTGAATAAAATATTGCAGGTAAACCCCGGTGCATGTGAAATGTTATCGGTGACCGTAACTTTTGGTTTTTCCTTGGTGCTTTTTAGTTTGTTTGTTGTCTTGAATCTCAGGGACATGGGCCTGAATGGGCCCAAATCCTCAGCCACACCCTGGCTTGCTTGTGTTCTGCATTCTCGTGTGGGGCCGCGGCCACCCCAGCCATTGTTCGTTCCCTTTGTCTCCTCTTCTGGGAGGCAACTGCTCATGGCTCATGTCCATTTTTCTATTGGGTTGTTCGTTTATATTCTTTAACTTTTTGTATTAGGGTTCTCTAGAGGGACAGAACTAATAGGATACATGTGTATATGAAGGGGAATTTCACGATCACAGGGTCCCACAATAGGTGGTCTGCAAGCTGAGGAGCAAGGAAGCCAGTCCCAGTCCCACAGCTGAAGCACCTGGAGTCTGATGTTGGAGGGCAGGAAGCATCCAGCACGGGAGAAAGATGCAGGCTGGGAGGCTAAGCCAGTCTAGTCTTTCCACATTCTTCTTCCCGCATTTATTCTGGCCATGCTGGCATCTGATTAGATGGTGCCCACCAAGATTGAGGATGGGTCTGCCTTTCCCAGTCCACTGACTCAAATGTTAATCTCCTTTGGTGACACCCTCACAGACACATCCAGGAACAATACTTTGCATCCTTCACTCTAATTAAGTTGACACTCAACTATCAACCATCAAACTTTTTAATCTTTTATTGGGAAATACAAATACAGGTTGATTGTCTGTAATCTAAAAATTAGAAATCACAAATGTTCCAAAGTTCGAAACTTTTTGAACACTGACATCATGATGAAGATGACCTTAACACTATAGGAAATGTACAGAAACACCGTGGTGAGTGTGCGATGGGCTTACTGAAGAGCTGGAGCAGCAGGACACGTAACAGAGCAAGAAACCATGGCAGTGTACAAAATCAGAGTGATGTCTAAGACAAAAACCATTGTTAGTGAGGCAGATGACCCTGGAGGAATCACTTTAAAAAGCATCTGGCAGAATGCCCCTCCTCCCTAGAGGACCACTTCCTGGTCCCTCAGCTGCATCTGAGGTTTCTTCTCACCTAAAAAATGAAACACAGGCCGGGCATGGTGGCTCACGCCTGTAATCCCAGCACTTTGGGAGGCCGAGACCGGCAGATCACGAGGTCAGGAGATCGAGACCATCCTGGCTAACACGGTGAAACCCCATCTCTACTAAAAATACAATGAAAATTAGCCGGGCGTGGTGGCGGGCACCTGTAGTCCCAGCTACTCGGGAGGCTGAGGCAGGAGAATGGCGTGAACCTGGGTGGCAGAGCTTGCAGTGAGCCAAGATTGTGCCATTGCACTCCAGCCTGGGTGATAGAGCGAGACTCTGTCGCAAAAAAAAAAAAAAGAAAAATAATGAAACACGGGCTGGGTGCGGTGGCTCACGCCTGTAATCCCAGCACTTTGGGAGGCCGAGGCACGGATCACCTGCGGTCAGGAGTTCAAGACCAGCCTGGCCAACATGGTGAAACCCCCATCTCTACTAAAAATACAAAATTAGCCGGGCGTGGTGGCACATGCCTGTAATCACAGCTACTTGGGAGGCAGGAGAATCACTTGAACCTGGGAGGCGGAGGTTGCAGTGAGCCAAGATTGCACCATTGCACTCCAGCCTGGGCAGCAAGAGTGAAACCCTGTCTCAAAAAAAACAAAGAGCCTGGCTCAGTGGCTCATGCCTGTAATCCCAGCACTTTTGGAGGCTGAGGTGGGCAGATCACGAGGTCAGGAGAGCGAGACCATCCTGGTTAACACAGTGAAACCCCATCTCTACTAAAAATACAAAAAATTAGCCGGGCGTGGTGGCGGGCACCTGTAATTCCAGCTACTCAGGAGGCTGAGGCAGGAGAAT
Source organism: Homo sapiens (assembly GCF_000001405.40). Classification (NCBI taxonomy): domain Eukaryota; kingdom Metazoa; phylum Chordata; class Mammalia; order Primates; family Hominidae; genus Homo; species Homo sapiens. The sequence goes on from NC_000008.11 coordinate 144,216,388, forward strand.
GGCGTGAACCCAGGAGGCGGAGCTTGCAGTGAGCCGAGATCGCACCACTCCATTCCATCCTGGGCAACAGAGCAAGACTCCATCTCAAAAAAATAATAAGAAGAAACACAGTGTCCAGTGTCTTTGCCATCAGTACTCAACAGTCTTGTTTGTGAGTGGAGACTGGAAGCTGCTGTTGATTGCTGCTGCAGCTGTTTAATGGCTGCTCCAGGTGTTCTGGTGGTCCCACTGTTCACTTGGTTACCCTGAACACATGATGTCTTCATTGTATTAATGGTATGTCATATTTTTTACTGCTTTTTTTTTTTTTTTTTTTTTTTGAAATGGAGTCTTGCTGTGTCGCCCAGGCTAGAGTGCAGTGTCATGATCTCAGCTCGCTGCAACTTCCACCTCCTGGGTTCAAGCGATTCTCCTGCCTCAGCTTCCCGAGTAGCTGGGATTACAGGCACCTGCCACCACATCCGGCTAATTTTTGTATCTTTAGTAGAGACGGGGTTTCACCATGTTGGTCAGGCTGGTCTCAAACTCCTGACCTCCTGATCCATCCGCCTTGGCCTCCCAAAGTGCTGGGATTACAGATGTGAGCCATCGCGCCTGGCCTATTGCTAAGTTCTTATGTGTGAATAAGTGTAAGAAATGATTGCTTATTGAGCTGGGTGTGGTGGCTCATGCCAGTAATCCCTGCGTTTTCGGAGGCCAAGGTAGGAGGATTGAGTCCAGGAGTTGGAGACCAGCCTGGGCAACATAGTGGGATCTCATCACTTAAAAAAACGAAACAAAATGATTGCTTATTGGTAGCATATAAATTTAGTCAGGAGTGACAGGGGTGGCAGACAACCACAGATTGTCCACATGGGTGCTAAAAGGTGACACCTGTGCTTTCTAACAGTTCAGTGTACACAAACTTTGTGCACAAAATTTTAGAAATCCTGTATGAAATACCTCCAGGCTATATGTGTACGGTGTATATGAACCATAAATGAATTTTGTGTTTGGACTTGGATTCCGTTTCCAGGAACTCTCATTATGTATATGCAAATATTCCAAGCTCTGAAAGACCCCAAAATCTGAAACACATCGGGTCGCAATCATTTCAGATAAGGGAATGCTCAATCTATCCAGGCTGAAAGTTCTCAGAACACATGGCCCATCAGCCCCTCCACGGCAGTCACTGACTCTCACAGGGACCAAACCTTATTGTTGGTTGTTGTTGTTTTTTCTTTTCTTTTCTTTTGAGACAGGGTCTCACTCTGTCACCCAGGCTGGAGTGCAGTGGCACGATCTCGGCTCACTACAGCCTCTGCCTCCCGGCTTCAAGCGATTCTTGCACCTCAGCCTCCCGAGGAGCTGGGATGACAAGTGTGCGTGACCACACCTGCCTAATTTTTGTGAGACCAGACCTTATTGTTTTAGTTTTGCTGCTATTGTGTGAGTCCCTACCTCTTTATCCAGTAGGGCATTGTCAGGATCCCTCTGGGTGGCTGTGTTAGTGGCCCAGTATCCCTCGGGTGGCTGCGTTAGAGGCCCGGGATCCCTCTGGGTGGCTGCGTTAGCAGCCCAGGATCCCTCTGGGTGGCTGCGTTAGCGGCCCAGGATCCCTCTGGGTGGCTGCGTTAGTGGCCCAGGATCCCTCTGGGTGGCTGCGTTAGTGGCCCAGGATCCTTCTGGGTGGCTGTGTTAGTGCCCGTCTACTCAATTCCATTGCTGTGTCTTGCCCCATGGCTTGGAAGCCAGCGCCCCGTCAGCCCCTATCCTAGTGTGGTGTGTGCTTGGGCTCTTGGCAGTTTGCTGTCATAAACAGGCCGCCCTGCATATGTCAGAGCTCCTCTGGTGCAGGAACATTACCCGAGATGGACTTGCTGGGTCTCAGGTGTGTGTATCCTCTGCCTTTTAGATGATGCCGAGGTGTTTTCCAAAGTCCCCATGCCAGTTTCTCCAGCAGCCTCCAAGCATTCTACCTGTTCCAGCATCCTTACTCCCATGAGGTTTTGCACCGGACTCCTGCACCTATTCCAGTCAGGCCGTCATCCTGTGTCTCTCTGGCCAGCGGGGAAGCCCAGTGGCGTTGCGTGGGTGTTGGCCCTTGAGATTTTTTTTCACATCTTTCGTCTTTCTGTTGATGAGTCTTGTTCTCATCAACTTGTTGGAATTCCCTGCACCCTTTGCTGTGTCCACCACAGTGGCTGTCCTTCCAGCTCAATTCATACTATTTTGATTAACAGAAATTCTGAACTTCACTGAACTTCAGTGGTCCTTTACCATCCTCCCCTCCTCTCCCCTCCCGTCCCCTCTCCCCTCCCCTCTCTCCTCCCCTCTCCCCTCCTGTCCCCCCTCCCCTCCCCTCTTCCCTCCCCTCCCCTCTCGCTTCCCCTTTTCCCTCCCCTCTGCTCTCCCCTCCCCTCTCCCCTCCCCCCCTCACCTCCCCTCCTCCCCTCCCCTCCCCTCCTCCCTTCCCCTCCCCTGTTTTGACAGGATCTTGCTCTGTCGCTCAGGCTAGAGTGTGGTGGTGTGATCTCAGCTCACTGCAACCTCCGCCTCCTGGGCTCAAGCGATTCTTGTGCCTCGGCTTCCCAAGTAGCTGGGACTATAGGTGTGCACTACTACCCTTAGCTAATTTTTGTGTTTTTTTTTGTTGTTGTTGTTGTTTGTTTTTGAGACAGAGTCTCGCTCTGTCGCCCAGGCTGGAGTGCAGTGGTGCGATCTCAGCTCACTGCAAGCTCTGCCTCCCGGGTTCACGCCATTCTCCTGCCTCAGCCTCCCAAGTAGCTGGGACTACAGGCATCCACCACCATGCCCGGCTAATTTTTTGTATTTTTAGTAGAGACAAGGTTTCACTGTGTTAGCCAGGATGGTCTCGATCTCCTGACCTCGTGATCCGCCCGTCTCGGCCTCCCAGAGTGCTGGGATTACAGGCGTGAGCCACCGCGCCCGACCAATTTTTGTATTTTTTAGTACAGAAGGGGTTTGGCCATGTTGTCCAGGCTGGTCTTGAACTCCTGGGCTCAAGTGATCTGCCCACCTTGGCCTCCCAAAGTGCTGGGTTTACAGCCATGAGCCACCACACCTAACCCCTTACATCTTTTCTTATTGCCTTCCATACTTCCCAGTTCTGAGGCTATGAAGATCCTTCTACAGCATCTTCTAAAAGCAGTGTGGTATGTCTCATGGTTAGATCTGGAACCTGTCTTTTCTGAGCTTCTATGGCACACGTCTGTTTCATCCTCCTAACCCAGGGCTGGAGTCGCCCCAGACGTGACAGGGGAGTTCCCACAAGGGAGTATACCAAACCCTCAGAGAAGGAACCAATTGGGATCCCAAAGAAGCACTAAATGCCAGCTCAGAGCATTAATTAGGGGAACATTGGCATAGAGAGCTGCAGCTGGCCTCGAAACCGACAGTGAGAGACAAGGTGTTCTACCCAGGTGTGCCTGCATTGAGGAGCCAGGGTATGGGGTGTATGAGCAGCTTTAAGGCACTGGGTTCCAGGCATGAAGAGGCTGTGTCTAGCTCTGCCATTTGCTGCTCCGCAGTCCCTGGGGCCTCCAGTTCCTCATCTGTGACATTGGGTTGTCGTGACCCTTCTCTCCAAGGACTGTCGTGTGGGACAGCAGTCCTGTCCTGTGCAGTGGACCTCAGAGGGCACTTGCACTGTCCCCAGTGTCCTTCATTTTTATAGTCTCTCAGCCACTCTTAGATATCCACTTTTTATCCCCATTTAAATATCCAGAAATGAAGGCCCTGTTGATGGTTCTCAAGGGGGTCCCCAGACCAGCAGCATTAGCTCACCTTGGAATGTGTGAGAAATGCACACCTGAGCCCCCCAAGACCTGCTGAGTCAGCGCCTGGAGGGGGAGCAGGAGAGGACCCTGCCCCCAGTGCTTAATCCGCCTTCAGTGATTCTGATGCTGTAGCGCTTGAGTACCACTGAAGGAACTTCCCCGGCGTTGGAACCTGCGTGTACCTGACTCAGGCCCATTCTTCTACGACCGACCGCCCTAAACTACCAGCCACTTAGCTTTTGGATTAGGTAGAATGATGTTATTTGAGGAAAGTAAATCATTTGTCCCCTGAAGAAAAGTGGGTATGCTTTCCTTATGCTCCCTCTTCCTCCTACACGGGGACCACGGGGAAGCCAGGCCCCTGGTGATGTGGAATGGACCTTGAGGTCCTCATCTCAGTGGTAGGCTGAGCTGTCCTGTTTGTTTCTTGCAGCTGCTCAGATGGAAGATAAAAAGCCCTTTATCCTGTCTTCCATGAGGCTTCCTCTCCTGGACACCAACAGCAAGGTAAACCACATGGGCCAGCCCAGGCTGCACCACCACACCACAGGCAGCTGCAGGGTGTGGCCAGGCTGTGCTGTGAGATCACCCACCAACCAGGCGGCCACCACCCTTGGCTGGACTGAGCTTGGGAACAAAGGATGACAGTGTGCCATTCAGTGTGTGGCTGGTGCTTTTCCCACATCTCACTCAGGAAACAGTCCCCAAGGCCACCCTACACTGGCACCAGTTATAGGCCCGCGGGTCCCTAGCCCCTCCTTCAGGCTCAGTTGTTCTCTAGAAGGACCTGGAACTCACAGTGCTGCTCTGCTCGCGGTGATTGCAGCAAAAGGATGCAGGTCCACATCAGCCATGGTTGGGGTGCCTGGGACAGAATCCAGGAGGGCCCACACACAGAGCTCCCAGCCATCCTCCCCTGGGGTCGCGGACAGTGTTAGACCCCCCGCCCCTCTTCACAGCAGCAATGTGGGTCACAGAGCATCACAACCAGGGAAGCTCCTGCCTTGGGGTCTGTCATGTGGACCCGGTTGGCGCCCTCGTGGCTGAGCTATCTCCAGCCCCTCTGGAGGTGGAGCTGATGCCACGTGGCCCGTAGCCTCCACCTGTCACATGAGACCATCTGGTGTGGCCTAAGACCCCAGGTGGACAAGAACATTCTTACCAGGCCAGATGTTTGGGGCTTAGTGATGACCTCCCAGGACCCCAGGGCAGAGGCCAGGCCTAGCTTTGGGCGGGTGGATCTTTGCGAAAGTTAGGACTGCACCCAGGTTTGCACCCAGGTTACCCAGGGGCTGCTGTCTTGGGTAGGACCTGCTTGCTACAGGGGGAACAGAGACCCTTAGCCTTCTCGGGGGCTGCTCCAGCCTTTGTGCTGGGCCTCCTCTTGAGGTCCTTCTGTGAGACTCTTGTTGTTTCCCCAGAAGGTACTGAAACGGACCCCATGCCACATCTGTTGCGGTGCTCCTTACGTGTTCCACACACTCCCCAGCGTTCAGAGCTCTTCTCCCCACCGTACCCCTGACAGGGTCTTTTGGTCCTTTTGGACACCACCTGCAATGCCAGGTGGCTAAACGCACACAGTCTGGGCAGTCTGAGACCAACCGGCTCGCTCCTCCACACCCACCCTGTTCTCTGAGATAGCACAAGGAGGAAGTGCTTGGGGAAGCCTCCTCGGGGTGGGGATGCTGGACGTGAGAGCTGAAGGGGCAGAGGCGTGGTCACGATGCTGGAGAAAAGGATCCCCAGGGAGGGCAGCATGGGCAGAAGCCATGGCTCAGGGGAAGGGCTGGTTGCGCCACATTGGCCTGGCTGTGCCTCCGAGTCACCAGGCATGGTTACTGGGCGAGGCTGGACATGCAGGCTCAACTCCTAGGATTGCTGGGGTGACAACTGCAGATTCAGGGACCAGATTTATGGTACACCCCAGGAAACATGGGGATCACACGAGAGAAGCTAGCTCAGAAAGACAGCAGCCCCACCCCCTGAGGCCAGGGTGAGCCCCAGACGGAGGGATGGGTGTATTTGGAGCCTGGGAAGGGCAGCTGCCAGTGCCCAGGAGGCTGGGGGTTGGGGGCAGGGTGGCTTTGGGTGGAGCCCTCAGCAGAGCAGCTCTCTTGGAGTTGGGGTGCAGCTTGATGGAAGTGGATGGAGGAGGGAAAGTAAGTGAGATGCTCTCCTCTGGCAGCAGGGGAGGGAGGCAAAGGGAACTGGAGGAGAAGAATCCTTCCCTACGGACCTGAGCACATCCACAAGCTGGCAGGAAGGCTGCCTTCCAGGGGCAAAGGGGCCTTCACACAGCTTAGGGACAGAGAAAAAAGCAGACACAGGCGCAGGTGCAGGTGCAGGTACAGGTACATCCAGGTACAGGTGTGGGTGCAGACCCAGGTAGGTAGGTATAGATATGGGTGTGAGTGCAGGCTTAGGTGTGGATGCAGGTAATTATAGGTATGGGTGTTGGTGCTGGCACAGGTGTGGAGGAAGGTAGGTTCAGGTACAGGTGTGGGAGCAGGCATAGGTGTGGATGTGGGTGCAGGTAGGTACAGATGCAGGTATGGATGCAGGCACAGGTGCAAGTGTGGGTGCAGGCATAGGTGTGGGTATAGGTGTGGGCGTTGGCACAGGTATGTGGGTACAGGCCCAGGCCCAGGTATGTGGGTACAGGCCCAGGTATGGATACAGGTAGGTACAGGTGTGGGTACAGGTGCAGGCCCAGATGTGGGTGCAGGTAGATCCAGGTACAGATGTGGAGGTAGGTCCAGGTACAGGTGTGGATTCAGGTGCAGGCCCAGGTATGGGTGCAGGTACAGGTGTCAGTGTAACTGCAGTTGTGGGCACATGTGTGGATGTGGGTGGGAGGAAGACTGAGGTTCCTCTCTGCTGGCTGGACTGGCATGGCAGTCTCTGCGTCCCCTTCCTGATCTCCCATTTGTTCTCTGGGCAGGTGAAGCGGGCAGTGGTGCAGGTGATTAGCGCCATGGCCCACCACGGCTACCTGGAGCAGCCTGGAGGTGAGGCGATGATCGAGTACATCGTGCAGCAGTGCGCGCTGCCCCCCGAGCAGGAGGTAAGGGGCTGCCACCTTGCCTGCCTCCTAGGCCCACGCTGCCCCTGGCCTGTGTTAGGCACTGGCATCAGGAGCCACTGGCCCAGCAGAGGGTGGATATGTGGGCTGCAGTCTGCGTGCGGAGGTGCCCTCTGCTGTCTTTTGTTTAATAGAGACAGGGTCTTGCTTCTGTGGCCCAGGCTGGAGTGCAGTGGCTGTTCTCAGGTGTGATCATAGCACACTGCAGCCTGGAACTCCTGGGATCAGGAGACCCTCCCGCCTCAGCCCCCCAAGACTACAGGCACATGCGTGCCTGGCTCCCTCTGGTTTCTCAGTCAGAGCCTCTGCATTGAGCCAGTCCTCTCAGCAGCTCCCAGGACTCAGAACGCAGAAGCAGGAAATGGAGAGTTTGTCCTATTTGGGGCTTTTCTATTTAAGAAGTTACTGTACAAATGCCAATTTCTTGAAGGAGAGCAAGGTAGAACGTGGTGAAATAACCCACAGATGGTCTAGACAGCCCTCTGTCACCCTGAGCTGCAGCCCGCTGGCTGCTGAGCGCATCGGTGCTTGAGTCCCTGCAGCTCTGGGTCTGGTTCTTCAAGTTGGCAAAGCTGGTCTGTCCACCAAGGCCAGCTCAGAACAGACACGCCGCCCTCCTTGTGTTCTCGTGACCATCACTGTGGTGCCCACTGTGCCTCAAGTGGGATACGTGAATTTAACTGGAAACATCTGAGCTCAGTGACTGCATGCTGTGATGTTGCCTCTAAGTGCGTGGTCGTCAGTGAGGAAGCCGCACACATGCCTGTTCTGCAGGCCCCAGCAGGTGGGCCGCCACCAGCTCAGCTGATTCTGACCTCAGCGTCTCCATGGCAGCTCCACGGGTCGTTAGGCATGAACTGGAGAGCCAAGGCCTCTGTTTTAGTCTTTCAGTTCCCAAGAGTTTGGGAGTTGGAGGTTTCTTTGAATATTAGAAAACGTTATTAAGGTTTTCTAAAACCAAAAGAAAAACCATTTTGAATAGGATGGAATCTAACACTCAGATATTTATATCTATGTAATAATAATTATTATTATTTTTGAGACAGGGTCTCGCTCTGCCAGCCAGACTGGAGTGCATTGGCGAGATCACAGCTCACTGCAGCCTTGAACTGTGCTGAAGCGATCATCCTACCTCAGCCTCCTGAGTAGCTGGGACTACAGGCTCATGCCACCACACCTGGCTAATTTTTTATTTTTTGTAGAGACGAGATCACACTATGTTGCCCAGGTTGCTTTCGAACTCTTGAGGTCAAGCAACCCTCCCACCTCGGCCTGAAAAAGTGCTAGGATTACCGGTGTGTGCCAGCACACCCAGCACTCAAATGTGTTTTAACCACAGCACCTTGCTGTTTCCGTGGAGCCTCTCACTCAGTCTCCATTGCTTGATGTGTGGGGTTCAGTGTATCGACCTTTCTACTTTTGCATGTTTCAAATTATTCATGATAAAATGTTCAAAAAGCAAAGCAGGACATGTTGCTCTGAGACAAGTGGGCCTTGGGGTGTTCGCCAGACACACTGTAGAGGGGGTGAGCGGCAGCGGCAGGCCCTGTGGTGCCACTGGGTGCTGGGCTCTGTGGTTCAGCCCAAGGGGTGGCCGGATGATTCTGGAGCAGGCAGGTGCAGGGCCACTGGGGAGGAGAAGACAAATCAGGGAGCCTCGCCTGGATGTAGATTCCCCTTTAAGGTTTTTGGAGAAACATGAGTTAAAGATTAGAATTAGTTATTATTTTACTGTTTTATCTATATTACCACACCTAACTTTCTTTTTTTTTTTCCATTTAAATTATGTTTGGTTTTTTAATTTTTTAGAGACAAGGTCTCACTCTGTTGCCAAGGCTAGAGTGCAGTGGCACGATAATGGCCCATTGCAGGCTCAAACTCCTGGGCTCAAGTGATCTTCCTGCCTCAGCCTCCCGAGTAGGTGGGACCACAGGCATGCGCCAGCCACCATGGGTGGCACTTCTTGTGCCCATTTTCAAATTGGGTTGTTTTCTTGTTATAGAATTTTGAGAGATCTTTCTATATTCTGGGCACAAGTCCTTTGTTGGATTTATGGCTTATAAATATGTATTTTTTTAACTTTTAATACATATTGTTTTGTTCTTGAATAGAGACAGCCTGTGTTACCCAGGCTGATCTTTAACTCTTGGCCTTGAGTGATTTGCTTGCCTCAGCCTCCCAAAGTGCTGGGATTATACGTATGGGCCTCTGCTCCTGCCCATAGACATTTTCTTACAGGTCTGTTGCTTGTCTTTTTACTTTCTTAACACTGTCTTTCAGAGAGCAGAAGTTTTAATTTTTTTTTAATGGCCAGTTTACTTGAGATGGAGTCTCACTCTGTTGCCCAGGCTGGAGTGCAGTGGTGCAATCTTGGCTCACTGCAACCTCTGCCTCCCAGGTTCAGGCGATTCTCCTGCCTCAGTCTCCTGAGTAGCTGGGATCACAGGCATGCACCACCATGCCTGGCTAATTTTTTATTTTTTAAATTTTTAGTAGACACAGAGTTTTACCATGTTGGCCAGGCTGGTCTTGAACTCCTGACCTCAGGTGATCTGCCTGCCCCGGCCTCCCAAAGTGCTGGGATTACAGGTGTGAGCCACTGCACGTGGCCTAAAAGTTTTAAGTTTTAGGATTCACATATAGGCCTATGATTCATTTTTAGTTTTTTTTTTTTTTTTTTTTTTTAGGTGGCGTCTCACCCTATTGCCCAGGCTGGAGTGCAATGGCGTGATCTCAGCTCACTGCAACCTCCACCTCCTGGGTTCAAGCAATTCTTGTGCCTCAGCCTCCCGGGTAGCTGGGATTGCAGACGTGCACCACCACGCCAGGCTAATTTTTGTATTTTTAGTAGAGACAGGGTTTCACCATGTTGGACAGGCTGGTCTCAAACTCCTGACCTCAGGTGATCCTCCCGCCTCGGCCTCCCAAAGTGCTGGGATTACAGGCATGAGCCACTGTGCCCGGCCTTTTGAGTTAATTTTTGTTAAATGTGAGGTGTGTTTGAGGCTCGTTTTTTTGCATGTGAATGTCCAGTTGTCCCAGCACCACGTGTTGAGAACACTCTTCTCTGTACGTTGACAAATTGCCTTGCATCTTCGTCGAAAATCAGGCAACTGTATGGATTCTCTCTAACGCTCCAGCTCCACTCATCTGCGGCATCTGTCATCATCTGTCAGCAGTACCACACTGTCTTTCCATGGCTTTACGTTGTTCTTTTTTTTTGAGACGGAGTCTTGCTCTATTACTCAGGCTGGAGTAAAATGGTGCCATGCTGGCTCACTGCAGCCTCCACCTCCCAGGTTCAAGCAATTCTCGTGCCTCAGCCTCCTGAGTAGCTGGGATTATAGGCGTGTACCACCACACCCGTCTAAGTTTTGTATTTTCAGTAGAGATGCAGTTTCACTGTGTTGGCCAGGCTGGTCTCAAACTCCTGGCCTGAAGTGATCCACCCGCCTCGGCCTCCCAAAGTGCTGGGATTACAGGCGTGAGCCACCATGCCCAGATGCTTTATAGTAAGTTCTGGAGTCAGGTAATGTGAGTCTTCCATCTTTGGTCTTTTTCGATCATGTTTTGGCTATTTTAGTTCCTTTGTTTTTCCCTGTAAATTTTAGAGTCATCTTGTTGATAATATTCCGTCTTCCAATCCATGAAAGCAGTACATTTCTACACTTATTTAGATCTTCGATTTTGTTCACCAGTATTTTGTAATTCTCAGCATGTCGATTCTGTATATTCTGGTATTTTGTTAGATTTGTAAAAGCTATTTTGTTTTTACTGCCATTGTAATGGTACAATTTTGTTCATTTCAATTTCTAACTGTTCATCGTTAGCATACAGAATATACAATTAATTTTTAGATATTGACCATGTATCCTGTGGCTTTGCTTTTCTATAGATTCTTTGGGATTTTCTACATAGAGCATCATGTCTTCTTCATATAGGCACTTTTATTTGTAAATCTGGGTTAGCTTTTTTTGTTTTCTTGACTTACTACATTGGTGAAGTCTCTAGCATGCTGCTGAATGAATAGAAGTGGTGAGAGCAGCCACCCCTGCTTTGTTCCCATAAGGGGAACATACTGCCTTTTACTATTAAGAATGCTGGGGGCTGGGCGCAGTGGCTCATGCCTGTAATCCCAGCACTTTGGGAGGCTGAGGCGGGCAGATCATTCAATCTCCTTGAGTTCAGGAGTTCAAAACCAGCCTGGACAATCTGGCGAAACCCCATTTCCACAAAAAATACAAAAATTAGCTGGGTATGGTGGCACATACCTGTAGTCCCAGCTACTCTGGAGGCTGAGGCAGGAAGATCACTGGAGCCTGGGAGGCAGAGGTTGCAGTGAGCCAAGATCATGCCATTATACTCCAGCCTGGGTGACAGAATGAGACCCTGTCACACACACACAAAAAGTTGAATGCTGGGCCAGCGCAGTGGCTCACACCTGTAATCCCAGCACTTTGGGAGGCCAAGGCAGGAGGATCACTTGAGCCTGGGAGTTTGAGACCAGCCTGGGCAACATAGCGAGACCTTATCTCTACAAATAATAAAAAAAAAATTAGCTGGGCCTGACGGCTCATGCCTCAGGTCCCAGCCACTCGAGAGGCTGAGGTGGGAGGATCATTTGAGCCCAGGGAGTCGAGGCTGCAGTGAGCTGTGATCACACCACTGCGCTCCCGCCTGGGTGACATAGTGACACCCTACCTGAAAAAAGAAAACAGAATGTTGTTTGGGGAAGCACTTTAGGAGGCTGGGGCAGGAAAATCGTTTAAGGCCAGGAATTTGAGACCAGCCTGGACAATGTAACCAGACCTCATCTCTACAAAAAAATTTAAAAACATTAGCTGGGTATGGTGGCATATGCCGGTGGTCCCAGCTGCTCAAGAGGCTGAGGTGGGAGGATTGCTTGAGCACAGGAGGCTGAAGCTGCAGTGAGCTGTGATCACACTATTATGCTCCAGCCTGGGCAACAGAACGAGAACCTCTCAAAAAGAAGTTATGTTTACACTATACTGTAGTATATTAAATGTGCAATAGCATTATGTCTAAAAAGCAATGTACATGCCTTAACTTACAAACACTTTATTGCTAAAAAAATTGCTAAGGATCATCTGAGCCATCACCAGTCATAATCTTCTTGTTGGTGGAGGGTCTTGCCTTGATATTGATAGCTGCTGGACTGATCAGGGCGGTGGTTGCTGAAGGTTAGGGTGGCTGTGACAATTTCTTGTTTTTGAGATGGAGAGTCTTGCTCTGTTGCCAGGCTGGAGTGCAGTGGCGCAATATCAGCTCACAGCAACCTCCACCTCCCGGGTTCAAGCAATTTCCCTGCCTCAGCCTCCCAAGTAGTTGGGATTACAGCCACACGCCACCACACCCAGCTAATTGTTTGTATTTTAGAAGAGACAGGTTTTCACCATGTTAGCCAAGATGGTCGCAATCTCCTGACCTCATGATCCACCCGCCTCGGCCTCCCAAAGTGCTGGGATTACAGGCGTAAGCCACTGCACCTGGCCAACAATTTCTTAAAATAGGACAATGATGAAGTTTGCTGCATTGATTGACTCTTCTGTTCACAAAACTTTTCTATGTCTTATGCACTGCTATTTGATAGCATTTTACCCACAGTAGATCTTTCAAAATGGGCGTCATTCCTCTCAAACCCTGCCACTGCTTTATCAACTAAGTTTATGGAATAGTCTGAATCCTTTGTTGTCGTTTCAACAACGTTCACAGCATCTTCACCAGGAGCAGATTCAGTCTCAAAAAACCACTTTCTTTGCCCATCCAAAAGAAACACTACCTCATCCATTCCGGTTTGATCATGAGATCGCAGCAATTCAGTTCCATCTTCAGGCTCCATTTCCAATTCTAATTCTCTTACTGTTTCCACTACATTTGCAGTGACTTCCTCCACTGATGTCTTGACCCTGTCAAAGTTATCCATGAGGTTTGGAATCAACTTCTTCCAAACTCTTGTTCATGTTGATTTTGTTGACCTCTTCCCATGAATCACAAATGCTCTTCATGGTATCTACTATAGTGAATCCTTCCCAGAAGGTTTTCAGTTTTTGTTGCCCAGATCTGTGAGAGAAATCACTGTCTATGGCAGCAATCGATTAATTACCTTATGAATTTTTTTTTTTTTTTTTTTTTGGAATAGGGTCTCACTCTGTGACCCAGGCTGGAGTTCAGTGGCTCCATCACAGCTCACTGCAGCCTCAGCCTCCTGGACTCAATCCTCCCACCTCACCCTCCTGAGTAGCTGGGACTACAGGCACACACCAACATGCCCAGCTAATTTTTGTTTTGTTTTGTCTTGTTTTTTTAAAGATAGGTTTTGCTATGTTGCCCAGGTTGGTCTTAAACTCCTGAGCTCAAGCGATCTGCCCACCTGGGTGACAGAGCAAGACTGTGTCTCAAACAAAAACAAAGAAATAATAAAATGCTCTTAAAATGTCTCCATGCCAGCAATAAGGCTTTTTTGTTTTCTCTTAGCTTTTCCTTTGCAGTCATTACAGCTTATGCCTGTAATCCCAGCACTTTGGGAAGCTGAGGCCAGCGGATCACTTGAGGTCAGGACTTCGAGACCAGCCTGGCCAACATGGTGAAACCCCGTCTCTACTAAAAATACAAAAATTAGCTAAGCGTGGTGGACCACACCTGTATTCCCAGCTACTCGGGAAGCTGAGGCAGGAGAATCACTTGAACCTGGGAGGCAGAGGCTACAGTGAGCTGAGATGGCGCCACTGCACTCTAGCCTGGGCGACAGAGCTACACTCTGTCTCAAAAATAATAATAATAATAATAATAATGCTCTTTGCTAATCTCCTGGACAACTTGTTGCGGTTTCTCCATCAGCAATTTCTGCTGCACCTTGGTATTTTTGTTATGGAGATGGCTTCTTTCCTTAACCCTCATGAACCAACCTCTGCCAGCTTCCAGCTTTTCTTTTGCAGCTTCCTCTCTGCTCTCAGCCTTCACAGAGTTGAAAAGAGTTGCTCTGGATTAGGCTTCGGCTTAAGGGAATGTTTGGCCGGTCTGATTCCCTATGCAGACCATTCAGACTTTCTCAGTGTCAGCAATAAGGCTGTTTTGTTTTCTTATCATTCGTGTGTTCACTGGAGTAACACTTTTAATTTCCTTCAAGAGCTTTTCCTTTGTATTCACAACATGGCTGACTAGCACAAGAGGTCTGGCCTTTAGCCTGTGTCAGCTTTTGACATGCCTTCCTCACTAAGCTTAATCATTTCTGGCTTTTTTTTTTTTTAATGATCTTTTAATATGCTGTTGAATATGGCTTGCTAGTATTTTATTGAGGATTTTTACATCATTGTTCATCTTGGCTTATAATTTTTTTCTTGTGATGTCTTTTTCCAGCTTTAGTATCAGGGTAATGCTGACTTGGTAAAGTTAGTTAGAAGGTGTTCCCTCCTCTTTAATTTTTTGGAGGAGTTTGAGAAGGATTGGCATTAATTCTTCTTTAAGAAGAATTCTTTGGTAGAATTCACCAGTGAAGACATCAGGTCCTGGATTTTTCTTCACTAAAAGGTTTTCTTTTTTTTTTTTTTTTTTTTTTTTAATTGATCATTCTTGGGTGTTTCTCGCAGAGGGGGATTTGGCAGGGTCACAGGACAATAGTGGAGGGAAGGTCAGCAGATAAACAAGTGAACAAAGGTCTCTGGTTTTCCTAGGCAGAGGACCCTGCGGCCTTCCGCAGTGTTTGTGTCCCTGGGTACTTGAGATTAGGGAGTGGTGATGACTCTTAACGAGCATGCTGCCTTCAAGCATCTGTTTAACAAAGCACATCTTGCACCGCCCTTAATCCATTTAACCCTGAGTGGACACAGCACATGTTTCAGAGAGCACAGGGTTGGGGGTAAGGTCACAGATCAACAGGATCCCAAGGCAGAAGAAGTTTTCTTAGTACAGAACAAAATGAAAAGTCTCCCATGTCTACTTCTTTCTACACAGACACGGCAACCATCCGATTTCTCAATCTTTTCCCCACCTTTCCCGCCTTTCTATTCCACAAAGCCGCCATTGTCATCATGGCCCGTTCTCAATGAGCTGTTGGGCACACCTCCCAGACGGGGTGGTGGCCGGGCAGAGGGGCTCCTCACTTCCCAGTAGGGGCGGCCGGGCAGAGGCACTCTGGCCTCTGATTTAAAGTGAGAGGTGTGCGGCTCTTCCTCTCACATGAACACATAGAGGTGATTGTAGGGTTTTAATTGGACTAATTTCATTATTGTTGTCTTTCAGGGAGCAGGGAGACCCTAGCAGAGGGCGAGAGGTGGGGAGTGGCTGGCCAGTGGGTCAGGACACCCAACATTCGTTGATTAAGCTTGCAGTTTTATATACTGCAGTTCATAGCACCCCAAAACAATTATAGTAACATCAGAGATCTCTAATCACAAATCACCATCACAGATATAATATTAATGAAACAGTTTGAAATATTCCAAGAATGAGCAAAATGTGACACAGAGACACACACCAAGCACAGGCTGTTGAAAAAGGCGCCCGTAGACTCACTGGACACAGGGCTGCCCCAGACCTTCCACTTGGTTAAAATGCAGCCCCTGTGACGTACAGTAAAGCGAAGCCCAGTGAAACAACGTCACGCCCGAAATGGGCTTGCTTGCTTGTTTTTATTGACACATGATAGATGTACATATACTCGGGGTACCTGTGATAACTTAATACATTCATATTATGTGTAGAGATCAAATCCAGGTAACTGGGATAGCCACCACCTTGCATGTTGGTTCTTTCTTTATGCTAGAAGCATTCTAATTATTCCTTTCTAGCGATTTGGAAATGTACAATAGATTATACTATAATCCATAATCTATAGTAGGGTAAACTATAGTCACCCTACTGATCTATAGGATACTAGGTCTTTTTTCTGAATATATATTTGTACCCATTAATCAGCCTCTCTTCATACCCCCACCTTCTACCCTTCCCGGCCTCTGGTAACCACCAGCCTACTCTCTGTCTCCATGAGAGGCACTGTTTTTGCTCCCACCTGTAATAGGTTTTCATTGATGCCCTTTATGAGCTTGAAGAAATTCCTTTCTATTTCTAGTTTTCTGAGACTTTATTATGGATTTTATGGATTGATGTCAAAATTGAAACATTTTTGTGCATCTATTGGTGAAATTATGTATTTTATCTTCTTTTGACTGTTAGTATGGTAGATTAGATTGAGTGCTTTGTTTGTTTGTTTATTTATTTATTTATTTATTTATTTATTTATTTTTGAGACAGAGTCTTGCTCTGTCCCCCGGGCTGGAGTGCAGTGGCGCAATCTCAGCTCACGGCAACCTCCGCCTCCCGGGTTCATGCCATTCTCCTGCCTCAGCCTCCTGAGTAGCTGGGACTACATGCGCACACCGCCACGCTTGGCTAATTTTTTGTATTTTCAGTAGAGATGGGTTTTCACCGTGTTAGCTAGGATGGTCTCGATCTCCTGACCTCGTGATCTGCCCACCTCGGCCTCCCAAAGTGCTGGGATTACAGGCGTGAGCCACCGCACCTGGCCTATTTATTTATTTATTTATTTATTTATTTATTTATTTATTTATTTATTTTATGAGACAGGGTCTTGCTTTGTTACCCAGGTTGGAGTATAGTGATGCAATCATGGCTTACTGCAGCCTCAACCTCGCAGGCTCAAGCAGTCCTCCTGCCTCAGTCTCCCAAGTAGCTGGGACCACAGGTGGGCACCACCACACCTGGCTAATATTAAGTTCTGTTTTTGTAGGGATGGGGTCTCTCTGTGTTGCCCAGGCCAGTCTAGAGCTCCTGGGCTCAAGAAGTCTTTCTGCCTTGGCCTCCCAAAGGGCTGGGATTACAAGCAAGAGCCACAGCACCTGGCCATGATTGCTTTTTCAGTAAAACATTTTTATGATGGTAAAATATCATAAACTTGACTGTCTCAACCCATTTTAAGTGCACACTTCAGCGACTTTAAGCTCATTCACATTGTTGTGGAGCCATCACCACCTTCCAGCTCCAGAGCTTGTCCATGTTCCCAAACAGAAACTCTGTCCTCATTAAATGCTAACTCCCATTCCCTCCCCCGCAGCTCCTGCACCCACCATCAACCTTCCCTCCCCCGCAGCTCCTGCACCCACCATCCACCTTCCCTCCCCCGCAGCTCCTGCACCCACCATCCACCTTCTCTCCCCCGCAGCTCCTGCACCCCACCATCCACCTTCTCTCTCCCGCAGCTCCTGCACCCCACCATCCACCTTCTCTCTCCCGCAGCTCCTGCACCCACCATCCACCTTCTCTCTCTACGAATTTCACTGCTCGAGGCACTTCGTGTAAGTGGACGTAAACAGCGTTTGTCCTTTTGTGTCTGGCTTCTCCCACTCAGCATAAGGTCCTGAATGTTCTCCCATGGTGTGGCGCTGCCAGAATTTCACTCCTTCAGGGCTCAATATTCCCTGTGTGGAGATGGCGAAGTGCTTATCCCACTTGTCCCTTCATGGACACTCGGGGTGCTGCCACCTTCTGGCTCCTGTGAATAATGCTGCTGTGAACATTGTTGCTTTGTAGCAAATTCTGAAATTGGGAAATACAAGTTCTCCAACTTTGTTCTTTTTCAAGATCATTTGGCTATTTTGGGTCCCTTGAATTCCCATGTGAATTTATTTTAGCATCCGCTTGTCAATTCTTGCACAGAAGTCATCCGGAATTTTTATAGGGATTGCACTGAATCTGTATATGTTTGGGGAGTAGTTCCATCTTTTTATTTATGCATTTATTTTTGAGACGGAGTCTTGCTCTGTCGCCCAGGCTGGAGTGCAGTGGCGCGATCTCGGCTCACTGCAAGCTCTGCCTCCCGGGTTCACGCCATTCTCCTGCCTCAGCCTCCCGAGCAGCTGGGACTACAGGCGCCTGCAACCACGCCCCGCTAATTTTTTGTATTTTTAGTAGAGACGGGGTTTCACCGTGTTAGCCAGGACGGTCTCGATCTCCTGACCTCGTGATCCGCCGGCCTCGGCCTCCCAAAGTGCTGGAATTAAGGCGTGAGCCACCGCGCCCGGCTGTAGTTCCATTTTAACAATATCAAAATCTTTGTATCTATGAACATGGGATGTATTTCTATTATTTAGGTCTTTATTTTAACATTTTGTAGTTTTCATAGTATACGTTTTGCACGTTTTTCGTTAGATTTATTCATAAATATTTTACTCTTTTTGATGCTATTGTAAATGGAATTATTTTCTTTCTTTTTCGTTTTTTTTTTTTTTTTTTTTTTTTTTTTTTTTTTTTCAAAAAGAGTCTTGCTCTGTCTCCCAGGCTGGAGTGCAGTGGCACAGTCTCGGCTCACTGCAGTCTCCACTTCCTGAGTTCAAGCAATTCTCCTGCCTTAGTCTCCTGAGTAGCTGGGATTACAGGCGCCCACCACCATGTCTGGCTAATTTTTTTTTTTTTTGGTAAAAATGGGGTTTCACCATGTTGGCCAGGCTGGTCTTGAACTCCTGACCTCAAGCCATCTACCCACCTTGGCCTCCTTAAGTGCTGGGACCACAGGTGTGAGCCACTGCACCTAGTCGGAATTATTTTCTTAATTTCATTTTCAGTTTATTATTTGCTACTGTATAGAAAAACAATTATCCTTTTTCTTTCTTTTTTTTTTTTTTTTTTTGAGACAGAGTTTCACTTTGTTGCCCAGGCTGCAGTGCAATGGCACCCTCTCGGCTCACTGTGACCTCCGCCTCCCAGGTTCAAGCAGTTCTCATGCCTCAGCCTCCCGCGTAGCTGGGATTACAGGCGTGCGCCACCATGCCCAGCTGATTTGTTTTTGTATTTTAGTAGAGACAGGGTTTCACCATGTTGGCCAGGCTGGTCTCAAACTCCTGAGCTCAGGCAGTCTGCCCATCTTGGCCTCCCAAAGTGCAAGGATTACAGGCATAAGCCACTGTGCCTGGCCTACAATTATTCTTTCATATCGATCTTGTATACTGCAACCTTGTTGAACTTGCTTATTTTAATAGTTTTTATTGGATTTCTTAGGATTTCTATAAGGATTGTGTCATCTACAACTATAGTTTTACTTCTTTTTTTTCAGTCTGGATGCGTTTTATTTAATTTCCTTGCTTAGCTGTCCCAGCTAGAACGTCCAATACTGTTGAATAAAATCGGTGCGAGCAGACAGCCTTGTCTTGTTCCTTCTCTTTGTGTAGAAGCATTTAGGCCGGTACCATCAGGTATGATTCCTGCTGTGGGGCTTCATCAGGTCACAGGTACCACCTTCTAGTCCTGCTTTGCTGAACGGTTTTGTTATGAAGAAGTACTAGATTTGATGTGCTGTTTACTGTGTCTAAGATGAGCTTGTCGTTTTTGTTCTTTATTTTAGTGATATGGTGCATTTCATTAAGTGATTTTCAGATGTTAAACCTGCATTCCTGGGATAAATCCCACTTGGTCATGGTGTATAATCGTTTTTATACATTGTTGTGTTCAGTTTGCTGGTATTTTGTTGAGGATTTTCATGTCTATGTAAGAGATCATGGTATATGCTTTTCTTATGCCTTTGTATGATATTTGTAATCTGTACACACACATATAGGTACATACATGCACAATTTTTTTCCAACTCATTTGGGAGAAAATTGAGACATCGTGTCCCTTTATCACTGACTACTAAATATCTTGTTTATTTCCTAAGAATAAGGACATTGTTCTACACAACCATAGTCCAGATGTTGGAATCAGGAAATTCTACATGGAGACCATAATGTCACCTGATCCATGCACTTCCTCGGTCATCCCAGTTCTGTCCCTTTAGCTGCTTTCTGGTATAGGGTACAGCCCAGACACATACATTATGTGGCTGCTGTGCCCTGTTAGCCTCCTGCCCTTGTGTTTGTTGACCTGGATACTTTCAAAGAATTGAGACCAGTTATTTTGTTGAATAGCTCAGGTATGGTGGTGTTTTCTCATGATTTGATCCAGGTGATGCAGTTTTGGGAGGAATCTCATGGAATCGTGCATGTCCCCACCAGTGTATCATATCGGGGGTCCTAGTGTTGGTTTGTTTCAGTGTTGATCTTGTTAGTTCTGATCACTTGTCTATGCTCGGTTTCTGCACTGGAAAGTTGCTGTTTCTGCCTTGTAATAAATAAGTAGTTTGTAGGGAGATCTTTGGGATTAAGTAAACATCTTCTTGTGATTAAACATTTAGTCAGCATCAGGCCGGGTGCGGTGGCTCACGCCTGTAATCCCAGCACTTTGGGAGGCCGAGGTGGGTGGATCACTTGAAGTCGGGAGTTCAAGACCAGCCTGGCCAACATGGTGAAACCCCATCTCTACTAAAAATACAAAAAATTTAGCCAGGTATGGTGGTGGGCGCCTGTAATCTCAGCTACTCGGGAGGCTGAGGGAGGAGAATTGCTTGAACCCGGGAGGCAGAGGTTGCAGTGAGCTGAGATCACCCCACTGCACTCCAGCCTGGGTGACAGAGCGAGACTCCATCTCAAAAAATAAAATAAAATAAAACAAAATAAAATAAGTAAATAAACACTTAGTCAACATCAATTGTTTTTAATTATCTATGGATGGTTTTCTAACTCCAGTGATATTGCTGTACTTAGTTCTTTGGCCTCTGTTGTGACAGAGCCTCTCCTATTCCTTTTTTTTTTTTTTTTTTTTTTTTTTTGAGATGGAGTCTCGCTCTGTCGCCCAGGCTGGAGTGCAGTGGGGTAATCTCGACTCACTGCAAGCTCCGCCTGCCAGGTTCACGCCGTTCTTCTGCCTCAGCCTCCCGAGTAGCTGGGACTACAGGCGCCCGCCACCACGCCCGGCTAATTTTTTGTATTTTTAGTAGAGACGGGGTTTCACCGTGTTGGCCAGGATGGTCTCGATCTCCTGACCTTGTGATCCGCTCAACTCGGCCTCCGAAAGTGCTGGGATTATAGGCATGAGCCACCACGCCTGGCCAGAGCCTCTCCTATTCTTATGTGCATGCATCTCTCTCCGCATGGACTCGTGGTTTGCTGTTTGACGCAGGGGTCCATGCGCAGTCCCTGTTGCTGGCCTTGGTGTTCAAACTGTCCCACACTTGGTCGGTAGCACCCTTCGAGCGCGCAGGCCCCTGTCCTGAGGCCCTGTTGCCCTTTCTGGCGCAGGACGGTGTCCCAGCTCACCTGGGGCTGCCCGTGCCTCTGCTCTGCGGACCCTTCCATGAGCTATTGGTCTCTTGTTTCTGGGAAGCTCGCTCCTTTATTTCTTGAGTATTTCTTGCCCCTGTTTTTGTGTCTCACTGACTTTGGTGTATCTGTTATCCGAAGGCTAGCACTGCTGTCTTCACATCTTTTAGCTTTTTCTTCTTCCATTCTTTTTAAATTTCTTCTTCCTTGAAGTCTTCGGCAGCCTGTTCTTCCAAGTTAGTAATTTCTTCCTCAGTGAATCGTTACATTATTCGTTTCCTGAATTGAATTCTTTATTTCACGGTTATACTTTTTCACACCCTGTCGCTGGGATTTTCCTTGTTCTTGGCTCCTCATTTCCCCGTTGTGGTTCCTTGTTTCCCTGTTGCGGTACTTTTGGTGCATTTTTTCGCACAGGCATTGTCCCCAGTCTGTGTCCTAACGTTCGTGTTTCTGGTGGAGTATGTCCTCACTGTTCGTTATCAGGTATTTTGCAGTTTCTATTTGGTTTCTTTATTAACGCAAATGATTCTTTTATGATCTTTAAAATCTCCAGGTCGATAGGTTTTCATGGGTGTTGTGGATTTATTGTTATATTGAATCTGGCCAGGTTGATTTCTGCTTTTAAGTGTTGGTTGCAATATTATTTTTGGCCTAATGGTCAGGATTTCAAAGTGTATGTTTGGTATGAAGTTCTATCTATATTTTTAGTGCCTACTGTAAAAATTGAAGTTCAAGGCCTAAATATCACTGTTTTTTTTTTTTTTTCTGTGTGACTTTCAGCTTCTGAAAGAGAGGGATTAGAAGTCCCTGCAGTGTTGCCATTTTTCCAAATATGCCGCTTTGTGGTTGAGCTTTTACTTTTTGGTATTTCAAAACCTGAATGGAACGTGTGGGAAACAGAAGTCGTCTGCTTACAGGGACGCCTTCTGGGGAGCTGAGCGTACAGAGAGGACAGCAGACATCCAGCCCACCGTGGCTGCCGAGGCTGGGTGGCGTCCTGGTGGGAACCAGGTTTTCTGACATGGGTAACGTTCCCACAGAGGCTATCCTGTTCCTCCCCTGCAGGCATTGCAACCTCACGAGCAGTGATTTTTTATGGAGTCAGTAGCTTAGCAAATGCTCAAGGTTTTGTTTGTTTTGAAGATGAGAACTGAGGCAGGTAAGCCTGCTTTCTTGGGTGATCTTAGCGGAGAGTGCCTTTCCTGTCTGTGGCAGGTGGTGCACATGTCTGCGTGACCTGCGGCGAGGCTCAGGGTCTGCCCCGCTTCCGGGCAGGCTGTGTCCTCAGGCCCAGAGCCATGGCCGCCCACGCACGCCTTTGCCTTTTGCCTTCCTCCAGCCTGAGAAGCCAGGCCCCGGCAGCAAGGACCCCAAGGCCGACAGCGTGCGGGCCATCAGCGTGCGCACCCTCTACCTGGTCAGCACCACCGTGGACAGGATGAGTCACGTGAGTGCACGGCACCCGTCCCTGCCTGGCGACAACAGAGCTCTCCAGGGCAGTGGCCCAGGGTGCTCAGGCCCAGCAAAGGGTCTGTCTCCACCTTGGAGCTCCGGCAGGGCCCTGTCTGCATGGGACCGCCCTCTGGGCGGATGCAGACCAGGCCCTCTGCTCCCCTAGGTCCTCTGGCCATACCTGCTCCAGTTCCTCACCCCTGTGCGCTTCACTGGGGCCCTGACTCCGCTCTGCAGGAGCCTCGTGCATCTGGCGCAGAAGAGGCAGGAGGCCGGGGCCGACGCCTTCCTCATCCAGTACGACGCCCATGGTGCGTGCCGCGCCGTACCCCACCTCCCCACTCCTGCCCCCACTTCCCCACTCCTGCCCCCACTTCCCCATCCTCCAGTTCCTGACACCCGCCCCAGGGCTACAGGCAGCCCCCCACTGACTATTTCCACCTCTCATCTCCAGCGAGCCTCCCGTCTCCCTATGCTGTAACCGGAAGACTGTTGGTGAGCCTCGCCCTTTCACAGCGTGCCCAGCGCCCCACTCTGTGTCCCTGTGCTCCACCCAGGCTTGGAAGGGGTTACCTTCTCAGTGGGCAGCCGCGGTCAGGGCTCAGGTGTGGTTTTCCTCTACGTGGGCGGCCCAGCTTTGGGAAGAGCCAGGCTCCCCGTCGGGTGATGTGGTCCTGCAGGTGCAGGTTGTGGGCATGACCAGTGCTCCCTGCTCAGACCCGGCTCCCACGCTGCCTCTTTTCAGGTTGTGTCTTCCAGCCCCTACCTAGGGGACGGACGTGGGGCAGCGGCGCTGCGCCTCCTCAGTGTTCTGCACCCAAACATTCACCCTTTGCTGGGTCAGCATTGGGAAACGACTGTCCCGCTGCTGCTGGGGTACCTGGATGGTGAGGCCAGGGTCAGGATGGGGTGCATAGCCCTGTGGGGAGGGCAGGTCTCAGAGTAGGAGGGTGCTAGCTCTGACCCCACCTTTGCCAAGTGGCACTAGGGTGGCCAATGGGGACTAGGGTTGTATAATTGGAAAATACAGTCTCCCCTGTTGTCCAAGAAAGGCCCCAGATGACCTGGGGCTTGAAAGGCACTCCCGCTGGGTGCTTCCTGGGAGCAGGTGGGGGGCAGCGGGGCGGCGGGGCCTGTCTGTGCTGAGCATCCCCAGCTCCAGGGCAGGTGCTGGGCTCTGAGCCCCACTGGTGCGTTTTGGGATGGGCTGGCCTGCGCGGCTGTCGTTTCAGAGCACACAGAAGAGACCCTGCCACAGGAGGAGTGGGAGGAGAAGCTGTTGATGGTGAGGGCCGGGGTACGGCCCATCCTGGGCCTTAAGGTGTTGTCTGGCCTGGGGGGTGCTGGGGTGGCAGAGGCTGGGCCACCTGCCTCGACCTCACCTCGTGGTTTGGCTGGGGAGCCAAGGATCAGGCAGCATCAAGGCTGAAGACCCCAGCAGCCTTGCAGCGGGGGCCTTGCTGTGACAAGGCACCGGCCCTCTAGCAGTCGCAGCCCCAAGCGTCGGGGGCAACCTCTCACCCTGCCTGGTGAGCCAACTGTGGCATGGCTGTCCCCTGAGGGTTGGCTCTGCCGCCCCCGGCCTCCGCTGGAAGGCGGTCTGCAGCCCCTGCAGCCACAGCACATGGGGATGTGCCCAGGCTCCAGCCAGCCCTGTGAGGGGTCGGGCTCCCAGCCCCTCAGTGGCATCTTGGCCTGCAGTTCCTGCGAGACACCCTGGCCATCATTTCTGACAACGCGTGGATCTGCCAGCTGAGCCTGGAGCTGTGCAGGCAGCTGCCCTGCTACGATGAGGCACCCCAGGAGAAGGTGGGGCACCTGCTGGCGTTCTTGGTGTGGTACTTGGGCTCCGAGTTTCTGGGTCTCGTGTCTGTCACTTGCTGTCTGGGCCCTGTCTCCCGTGGCCCTGGTGGCCTGGCAGAGCCTCCTTGTGGTGGCTGAGGGCCAGGAGTGCGAGAGCCCACCGGCCCCACCGCTTATTCCTCAGATGTTGCCCCAGACTCACCCTGCAGTTCTCATCAGCTTGTGGGCAGGAGGTGCACCCCAGGGGCAGCCCCATGGCAGCGCTGGGTCTCCCTGTACTCAGGAGTCAGGCAGAGCCGTGTTCTCTGGTTTTGTTTCAGAACTTCCTGTACAAATGCATAGGCACCACCCTGGGTGCTGCTTCAAGTAAGGAGGTGGTGAGGAAGCACCTTCAAGAGCTGCTGGAGACGGCCAGATACCAGGAGGAGGCAGAACGCGAGGTGGGGCCGCTTTCCCTGCAGAAGCCCCAGACACCCCAGGGCTGGAGGACGGTGGCACCTGCTGTTCTCTGAGGCAGCTGGCTAGCCTGTGTGCCTGTGTGTGCGTGTGTGCATACACAGGTGGTGTGCGTATATGCAGAGAGGGTGTGTGCATGTGTTGATGTGTGTGCAAGTGTGCGCATGTGTGTACATGTGGGTGTGCCCGTGTCCACACGTGACAGTGTGCGTGCATGTGTGGCAGTGCGTGCTCTTCCCTGCCCGGGGTAAGTGTGCTGCCCCCCAGGGCCTCGCCTGCTGCTTCGGGATCTGTGCCATCTCCCACCTCGAGGACACGCTGGCCCAGCTGGAGGACTTCGTGAGGTCAGAGGTCTTCAGAAAATCCATTGGCATTCTCAACATTTTTAAGGTTAGGGTGACACCGGTGCAGGGCTGGGGACGGCTGTCTATCCACAAGTTTGAGGCTCAGGGGGTGCCCTGCGGGCTGGAGTGGGGCAGGAAGCTGGTTGCGTCCCTGGACCAATTTTTGCTCCTGCATTCCTTCCATGGGCAGGACCTGTGCGTGGGTGCTCCCAGTGGGGAGGGCGGCAGAATGGCCTCCCGGAGGCAAACGTAGCTGTGGCCAGGGCCACGTCTCTGCCAGGTGTGGGTGATGAGAGGGGTTCGCGGCTGGGGCAGGCCTCTGCCCCCTGGTGGCTGGCAGATTCTGCGTTCTTGCCAAACCACCAGCTGTGCTGGCGGAGCCTAAGCCTGGTTTAAGGAAGGAGTGGGCCCCTGCTGCAGGCCCCCAACCCGGCTGTGGTCCCTCTATTTCCTGTCTCCCGTAACTGTCCCAGTTACAGCATCTCAGGGCTGGACCAAGCATGCAGGGCTTCCCAGCCCTTGCTGTGCGGATGGAGGCTGATCTGCAGCGAGCAAGGGTGGGGCCTTGAGCTCTTCTCAGCTGCCTCCTGCCTGACTCTCTCACGTGGCTGTGCTGCCTTGACCCTCGGCCCTCTGCTACCTCGGCCCTTGGCCCTCTGTTACTCGGTACCCAGTGGGCCCATGCCTGGCTGGCTGCCTGTGCTCCTGCCCCTTGCAAAGAGGCTCTCCCCATCCCCAGATTCAGGTGGTGCCGTGCACGGCTGGGTCACACCTCTGCTGTCACTGACTGGCTCTGGCCCTTCTTCTGGGAGGATTTCAGGAGTTTCTGAGCCGAGGATTCCCGTCGGGGAGTGTAATTGTGTAACTGAAGTCCCGCTGGTTCCTCTGGCCTCTCAGGATCGAAGTGAGAACGAAGTGGAGAAGGTGAAGAGTGCTCTGATCCTGTGCTATGGGCACGTGGCGGCCCGGGCCCCCCGGGAGCTGGTGCTGGCCAAGGTAGAGTCAGACATCCTCCGGAACATCTGCCAGCACTTCAGCACCAAGGTGGGCACTGCGGTGGGCCTGCCACGCAGGGGAGCTGGGGCTGCCGGGGAGTCACGTCTTAACTCATTTCACTTTTTGTTGTTCAGGTTCTAGGAATAAAGGTAGAAACCAAGGTACAGTGTGTAGGAATTAAGTGCTGGACTGGCTTCTCTCCTCTCGGCTCTCCTCTGGGCGGGTTGAGCTTCATAGGCAGAGGCCGGAGGGGGAGCTTGGAGCTTGCTGGGGCTTCCTGGTCTCCGTCCCCAGGAGGCGTTCGAGAGCATCACCAGGGCTCCTTCCCTGGCCTGGGCCCTGGACGGCAGTGGGAAGAAGGGAGGCGTCTGCGCCTCCGAGGGGCCGGGTCGTGGGCTGTCGCCCCCCAGGGAGTTCAGCCAGCCCCACCCGTCCCAGGACAGCTGGAACCTCCTCTGGCTCTGCTCCCCAGTGCTCATGGGGGCTGTACCTCCCCGGACCCCAGTGAGCACCTAGGAGAGGGGCCAAGGCCCAAAGCCAGTGGAAGTGGCAGTGGAGGCTCCACTGGCCCCCAAGGCCTCACCCCAGCCTCACTAACAAGTTTCCCTTCTGGCCTCCCTGGCACTAACCTGACAAGCCCCTCTCTCAGGACAGTCAGCCCCTCCTTGAAGAATAGGCCCTCTGGTTCTCCTGCGGTGGCTGGGAGGGCGGGGCTGTTCTGAGAGGTTCTTCTCCCAGCCCTTCAGCACTCCCCGGAGGACTCTTCTCCTGCTGTGGGGGGCCCTCTGGTCACACCACACAGTGTCTGCTCTGTGGCCTGTCTTCTCTGGAGTGTGACATGGGGGAACCCCTGGGTGGCCCCCCGCTTCTTCCACATGGACTTTGATAAGCAAAAGGGCTGGCTAGAGAGCTCCTTTGAGAGCAGAGTGCAGCACTTCTGGTTTCAGAGGAAAGAAAAGGGGGTATGCGCGGGTTCAGCCCTGGAGGGCGGGCGTGGGCGTCTCCTGTAGCCCTGCGTCCCTGCAGGACCCAGCCCTGAAGCTGTGCCTTGTCCAGAGTGTGTGCATGGTCAGCCGCGCCATCTGCAGCAGCACCCAGGCTGGCTCCTTCCACTTCACCCGGAAAGCAGAGCTGGTGGCACAGATGATGGTGAGCGTGGCCGTGGCCTGGCAGGTCCTCAGGCAGGTTCCTGGGAGACTGAGGCCAGAGGTGGGGACTGGGGCACTGAGGGTGATAATGTGAAGACAGCCTGGGAACATGGGAGGGGCCATGTAGGGACACATGGGGCTCTGCTCCTCGGGCCCCGCCTGTCACTTAGGCTGGGGGACAGAGCTTGACCAGGGAGGAGAGCTGGCGTTTCCTCCAAGGGCTGAGTCATGCACCTGCCTCACCCAGGAGTTCATCAGGGCAGAGCCCCCGGACTCCTTGAGGACACCTATTCGGAAGAAAGCCATGCTCACCTGCACTTACTTGGTGTATCCTTTCCTGCCTCTGCACAGGCCCGTGCAGCTGCGTGTGTGCGTGCATGTGTGTGCATTGTGTGTGCACGTGTATGCGCGTGTGCATGTGCGTGTGTGTGCCTGTGCTTGCGTGTGTGCACGCCTTGTGTGTGCGCATGCTGCATGGGGTGCCGCCATGGTCTGGAGCAGAGTAAACATGGCAGTGGCTGTGCTGCCCACACAGGCCTGGAGGTTACTGGGTGTCTGAGTTTCAGCCTTAGGATCATTGTCTGGGGCCCTTAACTTGCCTCTCAGCTCCGTGGAGCCAGCGCTGGACGAGCAGGCCCGGGCGGATGTGATCCATGGCTGCCTGCACAGCATCATGGCCCTGCTGCCTGAGCCCAAGGAGGAGGACGGAGGCTGCCAGAAGGTATCCCTGTGTTTCCCTTGCCTGTGTCCACATCCGTGAGAGTGGTGGGAGGCCACTGTAGGCTGCGGGGTCACTGGTGGGGCTGGACGGCCTGGCTCTCCTTCCAGTCCCTGTATCTGGAGACACTGCACGCCCTTGAGGATCTGCTGACGAGCCTCCTGCAGCGGAACATGACCCCCCAAGGCCTGCAGATCATGATTGAGGTGTGCAGGGGGGAACTGTCATGGGGATGGGGATGGGGGCACAGAGGGCACTCCACCTGGCTGCTGGCCCTCTCTCCACATGTGGGCACCACAGGGACAGTTTGGTGCTCTCTGCACTTGGGGGTGGTTTATGAACAGGCAGGTGCACCCCCTCCCATCTGGGCTGGCAAGCAGTTGGGGAGGCCCTGACCCAGGTGGGACCTCTGGAGCCTGTCCTCTCCCGCCACTGCATGGCGCGGGGATGGAGGGGCCCACGGGTACCCATGGCTCCTGACTGGGGGCCGCTACCAGGGTGGTGCTAGGGTGGGGCCGACCCCCATGCTCGGAGTGTGTTCTTCTAGGACCAAGGTGGCCTCCACCCTGTCCCTCCACAGTCCTGGCTGGCCCTGGATCCACCTGGGCTGGGTTGTGTCTGTGACCAGACTGGAGGACAGAGTGGCAGGGCCAGAGGAGCTACGGTGGCCTAAGGCTGGCACCACTCTGGGTCCCCGGCTTGGCCCCCTGTAGCCCAGGAAGGATGGCCTGGCAGGGACACTGAGCTGGCCCACGATGCACAAGGCTCCTGCCCCCAGGGCTGCCCTCTGAGCAGTACCTGTGTGACGCCCCTCTTCCTCAGCACCTGAGCCCATGGATCAAGTCCCCAAGAGGTCACGAGCGGGCGCGGGCCCTGGGCCTGAGCGCCCTCCTGCTGCGCTACTTCCTGGAGCACCTGCGTGTCAGCGTGAGTACCTGGGTCCCTGGCCCGGGTGCTGCTGCCTGTGTTACTCATGACCCAGAGTGTGAGCTGCCTTCCTGGCTTCCTCTGGCCGCCGCCCCAGCTCAGGCCACAGTCCTCTTCCTTGAGACCTGGATTGAGGGCCTGTCAGGGCCAGGAGTTGTCAGGGATGGCTGCTCAGAATAGAGTCCGTTGTCATCAGGGGTCCACTGTTAGCCGGAAGGAACATGCACCTCTGGTCTCCAGGGCTTCACTGTTGAGCGCGGTGCTTGATTTGGTTGGCGATATTTTTATCATGTTCCAGAAGCATCTATTTGTTTTAATGAGAACTTTTATCAGGAACAGGTATTAGATTTTGCTAAATATCTTTTTATCATCTGTCAGGATTATTCTAGGCTTTCTTTTCTCTCTCTTTTTTTCCCTGAGACAGGGTCTCACTCTGTTGCCCAGGCTGGAGTGCAATGGTGCAAACACAGCTCACTGCAGCCTGGAACTCCTGGGCTCAAGTGATCCTCCCGCCTTGGCCTCCCGAGTAGCTGAGACTACAGGTGCATGCCACCACACCCAGCTGATTTTCTTTTATTTTTTGTAGAGATGGGTCTTGCTACATTGCCCAGGCTGGTCTTGAACTCTTGGGCTCAAGTGATCCTCCTGTCTCGGCCTCCTAAAGTGCTGGGATGACAGATGCTGGGGTTACAGATGGGAGCCACTGCACCTGGCCTTTTGTTAATGCACCAAAACTATCTTTTCTTTTTTTTCTTTCCCTCCCTCCCTCACCTCCCTCCCTTCCTCCCCTCCCTCCCTCCCTTCCTCCTTCCTTTCCTTCCTTTCCTTCCTTTCCTTCCTTCCTTTCTTTCCTTTCTTTCCTTTCTGAGACCGAGTCTCTCGCTCTCACCCAGGCTGGAGTGCAGTGGCGCAATCTTGGCTCACAGCAACCTCCGCCTCCTGGGTTCAAGCGATTCTCCTGCCCCAGCCTCCCGAGTAGCTGGGATTACAGGCGCCCACCACCACTGCCGGCTAATTTTTGTATTTTTAGTAGAGATGGGGTTTCATCCTGTTGGCCTTGAACTGGTCTTGAATTCCCAGACTGGTCTTGAACTCCTGACCTCAAGTGATCTGCCCACCTCAGCCTCCCAAAGTGCTGGGATTACAGGCATGAGCCACCGCGCCCTGCCGAAACTTTCATTCTTTATGTGGTCAAATCTCGTGTGTTCAGGGCTCTTCCCACCTCATACTTTCATGGCCTGTTCATCACATAACCCTGGTCTGGCTGAAGCTTACCTTGGTGCATGATGTGATGGATGCCCAGTCTAAGAACAATGGCTGGTCACCCTGCAGTCTTTCTCTAACATTCCAGCCTTTCCCTTCTGACTTGAAATTCTTTCTCATCAGTGGCGCCCAAGTAGATACCAGGTTTCCATCTGAGCCCAGGATCCTGTGCAAGGGTAGGGTGGGAGCACCTCCCAGGAAGGCCTCGCACGTGGGGGCTGAAAAGGGAGCAGGTGGTGGGAGGGGGACAGGTGCGTCTGCCAGGGAGGAGGTGTGGAAGTAGGAGGAAGCTGTCTGCCTATAGGAGCATGGGAGGAGCAGGACTGAGGAGAGCAGAAAGGCTCTGGAAGGCAGGACCAGGACAGTCAGGGTGTGAGGGGGTCTTGTACAGTCCTGCCCCTCACCCAAATTGGCAGAGCCCGTGCACTCCTCCCATTTGGGGCCCCCTCCTCACCCCAGTTGTCCGTCTGCCTGCACACGCCTGCGTGCCCACGTCGGCATGGCCTGGCCCTCCTTCTTGTAGGGGCCCGGCCTGGGAGCCTGTGTGGCCCTGGTGTAGACGAGGTGTGGTCAGAGCTGAGCTGAGCAGCGCCCACGCTGCAGCAGGAGGGGAGGGAGGAACTCACTGGGAGCTGTGTTGGCCACACTGAGGGCCCAGGGCTTCGTGGACACCAGCAGCACTCCTGGCCACACTCCAGCCCTCCTCTGGGTACAGGTGGCATAGGTGGCATCCACCCACCCCCAGCATTCTAATAGCCCAGGCATCTCCTCCTCCAGGCCCTGGTGCCCTTCCACAACCTGGGCCTTCTCATCGGCCTCTTCTCCCCACGGTGTGCGGACCTGTGGCCTGCCACCCGCCAGGAGGCCGTGGACTGTGTCTACTCCCTGCTGTACCTCCAGCTCGGCTATGAGGGTGAGCCCTCGTCAGGAGTGTGGGGGCCAGTGGTCGTGCAGGGGTGCTTGGAGGGATGAGGTGCGGAGTCCAGGCTGTGGGATCGCCAGGGAGGGCCTGGGCCCGACTGCTCATTCCTGCCGCCTCTCAGGCTTCTCCCGGGACTACCGCGATGACGTGGCGGAGCGGCTCCTCAGCCTCAAGGACGGCCTCGTGCACCCTGACCCCGCCATTCTCTTCCACACCTGCCACAGTGTAGGCCAGGTACCAGCTGGGAGCTCTGCGGCCGGAAGGCAGGCTGGCACTGTCTGGGGCTAACAGGGACTTCCGAGGTGGCACCTGGCCTCCCCTAGCCTCTGGAAGTGCCACCCATGGCCAGTGGGCATGAGCAGGGCCTGGGTGTTTGCATTAGTTGCCGGCGCTGCCCTGCGCTGGCCCCATCACCCACACCCGCCTACGCTGGGGCAGTGCAGTCCATATGAGAGGAAGGTGCTATTTGTCTTGAGACCTGGCAGAGGCCAAGGAGAGAATGGGGTGCCATGAGGCACAGCCGCCCTCTGTCTGCCACTGATACCCTGGCCTGCTCATGAAGATGCAGGTTTCTGGAACAGAATCTTCAGCGGCTGCCCTGTGTGGTGTTGTCCCCAGAGGCTACCCAAGAGCCACGTGGGGGGCTAGGGTCATCGCCTGCAGGGTGCAGCGGGCTCTAGCCCTCTTGCCAAGGGGCCTGCCCTTGGTTCCAGCTGGTCAAGGTGCTTTGTCTACTGCCATCTGAAGGGAGGATGACCCTGGGCACCGCGTCCCCTCCCCGACCCATGCCTGCCTGGTCTACTCTGAGGCTCAGCTCACAACACAAGCTTGAGTATTATTAAAGTATTGCATTACGGGGGGGAAAAAAAGAGTCCTTCCAAGGGGATGAGAAAGCTGCCCCTCCCTCCGTGCTCTCATGTGGGTCCCCAAGCTGGAACACGGCCTGTCTCCATTTGGTGCTTAGGAATGGCCTTCCAGGTCCAGAGACTGTGTCTCCTGCAGAGGAAGGAGGGGTAGGTCACCAGGGCCTTTTCTGGTGCTGGGATCACAGGTGTGAGCTAAGGCTCACCTGCCCTTGACCCCGTGTTCTAGAGAGCTCCAGGGCGACTGCACCACAGGGCTGCTCCCAGCCCACTTCACTGGTCAGAAGGAGCCTGAGGGAGGGTACTGTGACCCCAGCCCTGCAGCTGCCCAGGCACCACCTTCCAGGAGCCCGCCCAGGTTCCAGCAGGCCCTGGCAGGTTCCGGAGAAGGAGACCCCACCCCCGTGCAGCGAGCTCATTGAAGGCGCAGGGCCCAGCGGCTGGGGCCCGGCTGCAAGAAGGGGTGTGGCTTCCCGCCCTAACGCGAGCCCCTGAGACCCGATGCCTAACAGAAGTGGCGTTGGGGGTGCCCCCCTTCCCTCAACCTCTGGCATCGCCTTCCTCCTAGATTATTGCCAAGCGCCTCCCCCCAGACCAGCTCATCAGCCTCTTGCTAACCATGTTTGAGGCCCTGGGAGACCCCGAAAAGAACTGCTCCCGAGCAGCTACCGTCATGATCAACTGCCTGCTGCAGGAGCGGGGCGGTGTGCTCCAGGAGAAGGTGGGAGAGGGCGGGGCGCGGGGGGTGCTCCAGGAGAAGGTGGGAGAGGGCGCGGTGGGACGGGCAGGGCAGGAGTGGGGTAGTGGCTCTTGGAGAGGTGGCACTGCGGGAGAAAACAGTGAGGCTGGCCCTGGCCTGTCCTGGACCACCCTGCCCAGCCCTCCTCGGGTGTGACCCCCACTGCTCTGCCCCCTCTCCCTACAGGACTACCATGGAGAAATCTTTCTCTTATGTCTGAAGACAGGGGTTAGAATTTGGCAAAAACAAGTGCTGAGAGAATAAGGGGGGAAAAGGAAGTGAAAAGGCGGGTGAAAGCGCTCATGTTTCCCTTAGCCCACAGGGTGTCAGCCGTCCCCTAGGGAGAGGCAAGCCTGACCTCATGGCCCATTGCTTTGTTTTCACCCAACATGGTGGTATTTTCCAGCTGTGCAGTAAGCATTTGGCAGTAGGGGTCACCATGGCTGAGGGTGGAGAGGAGACTCCCAGGCCAATACCCATCATGAGCAGGGAGCCCCCTCGTGACAAGGCCGTCCCCCAGAGTGAGGCTCATGCTATGCTGCTGCTGGACTTGTGGTGGGCCTGGGGGTCCCAGGGCCAGCGTCCTCCTGCCCACGTTTCCCCCGCGTTCCGTTCACCTGCTTTCTGGAGCAGCAGGACAGTCGCAAACTCACAGCCCCCCCCAAGTCCCATCCTTCCGTCTCAGGCCCAGCTCCATCCTCGGTCTGGGAATCTGTCTCCTTCTCCCTTCCCGCCACGTCCCCAGCCCAGCTCCCGCAGGAGTGCCGTTGGCAGCTGTGTGGGTCCTGCCTCCGGTGGGCCTGCCAGGGGAGCCTGAGAGTTGCACCCAGCAGGCGTGCTGTGAGGGCATGGGGCCGCTGGCTCTGTTGGATGCCTGCCCAGCTCCGAACCAGCCTCTGGGCCACATGTGCCCTTGGCGCTTCCTCTACCTCCCGGGGCACTGGCCACTTTGCACGCAGAATCCAGGTCGTGGCTCCAGTTCCTTGGCTTCTGGGCTGTCCGTGGCCCACGGGGGATCCTGGCCCTACCTCAGGCTGGAACCAGCAGTATGGAGCTCTGCATCTCATGGGGCTCCCTCATGGCCCCACCCCCTTGGGCTGGCGTAGGTGTGCCCACAGCTGTCCCCCACGCGTGGCCTGACCACCGTGTCCCGCCCATCTACAGGTGCCCGAGATCGTGAGCGTCCTGCGCTCCAAGCTTCAGGAGGCCCAGGGAGAGCACGTCCTGCCGGCCGCCCAGCACAGCGTGTACCTCCTGGCCACCCAGCACTGCGCAGCCGTGGTGTCCAGCCTCCTGGGCAGCCCCTTGCCCTTGGACAGGTACCCAGCTCAGACTCCAGGCTTAGGGGTCCCTCTGGAATGATGCTCCCCCTGGAATGATGCTCCCCGAGCCCTCCACCCGGCTCTGCACCCCGACTTTCTGCATGAGTTCCCATGGCTGTAGGCCACGTGGGACAGAAAGTGACATGGAGCCAGGCCCCAGTCTCTCAGGTACCCACGGGGACCTCTCCTCTCCAGGCGTTTTGGGATCCTCACTGGCTCCGGTGGGCCCTGCACAGCACCCCCACAGGGAAGCTGCTGTTTCTGCCTTCCTCTAAGGTCCCAAAACTGCCTGGCTGCTCTGTTGGCCCCAGGCTCCAGCACACACTGGAGGCTGCCCCTCACCCTGTGTCTTGGTTCCGGCTACTCCAAGCCTTGTCCTCTGCAGGGCATCCACTGCTGCCTGTGAGCAGACCCCTGGGAACTGCCTGATCTGAGCCCCCTCAGGAGCCCAAGGACAACCTTGTCTGTACCATACATCACTATGTCTTCCCAAGCTCACACCTCCCAGCTCCCAGCAAAGGGCAGGGCGTGTCTACCACCCACCAGCCCACTGGGGTCCCCCTTCCTCGCCGAGGCCTCCGGAGCATGGGTCTGCTGGCCCTTCCTTTCTTTGCCATCTTAGTCATGGACAGAGGCTGGCCCAGGGGCACCTGGCTTCCTGTGACCTCCGGGAGACTCCATGCTGGGCAAGGCAGAGTGACCCTTCCCCTGGCAGGCGGGGGCATGAGGCTGCCACGGGGAACACAGGTTTCCTTGCACCTGGCCCTTTACCCTGTCAGCTTTGCTGTTTTCATGTGCTCTGACGCCCTCCCATTAGGTGCATCCAAGCTGCAATGCCCACTTCCTCCTGGCAGGGGGGACCCGCAGGCACCTTCTGCTCAGAGGTGCACTTGTCTGGTGGCCCTGCTCCTTCCTGGTACTGTTGACCTTTCTGTGTGTTTGTTTTAAATCTCTTGCATGGTAAATAGCTGCATTTTGTTACTGATAAGAGTGAGTTTAAATCCACTGTCATATCTTTTGCGTCTTTGTTACACATTTTGTTTTTTAAAAATCTTCTTTCTTGTCCTTTTTTAGATTGACAGTGTCCCTCTTACCTCACTTTCTCCACTCAGTTTGTAATCCTGCAGTCTGTTGCTTTTCTTTTAGCGTTTGCCCTAAAGGTGGCTGCATGTGTCCTCACTGAAGTCCAGCATGGGCCCCAAATGCAGGCTGAGGTCTGGGTCTGGCTGGGCTGCTGGGCGCCCGAGTCATCATGACCATTGTTCCTGGGCACAGCCGGCGTTGACTTGTATTTCCTCCGTGATTACCGCCTGGCTCATCAATCACTGTTTTCGTTTTCCGTGGAGGCGTGGCTCACACAAAGGGCAAGCACGGAGTCACTGGGTCCTGCAGGACTTTCCAGGTCAAGGCAGAGGAGGTGTCCGGTCCCCAGCAGGCTCCTGTGTGCCCCTCAGTCCCCTAGAGGGTCACGGCCACCTGACCGCCACCACTAGAGGTTTTGGCGATTGTGCTGTGTGGTGGGTCTTCCCGGCCTCTGCTTAGCACAGCAGTGCTGCTGCCCATCCTTCCTCCTTGCCAGGTAGTGCCGGGTGCTGCTGCCCATCCTTCCTCTGCCGGGCAGTGCCGGGTGCTGCTGCCCATCCTTTCTCCTTGCCGGGTAGTGCCGGGTGCTGCTGCCCATCCTTTCTCCTTGCCGGACAGTGCTGGGTGCCGTGTGGGCTGCACTGTGTGTGTGTTTCTAGGTGATGGACATTCAGATTGTTTTTTGGTTTGGGGCTGCTGGGGATGGCGATGCTTTGAATGTTCCTGGGAGTGTCTGTTGGTGGGTAGAGCATGCATTTCTCTTTCGTGTGTATATAGGAGTGGAATCAAGGCCGGGCACTGTGGCTCATACCTGTAATCCCAGCAGTGTGGGAGGCTGAGGCAGGAGGATTACCTGAGGTCAGAAGTTTGCGACCAGCCTGGCCAACATGGCAAAACCCCGTCTCTACTGAAAATATAAAAATTGGCCAGGCATGGCCAGGCGCAGTGGCTCACCCCTGTAATCCCAGCACTTTGGGAGGCTGAGGTGGGTGGATCACGAGGTCAGGAGATCGAGACCATCCTGGCTAACATGGTAAAACCCCGTCTCTACTAAAAATATAAAAAATTAGCCAGGCGAGGTGGCAGGCGCCTGTAGTCCCAGCTACTCGGGAGGCTGAGGCAGGAGAATGGTGTGAACCCAGGAGGCGGAGCTTGCAGTGAGTTGAGATTGCACCACTGCACTCCAGCCTGGGCGACAGAGCAAGAACTCTGTCTCAAAAAAAAAAAAAATTGGCCAGGCACGGTGGCTCACGCCTATAATCCCGACACTTTGGGAGGTGGACCACCTGAGGTTGGGAGTTCGAGACCAGCCTGACCAACGTGGTGAAACTTCATCTCTACTAAAAATACAAAATTAGCCAGGCGTGGTGGTGCCTGCCTGTAATCACAGCTACTCGGGAGGCTGAGGCAGGAGAATCACTTGAACCCAGGAGGCGGAAGATGCAGTGAGCCATGATTGGGCCATTGCACTCCAGCCTGGGCAACGAGAGCGAAACTCCGTCTCAAAAAATAAATAAAATTTATTTCATATATATATATATATATATATGAATTAGCTAGGCGTGGCAGCACGTGTCTGTAATCCCAGCTACTCAGGAGGCCAAGGCAGGAGAATCGCTTGAACCTGGGAGGTGGAGGTTGCAGTGAGCTGAGATCGCGCCGTTGCACTCCAGCCTGGGCAACAGAGCAAGACTCTGTCTCAAAAAAAAAAGAAGTGGAGTCACTGTGGCCATCTCTACCCTGCCACCCCGTGAGCTAAGGATGGGTTCTACATTCATAAATGGTCAGAAAAAGACAAAAAGAATATTTCATGACACGTGAAAATGATAGGAAATCCTGATTCCAGTGTCCATGAGTTAAAGCTTCCGGAAGCAGCCGCTCCGTCCACTTCCACGCTGTCTGTGGCTGCTCTCGCACTACAGCGGCAGGCTTGATGAGCTGCCAGAGGCCACCCGGCCCCCAAGGCCTGAGCCATTGTCTGTCCTGGTCAGAAGCTTGCCAGCCCTTCCCTGGGCACAGGTTGGCTTGGCTGTTGTATGCAGCCTCATGGGGGCCCACAGTGGCTGAGTCTGTGGCCTCCTGGCGCCTCAGCGACGGCCACCGCGTCCTTGCTGGCGCGTGCTGTGTGCCTGCCCTCCTGTGCATTTGTCCACGTTTCCTGCCAGGTCATTTGCTCCCCACACTCACGCCCAGCCCTCTGCTGCTTGCCTTCTGCTTGAAGGACGCTCCTGGAATTCCCACCACAAGGATCAGTGACACACTGTCCGCCTTTGTTTACTTGAGAATGTCTTTATTTGGCCATCCCTTGTGACTGTTCTTTCCGTGGCTTAGTATCCTAGTTCAGTGGAGTTTGCTCAGGTGTGTGACAGCACATCACTGTTTCTGGCTTCTGTCGTTGCTCCTGAGAGCCAGGTGAAGTCTCCTAGCACCGCATCTGTCCAGGAAGCCACTGCCTGCTTGTTGCTCATCTGTAGTTTGCAGGTGGGGGTTGCTTTTCCTTTGTTCTGCCAGGCGGCTTCAGGGCTCCCTGTCTGTAGGTCAGTATATTTCACCAGTTCTGAAAACCCCAACCTACTCCTTGACAGCCATTGTTTCCTCTGCCTCTGGGACATCCATCAAATGTACGTTAGCCCTCATTCCATCTTCCGCGTCCCTTATTCTGTCCTCTGCCTTCCCACGTTATTCTCTGTAATAATTTATCTGAAATTTTTTTATCTTCCTATTCACTGGGTAAGTTCTTAATCTTCCTATTTACTGTTTCTCTCTTCTACTGTATCTAGACTGGCACCAAATATGTCCACTGAGTACATTAGTGTTTCATTTCTAAAAGAGCTGTTTGGTTTTCTTTCAAATTTGCTGTATCTGTTTTTAGAATTTTCAGTTCCCGTCATATTCAGAGTTTGTTGTTCATTTCTGCAAACGCTGAGCGTAGCTGCCTCACGGTGCGTCTGCGGTGCCATCTGAGTGTTCTTGGCAGCACTGCCAGGTCTCCCTGGGAGCTGCGCTCTTTGACCCTGTGACGTCCTGAGGCCTGGGCCAGATGCTGCTTCCTCCAGGGAAGATTTGTTCTCCCTCCCAGTAGCTCCCCAGGGACCTCCCACACCACTGCCCTGGGCCCTGTGTGTATAGGCCCAGATTTTTCTCTGTGTCCTTTATTACCAGCTCTGTTTACAGATCCCTGGAGTCAGGGGAAGGGGTGAGCTCAGATCTGAGGCCAAGAGGCCATTTCCCAGCTGGCTGCAGCTGAGCCTGGTGGCTGTGTCTGAGCGTCGTGGAGCCAGGGTCCACGGCACCCAGGTGGCGGGGGGCAGGCGCCCTGACCAGCCACGGCCTCAAAGTGACTCTCCTGCTCTGCTCCAGCCACACCTGCATGCTGTGGCGGGCGCTGGCGGTGGAGCCTCGCCTAGCTGCCCAGGTCCTGGGGCTGCTGCTGGAGAAGATGAGTAGGGACGTCCCTTTCAAGGAGAGCCGGGCCTTCCTGCTGGGCCGCACCCCAGACCGCGTGGCCACGCTGCTGCCTCTCTCGGTGAGTCGGGCTCTCGGGGCCACCTTGACACGCTGTCCCTGCCCCGCTTGCCTGGGTGCCCGGGGGCAGGCCTTTTGATGAGGTGGCCCGGACGCCACCCCACAGGCACCTGGAGGCAGCACCGGGCTGGGAGCTCTGAGCTCAGGCTCGTAAAGGCCTCACAGGTGTGGGCCCCCAGGGGAGGCCACTTCATGTTTTATCCTGCGGAAAAAAAATAAACCCAGCTTGGCAGTGTTTTAAGCAGTAAAGCAGCTGTGAGAATTCCCTCCTCCTCCTTTCTGAGGAGCTGAGAACAGATGGCCTGAGGTCTGTCCTGTGAAGGCTGACTGCCCCTCTGTCCCTGTCTCCTGCCTCTACCCCTGAGGGCCAAGCCATGCAGTGGTGCGCCTCGCCCTTCCTGCGCTGCAGCTGGGATCTGAGACCTCCGAGCACATGATGCAGGCGAAGGGGGATGCAGTCTCATTGGGTGCAGGGCTCAGATCTCCTGCGGCCTGGAGGGAGGCATGGCCCTGTGATGACTTCTCCCCCAGGCTACCTGTGCACTGTTTGAGGTCATGTCCACGCCTGCAGCGGGGCCCGCGGTGCTCGAGCTCTACCCCCAGCTGTTTGTGGTGCTTCTGCTGCGCGTCAGCTGCA
Source organism: Homo sapiens (assembly GCF_000001405.40). NCBI lineage: Eukaryota > Metazoa > Chordata > Mammalia > Primates > Hominidae > Homo > Homo sapiens. Next base: position 144,255,615 of record NC_000008.11, read on the forward strand.
CCGTGGGTGTCCAGCTGCCCCGGAACCTGCAGGCCCAGGAAAGGAGGGGTGCCAGTCCAGCCCTAGCCACCAGGAACCTGGAACCCTGCAGGTATCTGGGTCCCCACTTCCCACCTCCAGTACTGATTCGGAAGCACAGGCATGCGTGTGCACGCGCGTGGTGGGGGCGGACGGCAGATCTGAACCACGGGGAGTGTGGGAGTGACTTTGCTTCCAGGGAGCTGGCGCCTCACCCAGGTGCAGGGCTGAGCTGTCAGTGGTGACATCCATGGCCACCCTTCTCACACTGGCTGTGAAGGCCTCCCTCCTCGCCTCTGCGGGCGGTCTGCACGGTGGTGCTGAACACAGGCAGCTGGTGGGGGCTTCGTGTGGCAGCTCAGGCAGGATCCGGGTGGTGCCTTCTCCTGGGAGTGGAGTTGTGTGGAGTCTTTGGGGTATAGGCTGGGGTCAACCATGGCAGGACCAGCTTTGTCCCTGAAACTGCCCCAGCAGAGCGGCCTTTGGCACGTGTTCACAGCCCCACACGTAAGAGCTGCCCAGGTGCCTGACATGAAGCATTCCAGGTCCTACACACCTGCCTGGGGCCATAGCACAGACAGAGGAGGCTGACACCCTGGGCAGGCGTGGCTGTGTGGCCTGACCCCAGGACCACGAGCCCATGTGAACGCAGGGCTGCCATGCCGCACCTGCCCAGGAGGGCTCTGGTTCCATCCCACCCAGGCGCCCAGGTTTGGGTGTGCACCTTGGCCAGGACACACCAGGGGGACAGCCTCACTTCAGCCCCTCCCCCTGCCCCCCTTGGCCAGGACACACCAGGGGGACAGCCGCACTTCAGCCCCCTCCCCCTGCCCCAGCACCACAGGCTGCTCAGACCCAGGCCAGCTCGTAAAGCCCAGTGGGGCCGGCTGCCAGCGCTGCTCTGCCCCTAGCAAACTGAGTGGAAAATGTGAATGGGATGGGGCAGCCACCAGCCCCTGGGCCTGGCCTGCTGCGAATCAGTGCCTCCGCCCCGAGCTGTAGGGCTGCGGGCCCCACGCCCACCCCCAGGTGCCCCTTCACTGGGACGATTGCAGAGCCTGGTGTACAGGCCGTTCGCCAGTGGGTCGGACCCTTGTGGGTGCCACATTCTTAAATGTCCTGGGCACACAAACAAGGGAGGCACCCTCATCCAAATCACTAACACATTCGTGAGCCAAACACACGCTTCCCGTTAGATTTGTCGAAGCTGGTTGTGAGTTGCTGTGCCTGCGCCATTTGCAGCCTGGAGCGCAGCCCCTGGTCCAGATGGGGCCTTGCAGGGCTCGAGGCCTGGAGCAGGGTGTGGAGCTGGAGGCAGAGCTGCACTCAAGCTGGGCCCTGGCTCAGACCATGAGGCCCTGGCTCAGACCATGAGGCCCAGCTGAACTGACTGTGGCCCGGTGGGTCCTCCCTCCGCCTGCGGCTGGCCTGGCCTGTATGTGTCAAGGGCATCTCCCAGGAACTGCAGTGACTGGTGTGGCTCTGTCCTCTGCCTGTGGTCAGTGCTGGCTGTCCTGTTCCCAGGGCTGGAAGCCCCCTTGGCACCCAGGCTACCTGGGCTCAAAGATCAGGCCCCAACACTGGAACCATGGGACTCCAGGCTTTTCCAGAGCTGCCTTCTCGTACGTCCGACCTTGGGGAGGGAACCCGTGAGAGAGAGGAGCCTGGGGACACTCATCAAGGGCTGTGTGAGGGGCTGGCCCTGCTGTTGGTCAGCACCAGACCACCCAGGCACACCCCATGGGGACAGTGGTATACTGGGAGCAGGCCCCCAGCACCTCCTTCCTGGGCTGCCGAGACCCCCGTGGCCCTCAGCTCCTACAGCCCCTGTCCAGCTCTCAGGCCGCCTCATTCCTGCCGGCATCACCAGCCCTGTGTACCCAACCGTCCAGAAGCCTCATGGGGCCCATCACCAGATCTCTAACAAGCTTGTCTCATGCTCCTGTGCCCACCACACCCTCCTCCTAGATCCCACCTGCATGAGGGCCTCACACACCATCCAGGCGAGTAGGGCCTGGCCCCCAGCTTGGCGGGGCCACTTGTTCCCTGCTAGGCCCACTCCACGTCGCAGCACACCAGGGGCCCTGTGGGACACCTGGCAGGAGGTGACCAGGGCAGTGGCACTGTCACCACCACCAGCGGTCACCACACGGCCCGTGCCGCTCGGGGGTTGTCTGCTTTTGGGCCAGGTGCTCCTGAGGACGAAGCCTTGTGGGGACAGAGGTCCAAAGGCGGCGGGGGCCTAAGTGTGAGGTGCTCGAGGGCAGCGGAAAGCCACATGGCAGGGGCTGTGGAGTTGAAATGGAGGGTCCTGCTGGGTGGGGACGCTGGTGCAGGGCATCCTCTGCCCCAGACCGTGCCTGTTGGGTCACACACTACGCCCCACCCACTGGCAGCCAGGAGTGGAGCAGCCTCAGCAGGGAAGGGCTCATCTGAGCCGATGGTCGATGCCAGGCTCAAGCTGGGCCCTGTAGAGGCTTCAACATCAGACTCTCCCTGCCAGTTTCTGGCCCAGCCACTGCCAGGGAGACCAGAGGGCAAGGTGCTTGCCTGGTGGAGGTCTGGGGAGTCAGAGAGTTGGCCAAGGTGGCCCCCATTGCACGCCCAGGGCGCCTGCTCTTCAGCACGCCAGCAGCCCCTCCAGCTCTCGGCACCATCCTCCCGCTCACTTGCCAGCCAGCCTCAGCCGACACTGGGAGTGGATCAGGGGCCTGCTCGCCTCCCAGAGGGCTGTGGAGTCTCCTGGGGTACAGGTGTGAGAACCCGAGGTGCCAGGCAGGAACAGGCCCGGGGTGGGGGGCACCTGTGGTGTGGGTGCCCAGCAGCGTCTGGGTGTCCGGAAAGGAAGGCCGGTGCAGCCAGAGGGCTTTGCCTGTGTCCAGCTCTCAGGCTGGTGGCCAGGTGGCCACAGGCTGACCTTGCTACTAGCTCACCTCCAAGCCAACATCTGCGTCCTTGCCTTGGGTGGGGAAATGGGGGGCCTCTAGCAGATGGCCCAGAGCCTGCTTCCTGGAGAGTGGCTCTGGCAGGGATAGGGCTAGCCACCAGGTGGGCAACACGCATTGGGTGCAGACCTGAGGAGTTAATCAGGAAGGGAGGTAGGCGTGTGTGCCCTACCAGCTGAGCACCCTGGCAATCCTGCAGCTCTGCAGTGGACACCCTGCGGTCCATGCTACTCCGCAGCGGCAGCGAGGATGTGGTACAGCGCATGGACCTGGAGGGAGGCTGGGAACTGCTCAGGACCTCGGCGGGGCATGAGGAGGGGGCCACCAGGTTGGCCAGGTGAGCGGGCCCAGCCCACTGCAGCTCCAGCACTGGCTGGGCTCCACCGGATCTCGAGCCCAGAACATGACAGGATCAGGCGGGGGCCCATGCGTGTCAGGCCAATGGTGCCCTGGGCTCCTGCCTGTTCACTCTCTGGGGCAGGGGTAGGGAGGCACCCCTGCAGAGGCCTGGCGAGGCAAGCTGGGAGGCATCTCTGAAACATAGAACTCCCAGAACCTGGCAGCTGGCGGTGGAGCGGACCAGGGCTGTGCAGGGTGGAAGGTGCCTGGGTAGGGTTCAGCACAGCAACAGCCCCTGCACCCTCAGCGGCCCCCTTTCCCAGGGCCATGGCTGAGCACGCAGGGCCCCGACTCCCCCTGGTGCTGAAGACGCTGGCATGCACACACAGCAGTGCGTATGAGAACCAGAGGGTGACCACCACCGCCTTCCTGGCCGAGGTAGGCCCTTCCAGGGACGGATGCTGGGCACCAAGGTGGGGCTCCTGCTCAGGACAGGCACGGGATGCCCTTTTCTTACCCCTAAAAGGCCCCCTCGACCGTGGTCTGTGAGGGAGGTTATGTGGATGCTAGCTACCTCCTCCCCCATGCCAGAACTCACTCAGTCCCACCCAGGGACACCCCCTCTGTGCCTGGTGAGAGGAGGACCGAGGCTCCCTGCAGCCTGTACTCTCCCCAAGTCCAGCTGGGTACATTTGTAGCTGGACAGGGCTGGCCCCTGGGACCCCAGGTGCCCTTGGTGGTGTGGTCTTGGCCTTCGTGGCCAAAGATGCCAAAATCTTGCCCAAGGCCGTGCAGCAGAGCACAGCGGGCGTCAGAGCAGGCCCCAGCGGCACAACAGGGAGGGGTCGCCACTGATCGGAGACCCAGGGAGTAGGTGCTCCACCTCTGTCTGCCACACCGGCGTGGGGACAGCCTCTGGTGTTCTGGGCCTGGGCTGGTGGGTTGAGCCCTGGGGTCAGCGGGGAGAGGGAAGTCACAGCACCTCTGCCTGCAGCTGCTGAACAGCAACGTGGCCAACGACCTCATGCTCTTGGACTCGCTGCTGGAGAGCCTGGCGGCTCGCCAGAAGGACACATGCGCCAGCGTGCGGAGGCTGGTGCTCCGCGGCCTGGCCAACCTGGCCTCCGGCTGCCCTGACAAGGTGGGGTGGCCACCAGCCCCTCTGGGTCCCAGGCAGCATGGGTGGGGGGCTGTGCATGGAGGCCACCCTGTCTTGTGGGGTAGCAGACGGTGACTCTGGGACCCAGGCTGAGTGTAAGGTATCCTCAGGTGCGAACCCACGGCCCCCAGCTCCTCACAGCCATGATTGGCGGGCTGGACGACGGGGACAACCCTCACAGCCCAGTGGCCCTGGAGGCCATGCTGGGCCTTGCGAGGCTGGTGCACCTGGTGGAGTCCTGGGACCTGCGCTCAGGGCTGCTGCACGTGGCCATCCGCATCCGGCCTTTCTTCGACAGTGTAGGCTGGTTGGGGCAGGGGGAGGGAAGAGGGCCCCAGCCCTTCCTGCCTCTTACTCTGAGCTTTAGCCCCAGCCCCACCCTCCTCCCTGTCTCCCACCTCGGCTAGGTGACCGTGGAGAGCGCGGACCTGCAGGGCTGCTGCTTTGCTGGGCCTGGCAGCCCCCACCCGTAAGGCCCCCACCCGTCGGGGTGTTTCCTGGCCCGGGTCAGGCAAGGGCACCCATCAATGGCAGGGGGCTAGGCAGGCAGGCCTGCAGGGGCACAGCCTGTGAGGAGACGTATGCTGCATGTCCTTCCCAGGAGAAGATGGAGTTCCGGACGGCATCTATCCGCCTCTTTGGGCACCTTAACAAGGTCTGCCACGGAGACTGTGAGGACGTCTTCCTGGACCAGGTGGTGGGCGGGCTGGCGCCCCTGCTGCTGCACCTGCAGGACCCTCAGGCCACCGTGGCCAGCGTGAGTAGCCAGGGGGTGAGTGGGATGGGGTGGGTGGCCTCAACTGGACTTGGCCCCAGTGCCGCATCCCTTAGGCCTGCAGGTTTGCCCTGCGCATGTGTGGCCCCAATCTGGCATGTGAGGAGCTCTCAGCTGCTTTCCAGAAACACCTGCAGGAGGGCCGAGCCCTGCACTTCGGGGAGTTCCTCAACACCACCTGCAAGCACCTGGTGAGGGGTGGGGCCAGGCGGGGCGTGGTGGGTGGGGCGGGGCCAGGCGGCACTGACCAGGCCTCTCCCCAGATGCACCATTTCCCAGACCTGCTGGGCCGTCTCCTGACCACCTGCCTGTTCTACTTCAAGAGCAGCTGGGAGAACGTCCGAGCTGCTGCACCCCTGTTCACCGGTAAGCACCACCCCCTGCCCCACCCCCACGCCGCCCGGCAGCCCCGCCTGATGCCCCCACTTCACAGGGTTCCTGGTGCTGCACTCGGAGCCCAGGCAGCAGCCGCAGGTGGACCTGGACCAGCTCATTGCGGGTGAGCACCCCTCCACGGGGCCCCTCCGCTGGGCCCTGCTGACCCTGTAGGCACCCGCAGGGACTAAGTGATTTTCCTGGATTTCAGGACTTTTTCCCTGTCACTGGTGACCTCATCGTCTCTAGTAATTCACGGAAACTTCTTAACTGTTCCAAAAGAGCTTAAAAAACACTAAAAAAGGAAAAACGATCTTTCCGTTGGCTCCTGAGCCTCCCAGCAGAGGCTGTCAGGAGAGCGTGGCCCACGCGCAGGCATGGGCATGCCGAGGTCACAGCCCGCAGGCAGCCCCCCTCCTCTACCCCCAGCGCTCCAGATCCTGCTGAAGGACCCGGCCCCCGAGGTGCGGACGAGGGCTGCTGAGGCCCTGGGCCGCCTGGTGAAGCTCGCCTAAGGCTCCGGCCAGCACCCCCAGCGAGGAGTATGCACCCAGACCTGTGCCTGAGCTCCAAGACAGGGCCTCCTGAGGACCACAGCCTGGGCACACGACTGGAGGGGCCTGGCCCCAGAACAGGCACTGCTGGGGACCAAACCCAAGCCCTTCAGTGAGGGATGTGCCCAATAAACTCATCTGCTCCCAGCGAGTGACTGACAGGGTGCGATGCTGAGCCTCTTAGGGGATGGGCCAGAGGGTGCCCTGGACTGGCTGTGTTGTCCCCACTGTTTTTGCAAAATTGAGTGAGGGGAAGGCTCGGCGCTGTGGTGGGGGCGGCTTTGTTGGCAACCCCAATTCAAGAAGGTGGGAGCACCAGGCAGCACAGGGTAAAGGCTCTGTTGACTTCAGCACGACCACCCCAGCCCCAGGCAGGCAGAACAGCTAGGTGAAGAGGCGGACAGTCCCGTCTGCCCCCGAGGAGAAGACCCACGGCTGGGTGGGGTGGAAGATGACGTCCAGCACTCCCAGATCTCGGGTCAGCACGTGTCCCTTCAGCACCTTGACGGGCACCAGCAAGGGGTTCTGCAGAAGGTCACTGTGGGGACGAGGAGGGCTCAGGGCACGGCCAGACACCACTGCCCTGGGGAGGGGGCCAGGCAGGGTCAGCACTCACTTGTACACCATGCCATGGCAGACGATGACACTGCCGTCGTCCGAGCCTGACGCAAAGAGTGGGTACCGCGGGTGGAAGGCCACAGCCCGCAGAGCCTTCTTGTGGTGTCTGGGGGGAGGGAACCAGGTTGAAGGCAGGCTCGGGCTGAAGGGAGGGGCTCTGCTGGCCGCCTCCACCCCCAGCTTTCCTCACCTCAGCATCCTGTATGGCTTGGTGGAAAGATCCAGGTCAAACCACACCAGCTTGCTATCGTAGCTCCCACAGATGACGTTGTCACCTAGGGCCAAAGGCTGTGATGCAGGTGTTCCCGCTCTCACCTGCAGGGTGCACTGCCCTGCCCGTCACCTACACCCCTCACCTGCAGGGTGCACTGCCCCTACCCCCACCCCTCACCTGCAGGGTACACCGCCCCCCCCCCCACCCCTCACCTGCAGGGTGCACCGCCCCCACCCCTCACCTGCAGGGTGCACCGCCAGGCTGGACACCCACTTGCAGTTGGGCATCAGCTTCTTGGTGAGCTCCTGGCGCAGCAGGTGGTAGAGGCGGACGCTGCGCTGGGACGCCACCAACAGGAAGGGCCGGGCAGGGTGGAAGGCCACTCGCTGCACCTGTCCGTGGCTGCGGCGGAACGGACTCTGGCTGCGGCGACGGCTCAGCTGGTGAATCAGCACCTGGGTGTGGCCTTGGGTGGCCAGCACCACGGCCAGGTAGTCCCCACGCCCGTGCCAGGTCACCTGCGTCACTGGCTGCAGGAGAGCAAGGCTGGCTGAGTGGCTGAGCCGGGCCCCTCCCGCTGCAGCCTCACCCCCAAGGCGCCCCACGTACCTTCCCGTGGCAGATGCGCAGCCGCAGGCCCACTTGGCGCTCCTCCTCTGAGGCCTCCAGCCAGCGGGCCGGCTGCAAGGGGGGCTCCTCAGGCGGGACGAAGGCGCTCAACAGCTGATCTGTGCTGCCCGCCACCAGCCGGTCCCCCAGAGCTGGGTTCAGCAGCAGCACCGAGTCCTCCCTGTGAGCCAGGCCCAGACACGGCCCCTAAGCACAGTGCCACCCCTGGCTCCCCAGCCCCCAGGGCCTCCACTTACACGGCTGCAGCCACCAGGCAGACAGCGGGGCTGGGGTTCCAGGCCACACTCTTCACCACGCCCCCCACGGGAACAGTCCTCACACAGCGGGCAGTGGCCACCTCCCAGAGCCGCAGGGAGCCGTCGTCAGAGCCTGGATGCGGCAGAGACAGCTCTCAACACCTGGCCATCCCACCTGCCCCCCAGCTCAAGGCTGCCCCCAGCTCGGACCCACCTGAAACCAGCCACTGGCCCCCAGGAGAGACACTGAGGCACCGGACAAGGTCACTGTGGCCCCTGTAGACCTGAGGAGGCGGCGGCAGTGAGGAGTCAGACTGGGAGGGTGCAACCCCAGCCCCCTAGTCTCCACTTACCAGGGCCTGGCACGTGGGGAAGGGCTGCAGGTCCCTCGGCCGAGGCAGCTTGGGGATGAGGTCCTCAGGGTCTACATTCACCTGGGGCAGGAGAGCGCCAGGTCAGCCTTGCCCCCTGTGCCACCCCCCTGGTGTGCCACCCCCACACACCCTCATCTTGCGCTGCCGTGGGCACAGGTACAGGTCAAGGCAGCGCTCGAAGCGTTCCTGGATGAAGCGTCCGTAGGCAGGCACGGCCCGCAGGCTCGGGAACTTGCGTGGCAAAAAGCTCAGCTTCCTCTCGCCTGGCTCCTGCTGTTCCCACGCCAAGCGCTGTGGAGACCAAGACACAGGGGTGGGGAGGGTCACAGGGAAGCATGGGGACAGGGTCCCGGCCCCCAGGATGCAGGCCCACCTCCTCCTCGCTGAGCAGGTATTCAGGGGGTGGGTTGTACGACTCGGCGTGGCCTGGCAGGGCCAGCTTGGGAGCAGGTACGTGCATCTTGTGGCGCCCGAGCACGGCGTTGGGGTCCTCCTGGGCCCACAGGTCATAGAAGCTGGGGGTGGGGTCTCGGGGCCGGCGAGGCTGGATCCAGCCCATCTTGATGGCGTGCACCATGCGAGAGACCTGCATAGACAGCCGGGTCAGGACGGGCAGTGCGGGGCGGTCAGCCCAGGCCAAGCCCCAGGGGCTGTGTGCCCCACCTTCTCCTTCTCCACCAGGGAGGGGATGAAGCTGCGCTTGTCGGCCGGGCGGTTGGTCACCGGGTGGATCATGACGTCCCCGCTGAAGAAGTCGACAGCCGGCTGGGGGAGAAGATGTGGGCGTGTGGGCCAGAGTGGCTGAGGCCCTGCTGGTGCCTCCAGGACCCCCGCCGCCCAGGGGCCAGCCCCTGCCACCTACCTCATAGGGGTTGAAGCCCACATCCCCAAACTGGCCACTCTGCAGCCGCCGCACCAGGGCCACCTGCTCATCCGTCAGTCTCAGGTCCCGCCCTGTCATCGGGTCCTGCACGGTGCGCCTGGAGACCGCCAGTCAGACCCCGCCAGCCCTGCCCCACCCCTCGGGCCCACCCCGGCTGCTGGCCCCACCCCACCAGCCCTCACCAGTAGTCAGGATCGTCCATCTTGTCCAGGAACTGGTCCAGCTCATCCCGGGTCCGCAGGGGCTTGTAGATGCGCCTGCCATCCAGGTCGTAGCCCACGTGGGGGAAGTCATCGTACCACTCCAAGGGCACGTTGCCCACCGTGTTCCGGATGTCCTGCAGCCGGGGGCCACCATGTCGGCATCTGATCCTACAAGGCCCACCCCCGCTTCGGGCCGCCCAGGGGAGCAGGTGAGGGGGTTGCAGGGGGAGTGCAGGCCCAGCCTCAAGTGCCCTGAGGTCACTGGCCCTGACCTACGCCTGTTCCCCAGCCCTGGGGTCTGACGTGGCATGGCGGCCACGCTGCCCCCACCCCCGCCCTCGGAGGCGCCGGAGCTGCACCTTCACATTTTCCACTGAAGTGGTGCCAACCCCAGAGCTCCCCCCTCACTGGATTCCTTGGCCAGGGCTCTGGGCAGCCACAGACAGGGATGACCTCATCACCCACGGGCTCCCTCCCCTGGCAGGGGCCTTAGGCAGAAGTGGGCAGCTATAAGACGGGGACTCGGGGAAGACCCCAACTGACCCATTCCACAGAGAGGCAGAAGCCAAGACCTCTCTGTGGGGGACCCCCCACCGTCTGCCCTCGGCCCCTCCCCAGGCAGAACAGCCACGTTCCTGGACGTACATTCCTGGTTGCAGCCCCTGCCAGCCGCCACCCTCGCTCCTTCCAGCCTGGGGACCGCTGCCCAGGAGGCTGCTTCCTGCAACAGTAGCCACGGGGAGGGGCCCAGGCAAGACAGAGCACAGCTGGGAGCCTGCCGGGCCCCCTGCTGCAGGAGGGACCCCTTGGGCCCTGCCCCCTGCTGAGGGTCCTTCCCTCTCCTCCCCATGGAGATAGGGGGCCATCCCCAAATTGGATAATGGGGGTATGTGTGTGCTTCCTGAGGGGCCTGGTGGCCCTGGAGAGGAACGGGGGAAGGAGGAAGGGGCAAGGAGACCGACGGGGTGAGAGGTCCACACAGCACAAGAACAGGGGACATGGCCAGCTAGCAGAAGGCACAGTCTGTGCCAAGCCTGGAGAGGCAGGTGCAGGACAGACAGGCGGAGAGACTGAGCTCTAGGCCCCTAAATACTCGCCTGTGCCCGCCCCCTGCACACGGCCTGGCACAGGCAGGCGCTGGCGCACATGGGAGGCAAAGACAGACAGGGTGCGGTCAGGCAGCAGGGCCAGGGCGGCTGGGTTAACTCAGTTGTGCCACGGGAGAAAACGGGGTGGTGGGTTCCTCCCCTCTCCCGGGGACGGGGGGCACTGCAGTTTTGGGGCCCTGAGTAACTACAGCCCAGAAGCGACCTCCCAGTTCCTCCGCATCCCCAGAGACGGAACGATGCCCCCAAAGACCAGCCCCGCCCCCCCCACCCCCGCCAAAGCGTGGCCACAGAAGGCCGAGGGACGCGGCGGGCGCTGCTCGAGGAGCCTCCGGGCTGAGAGGGGCGGGGCGTGCGCGGGGGAGGGGCCGGGACGCCGCTATAAAGGCGCAGCTCGGGGCCCCGCTCCGGCCCGGGACGCACATGTGCGCGCGACGCCCGGCAGCTGCCACCGCGGGGCGCAGCCGAGACCCCGCGCCTCGCCCCGGCCGGCCCGCGAGGCCCGCGGCGGCCGCAGGAGGCGGCATGAGCAGCGCGCGACAGAGCTGACGCCGCGCCCCCGCCGGCCCCATGTCCTTCGCCACGCTGCGCCCGGCGCCGCCGGGCCGCTACCTGTACCCCGAGGTGAGCCCGCTGTCGGAGGACGAGGACCGCGGCAGCGACAGCTCGGGCTCCGACGAGAAACCCTGTCGCGTGCACGCGGCGCGCTGCGGCCTCCAGGGCGCCCGGCGGAGGGCGGGGGGCCGGCGGGCCGGGGGCGGGGGGCCAGGGGGCCGGCCAGGCCGTGAGCCCCGGCAGCGGCACACGGCGAACGCGCGCGAGCGAGACCGCACCAACAGCGTGAACACGGCCTTCACGGCGCTGCGCACGCTGATCCCCACCGAGCCCGCCGACCGCAAGCTCTCCAAGATTGAGACGCTGCGCCTGGCCTCCAGCTACATCTCGCACCTGGGCAACGTGCTGCTGGCGGGCGAGGCCTGCGGCGACGGACAGCCCTGCCACTCCGGGCCCGCCTTCTTCCACGCGGCGCGCGCCGGCAGCCCCCCGCCGCCGCCCCCGCCGCCTCCCGCCCGCGACGGCGAGAACACCCAGCCCAAACAGATCTGCACCTTCTGCCTCAGCAACCAGAGAAAGTTGGTGAGCACGGGCCGTGGGGCGCCGAGGGGGGCCTCCAACGCGCCCCTCAGCCCACACCTGCCAGGCAGAGGAGGCGAGGCCACACGGGCAGGGCTCCCCAACAGGGCACAGGCAGGCACACCTGTAACACAGGCCTGCCGGGGGCTGGGGCCTTCTCCTGGGGCTCCTCTCCAGGGCGTCCCTAGGACACTCGGCTCCCAGTGGAGTGTGGAGTCCCCTGCAGGGAGCTGCATGAGGGGTAAGAGCTAGGGATGGCCAAAGGGGCCCACCCAGGGCGGGGAGGCTGGGGAGCTGGACCAGGCCGCTGCAAGCTTCCCTTTTCAGTAAGTTGAAAGGCGGAGTGAAAACAGCTGAGTTCAGAAAGTAAGAGGCTGCAAGGCAAGAGAGGAAGGACCCCGGGTTCTTAGCCCCTGCGGCCCAGCACTGGCTTAAGCCATCTTGGGCACCTGCTGTCCGTCCCCCACCTAGGCCGCACACCAAGACACCAGGTCCTGTAGGGCTGCCCGAGACGTGGGCCATGGGACACGAAGGCAGAGGCTGGCAGGAGATGTGGGGGCTGGGGGTGAGGGCCCCTGCAGGAGACGCTGGCCAGCTGTGATTTACAGCTCCTGCTGTGCTTGGTGGCACCGGAAAAGCAGGGTGAGCAGGGAGAAAATACGGCACGGCTTTTCCCAATCCCCATTTCCTCTCCAGACAGCACGCGCGAGCTCCTGGGGCCTGAACATCTGGGAAATTTAATTTTACAATTTCGGCTGTGCAGCAGTATGCTCCCCTCCCCAAAACGCTTGAGGGAAGCTGGGGAGAGCCGGGAAGGAGGTGCCTTGGCGCTGGCCACCTGAGATGGCACCCAGCAGGGAGGCCAGAGAGGCGCAGACTGGCGCTGGGCTCTGCCGGGGCCTGACACTCCTCCCTCCCCTCTGCAGAGCAAGGACCGCGACAGAAAGACAGCGATTCGCAGTTAGGAGGTGGCCGGCAGCAGCCAGGAGGCAGACGCTGCTGGGGGAGGTGGACGCCCGGGGTGACTGCAGACAGCCCCCACCTTGGACCTGAGCTGGGCAAGGCCCACCGCAAGCATGCCCCCAGGCCAGCCCTGGCTGCGAGCGGGGCCGAGGGACAGACGGACGTACAGACAGGCGCCGGCAGCGGGACTCTGCGCTGGCCCCAGCACCTGCCCGGGCCCACTGGAACTTTCTGCGCTGGCTTTTCTTCCGGCCACTGTGTGATGGCATCTTGTGTTTTTGATATGATAATATAAAGTCTGAAAATTTTGTATAATTAAAAACAAAACAGTATCTTCCAAATATGGAGGCCAACTGTCCTCATGAAAGGTTCAGAATCCACCCCCAGCCCCCAGCCTGAGCCTCCATTCCCACCCTTGGTGGTCCCATCCTCCTTGGGCCAAGTACCCCGGCTCCCTGGGAAGCCCCCACTTTCCAGGCTCAGGGCCACCCCTCCCTGGGCTGAGGCGGTGAGGATGGGCTTAGCTCACCCACAGAGCCTCATATCGGGAAGCTGTGGGGTGGGGACAAGGGAGCCACGCCGGGAGAGAGGGTGGGGGAGGAGCTGCGTGGCAGAAGATGGGGAGGGCGAGGCACAAGGCAGGGACGCTGTAAGGCAGGGACAGGGAGGCAGCGGCAGGGACAGAGGCAGCAGCAGGGCAAGGGTGCCCCCGACTCGGGCCTGTCGGGCACCCGGGGGCCCTGAGGGTGAGGAGGGCGCTGCAGGTGGCCACAAGGAGTGGAGCGAGCTGTGCTGCCCAGCGGAGGGGGGGGCTCCCAGCCCCAGCGAGGGCAGTGGGTGTCCTGCCTCCACGAGCCTTGACTGGAGAGAGGGGCATCTCCTCATGCACCAGTGCCACTTGGCCCCTGGAAGCACTGCCCACGTGGGAAGGAGGACCCCTGGCCATCCTCCTCCCACCACCACGGCCCATCCAGCCCCCTGAAGACCCCGCCCACCACAGGAGGTGGGTTTAGCCCCCACAGTGCTCTGTGCACAGCTGGCTGGCCATTAAAACCCTGCAGGTGACAATTACCATTGAGTGGTGTGAGATCAGTGGGCACAGAGAGAAGAAGGGCGGTGCTGTGTGGACCACCTCCCCCCAACCCTGCCAGGCCACAGCCTAACTTCCGGCTGGGTGGACAATGGCTGATGGTGCCAGGTGCGGGCGTCAGGGCGGCGGCCGGCCCCAGTTCCCCGCTAGCACAGGCAGGGACGCACCCTCGGGGGGAGACCAGGTGCTGTGGCCCACGTGGGCATCGGTGCAGGGCTGGCCCAGGACTGCCCCTCCTCTGCAAAGACAGGCTCCAGGGAATGGCGGAGCAGGAAGCAGTGGTGTAATTTTGGAGGAAATTCTCAAAGCCAGAGCCATTAAGGGCTAGAGGGGGGCTGAGTCCAATCTGATAGAAATATAACAGGATAAAAAGTCACAACGGCAGGTTTCGTTCAGAGAGAAACCCAACCCCAAATTTCCTCTCCCTAATCCTGCAGGAGCCCACAGCTGGCCAGAGGGAGGGGAGGAGAGGACAAGCTCAGTCACTGCAGAAGCCTCCGCCCGCCGGGAAGCCAGGGCCCGGGGGACACGGACATGCAGCTAGGGGCTGACGCAGCCCCTTCCCTTCTTGGGAGCTTTCCTCACACCCCCGCCCCGCCACCCTCCCAGGCACCAAGGCGCTGGTGAGTGAGGAGCAGGGTGGACCCAGGAGCATGGCCAGGCCGGGCACTCTGCATAGCACCCTAAGGCCCACGGCGCCCACGCCAGCCCTCCCTCCACTGGGCACTGGGTGTAGTTCTGTAGGGAGGGTCCATAGCCCACCTACCCCTCACCTCCAGGCCTCCCATTTCCAGACCTGGGCCTAGTGGGGGTTGCAAACCTCCACATGAACCCCCAACCTCAGTGGCCGGTCAACGTTGGGGACAAATGGGATGGAAGATAGTGAAAGTCTCCAGGGCAGGGACATCAGGGGCTGCTGGCCTGAGCGGGCAGGTGCGGGGCGTCGGCGGCCGGCACCAAGGACAGGGCAGAGCCAGCTCAGAGCGGGAATGCAGGAGGCCAGACAGGAGCAGGTGGGAAGGTGCGGGCCAGCATGGGGAGGTCTGGGCAGGGTCAAGAGGGAGTGCAGGGGAAAGAGACGTCAGAGCCCCCGTGGACTGGGGTCAGAGTTTGGGGTGTCTAACGAGGCTAGAAGAAAGTGAACAGGGAACAACGACCTGGAGGCCTCGGAGCTGAAAGGATCCCCAGGGCCCTGCTGGTTGGGGTGCAGCACTCACAGCCAAGCCCTCCGCTGCGGGCCTGACTCCGACCGCGGCTGCAGCTTGGCCAGCCTCAGGCCTGGGCAGCCAGCCCAGCCGCTCCCTGAGCTGCACCGGTAGCAGCGGCCGAGGGCCCGGCCCGCCAGCCAGCAAGAGGGGAGGGGCGGGGGAGGAACACTCCGTCACCCTCCACTGCTCCAGAAATTCAAACCAGACCGGGGGTGGCGTGGGCTGACCCCCAGGCCTGCGGCAGCCCACCCGAATCCACTCGTAGCTCACAGCCGCCGGGCAGACGAGTGGCAGGTGCTCCCTGCCCACCACAGCCCCTGGCTCCCTTCCCAGAGTGCTGGCCTCACCTCCACAGAGACCCAGGGCTCCCTCCGCCTGTGCCCCACAGAGGCAGCTGGGACGGAAGGGGCCCCAGCCTGCACCCTGGGCCAGCAGCCGCCCCTGCGAGCCGAGCTGGGCTGGAAACGCTCTGCTGGGCCTCAGCTGTCAGCTCCTGTCCCCGGCCTGGGGAACGAGCTGCTGGCGGGACACATGATTCATCACGGTCGCCTGCGCCCACCACCCGCCCCGCCCAGCGCAGCACCTGCGGGCTGCCAGGAAACACATGTGACCCCTCCGGGTCAGGCCCCGCACGGAGAGCCCCGGCCGGCCGGCCGGGGGCACACACAGACCCAGCATCAGGGCTCTCCTGGGGGCCGCCCAGCCCCAAGGACAGGCCCCCAGCCCAGACTGCACCGGACACAGGCCGCAACCGGCTGATGTGTCGGCTGGGATTTTTCCGCTCTCGATGAGCCCCCTTCCCTCCCCCTCCCCAAAGTGGCTGCAGCTGTCAGGACCACAGATTGGAACTGCAGGTATGGGGCTGGCCCGCTGCCCGCCTCCTCCCGTGTCTGTCTGCGAGAGAGGAAGCCGGCCCACCTCTGGAATCCTTCACTCTCTCCTCGTTCCGCCTCTCCCACCTGTCCCCCGGGAGCGTGGGGTCAGCCGCCCTCGCTCCGTCTCTCTCTTCCCCAGCCCCTCTCCGATTACAATGCGGGTAGTGTTCAGCGTTCGCGCCGCTCCCCTGCACAAAACGCCCGCCTGTCTCGGAGCGCCACACGGCCTTCCTGTGCGACGTGAGGCCGCCTCCTCTTCCTCAGGGTTTTATCTGTTGAAGTGCTCAGGGCAAGGCCAGGGCGGGAGGCTCACCTGCTGCATCTCACCCTACTGAAGGTTCCAGCAGGGGTGCTGGGCCCTGGCGCCGGGGCCAGAGGGGAGAAAGCCAGGTCCTGCTTAGTCTCCTCCTCCTCAAAGTCCAAACCAGCTGAGCGAACCCCCAGCCCAAGGTGGGGCCCCAGGCAGGAGGAGCCACCAGCCCAGACGCCCTCAGCTCCGGCCCGGCTCCCGCCAACCACGCATCTGCCCTTCTAGAGGCTGGGCACACAGCTCGGCCTTCTCCCGGCACCTCCACCACTGGAGAGAAGCCACTACTGACCCAGGGGTCCTTGCACCTCCACAGCTGGGAGGGCAGCAAGTCACCTCCTGGGGGTCTGCAGGCTGGAGAGAAGCCACTACCGACCCAGGGGTTCCTCCAGACCTGGCCTGCCTCGGTCTCTGCTGGGGCTGACCCAGGGACAATAGCTGTTCCCAGGCAGAGCACCCCAACGCCTGGCATCTCATAAGCAGGGGCTCCCAGAAACCAGGATGCTAGGGGTGGGGCACAGGCTTGGGGCATGACACCCCAAACACCCCCCACCGACACCCACCAGTGCTCACCCCTCCTCGGCCTGCTCTGAGCCCCACAACTCAGAGCTACAACTTCCAGGTGGGGTGGGGACAGGGCTCTAGAGGTCCACACCCGCTCAGCCCCCAACTCCGGACACCTCCAAAATCTCATTCTGGAGACTTTTCCCCCAGTCCTGATCCGTGCACACACACGTACCTGGGACTCCCGTCCCCTGCAGAACAGCCCCGGCCTTGGGACGTACACCCAGACCCAGCTCTCCCCAGCCGGCCTCCCCAGAGGGCCCAGAGCCTGCAGCCGTCACCACCTGCCCAACAGACCTTGCCCTCCAATGCCTTCCCCGGCTCCACTCCACAGGCTGCTCTGCCAGCCCCAGGGCAAAGCCTCCGCTCAAGAGCCCTGTAGAGCACCCCCCGCTGCCCACCCGGGTTCCAGCTGCCAAGGACACTGGCCCCGAGTGGGCACAGCAGGCCAGGGCCCCCACCACCCTTGCAGCCCACAAGCAGGAGGACGCGGCTCTGAAGAGGCCACTCCCACCTACCAGCCACTGCCCAGCCCTGCTTCATCCGAGAGCCCAGGGTACCCCCATGAGGGCCCTGGCTTCCCTGCCCCTCATCACTGACCCCAGGGTCTCTCCTCTCCCAAACCGGACAACTGAGTGCAGCAGGCCAGGCCTAGGAGGGCCTTCAAGCCGGCCAAGGGGCACGCGGCAGTCAGGCTACACACACCCACCCACAGCCTGGGTAGCAGGGCGCGCCCGTTTCCCTCCTCAGTGGAAAGGGACCAGACCCGAGGGCCAGCCCCAGCCCAGTCAGCAGCCCCCTCGGAGGCAGGCATGCAGGCGGCCGCGGGGGTGGATGGCCGCCAGGGAGATTGGGGCGGTCTGCAGGCCCGGGCGCCCTCCACAAGCAGCGTGGGGAGGGCCGTTCGCTCGCCGGGAAACCTGAGCCGAGGCCGCGCCGCCAGCAGCGACGCAAGCCTGAGTGCGCGGGGCCAGGACGCGGGGGCGGGGGCGGCCCGGAGGAGCGGAGGCCGCCAGCACTGGAGGCAGCTGCCGGTTCAGTAGCTGGGAGAAGCCATTAACGGCGCTTGGCGCGAGAGCAGAGGGGACCACGGGCTCTGGACGCAGACAGGCCCGGCTGCATCCCTGCGGGAACCTGACTCACAGCCCAGGCAGGGTCAGGGGCACCGAGGAGCTGCCAGGCTGCACCCCAGCCCCAGACTCCAGACTCCAGTGGAGGCCTCGTGGGGGACGGCCCCAGGCCAGCACCACGGGGCACAGGAAAGGGACAGCAGAGGGCGGCTCCTCCGGCCAGAGTGGACGGCCACCCAGATCCCTCAGCCTGCTACGCTTTCCTGACAAACACGGCCACAGGCAGGGGGAGGGTGGGTGGCTGCATCCTCTGCCTGAGCAGCCACCCGGCCTCAGTTTCTCCCAACCGCTCAAATCAAAGCGGAGGGGCTGCTTCGGCAAAGGCCGAGAGCCCCCTTGCCCCGCCCCTCCACCCCGGCCCACCTCCCCGGGGGTCCCAGCGGCTGGATGAGATCACGTCTGTGAAGCTCCAGGCGCGGTGGGAGAGGGGTGAGGTGGCCATGCGGGGGCGGGGCAGCCGCAGCTCAGCCGGCTCCTGGGGGCCCCCCACTGCCGGCGGCAGGACCCCAGCCAGGCCCAGCGCCTCCTCCAGGGGCTCCGCCCGCCTCCCTCCGCCTGCTCGCTGCTGCCTGCGCACCTGGGGGAGGGGAATAAGACACCAAGAGCTGGAGTACAGCTCTCCTGTGAGGGGCTGCTCAGGTCTTCAAAAGTCAGCGTCCAGCAGGGGGTCCCTGAAGCCCCAGTGTCATCCAGGTCCAGGCCCTGGATCCAGACCCAGGAAGGGCAGGGAAGTGGCCTGAGGAGAAGGGGAGGTAGGTGGGCAGGGGGTGGCAGGGAGGCACCTCCCACCAGCAGGAGCTTGGCCCGAGACCTTCTCAGCATCACAGCCACTGCCACCCACGCGCTCCAGCTGAGATCGCCGCTCGCAGGAGCACACGCCCCAGCGGCGCCCTCCCTGCCCTGCTACCAGGGGCCCTCTCCACAGCCCTGAAGGGCCCCGGCAGTGAGGTCGGCCCTCTCTCAGCCAGCTCTGCCCAGTGCCGAGGAGGACCATGGTCCTGGTGCCACGGCCACCTCCAAGGACACGGGGCTGCCTGACGGGCCCTGCTCTCCTCACCCCACTGTCTCATGGGAGAGCTGCAGGCTGTCTCCCACCTCCCAAGCCTCTTTCCTGCCCACCTGTGGCCCCAAATCACTCCCCTAGGGCCACCCCACTTTGCTCCAAGGGAACAGAGGCCCAGGCAGATGCGCACTTCTCTGGACGGGAGGCATCTGTCCGGGCCTGGCCTGGCTCCTGAAAGCTGAGCTCTGCCGCCCCCTCGAGCCACTGGCCGGCTGTGCTGGCAGGAGCACCGGGCAGCACCCGGGCTCCCTCGCTGTCACTCAGACCAACATATGGGATAGTCATCACTGGAGGAAGCAGCCCCCACATCCCTGGCCGGCTTCCTCCCAGCACAGCAGGGGGCTGCCCACCCGGCAGGCGGCGGTGGCACTGGACAGGCCTGGCAAAGCACCCCCAGGGGCAGCAGGGTCCCACAGGCCCCGCCGAGGCCCCTCCCCCGGCCTCCGCGCTCCGTTTACAATCATCATCGATTTCTCAAAATACCAAATATAAAAAAGTAGCCGACAGGATGTGGCTGCCGACAGCCAGAGCCCCTGGGAGGGGGAGGGGAGACAGGCAGGGAGTGCGCGGCGTGGCCCCCCCGCTCTGAGTGAGCCCGCTGCTCCGGCCAGGAAACCAATTTATTTTGTTTTGTCTCTGTTCTCTGAACGCGCAGCAGAGACCGGATCGGGCGGGCGGCCAAGGCTCCTGCAGCCACAGCCAAGAGAGCCGAAGGATGGGGGAAGAACCTGGGGGGAGGGGGGCGCGTGTCTCCCCCAGGCCCCCCGGGGACAGTTCCTGACAGGCAGGCAGGAAGAGCTCCTTCAGGAAGGCCCTACACCAAAGCCTTCTCCTTCCCCCACAGCCCCCAGGGCCCAAAGGAGACTCTGCCTCACACCCAGGTGCTCCACTGGGACCACAGTCCTACCCTGGGGCCAGGCCACACTGAGGAGGGTATAGGCAGGCACTGCCTCTGGCTTCAGAGCTTCTCAGAGCTTCCAGCCCCTCCCAAATGAGGGCAGCCCCCCGCAGCCAAATCTGCTCTTGGACACAGCCCAGTGCCAGCCTCTCCACGCCGGCGGAACCCAGCCCGGTGCCAGCCTCTCCACGCTGGCGGAGCCCAGCCCGGTGCCAGCCTCTCCACGCTGGCGGAGCCCAGCCCGGTGCCAGCCTCTCCACGCTGGTGGAGCCCAGCCCAGCAGCACGCATCCCCCTTCGCCTGCAAGCTCCTTATGAGAAACAGCCGACCTCCTGCCCCTCCTGAGATGTGCTCCTGGGACTCAGTCAGAGGTCCAGAGGCAACGGCCCCAGCCCACATCAGCCACCACCAGGGGTGGGGGGCAGGGGGACCCCAGGGGAAGGGAAGGGCCACCACTGCCCAGAACATCAGGACATTAGGAGGTGGCCCTGGCCCTGTTCTGCCCGCCTGGCCCCCAGCCAACCTGTGGCCCACCCCACAGCACACACGACAGGGGCACCACCCATGCCCGTGACCCCCACCCCGACCATGACCCCCACCCAGACCATGCACGCCACGCCCAGGGAGCCCACAGCCACCCTGCAGACGCCACAGGAGCCCCCAGAGCCCGTCCACAGGCCAGACACAGGGGCATGGAGCCACACCCAGGTCCTTCCCCTTCACAAGCCATGATGACACACATACATTGCAGTCTTGTGTCCCAGACCCCGAAATTGCTCTTGCAGATGGGGAAGCAGGACGCCCACGTGGGCCTCGGCTCCAACAGTGCGGCCCACCTGCGGCAGGTCCCAGCACCCCCAGGGCAACCCCAGCCCCAACCCCCAGCACCTGCTAGGCTGTGATGGAAGCCGCCCCACCCTGCCCAGTGGGAAGCAGCCCCAGTCCTACCTCCTCATCAGAGCTGTCCTCCGCATACTCATCCCCAATCCGGGCGCTCGCCATCTCTGTCCTCGGGCAAGGAGTGCTGGCCTGCAGAGAGAGAGAGAAAATGGTCACTTCAGGGGATACAGGGTACCCTTTGACCTTGGGGGGATCCCAGGAAGCCCACCACCCCGAAATCTCTGAGCAGCTCCAGCCTGGCACAGGCCTCAGCACAAGGCCGAGAACACCCAGCTCTAAGGGGGCCTCTGGGGGCTGTGGCTGGCACCCGGCGCCGCAGGTCCTGCCCACGGCCCTGTCCTCTGTGAGGGCTGGACTGCAGCCTCCCGGGGCCTCTGTCCCTGGGCTGACACGGGTGTCAGGCTAGACACGGAAGCCACTGGGGCAGTCAGGAGCAAAGCCGCCAGCTGAGGACCAAGACCCACCGCCAACCACCCGTACCCCCATTCATGTCAAAGCCACAGGACTCCTCCCAGGGGCCCCACATGGCGCTCCTGCCGAGCCCCGCCTGGGACGGGGGCAGCATGGTCGGGGGGAAGAAGGAGACGCAGCCGTCGCAGCAGGGTCACTGGGGCCAATGCTCTTGAAGGGGCGGGGGACACACATTGTCCACCCATCCCGGGGGCCACGTCCCGCCCAGTCCAGCCAGCAGAGGGCCCAGAGAGGGCCCCGAACACTCAGAAGGCCTGCCCAGCGTTCTCCCACCCACCACGTCCACAGCCCAGGCTGACCCCATCCCGCCGGGTCACAGAGTGGGCGCCACTGAGAATTCACATCCCAACCTGGAAAACAGATTCTGCCCTCGACTGCGGAGGTGAGGATGGCTCCAACCGGATCGGGTTTACTGGCGGAACCAAGGCTGATGGGGAAAACAGGCCCACCTCTCACCCGTGGGGGCAGTAAAGTGCTCGGGCGCAGGAACCCCAGAGCGAAGGCGGGCACGCCCCCGCCCCCACCCCGAGCCCCTCTTCTCTCCGGCCCGGGCTCCTCCCCTGCCTGTTTTTTCCTTCAATATAAAGAGAGATGGGAGACTAAGTTTTTTCCCAGGCCAGGAACAAGGAAGGATTCAGTTTCCACGTCTCCCCCTGCTGCTGACAGTGGCCTGGGGCGCTCAGTGACACGGAGCTCTTGCCCCTGCCTGGAGCACATGAGCCCCCACAGCCGCAGCAGATCCGTGACCCCGGCCCCAAGCCCCAGACGCGCACAAGGGCAGTTCCACACCCGGCTGCGGTCGGCTGCCCCCGCCTGGCCTCTGCGGACGGGTACCGGGCTGGGCTCCCGACCCCTCACAGTGGCCGGGGCTGAAGCACCGCACGCTGGAGTCCCAGCCTCGCTGCTCATGGGCCGCAGTCCCAGGGTCCTGGCAGGTGACAAAAGACTTGTCACCCAGCGCTCTGTGCCCCGTGGCCCCTGTGCTGGATGTGGACAGGCCACGGCACAGGCAGGCTCTGGGCAGGGGGCAGAGGTGGCCTTCGAAGGTGCTGGGTTCCCAGGGGCGCAGCATCCCCGTGGGACAGCTGTGGGGCACAGAGTCCACCAGGGGGCGACGGCGCTCAGCCAGGCCCAGCGCCCGAAGGGCAGGGGCGGTGCGGGCAGGGGCGGTGCGGGCAGGGGCGGCCACTGCTGGGAACTGCCTGACCTAGAAGGCCCCTTCAGATTTTGGAGGCAGATGCTGTGGGGCATTGAACGTATTTTTTTTAACTTAAAAATTAGAGGAAAAGGCCACCAAAACCCTAACGACACAGACAACGGAACATGAGCCCACGCCACGCTCCGGACTCCTGGGGACAGGACCCCCTCCCGCCACGCCCATGCCTGGAGTCAGCCCGGATTCTCCAGGGTCTCCAGCACCACCCGCAGTGTGCGTGGCCTGACTGAGGAGGGGTCGGGCCCGATGGAGCACGAGAGTTGCGTGAGGGTGAAGTAAAAGCTGAGAGAGTGGGCGGGCGAGCGCCACTGGGCAGAGGCAGGCGGGTCTGAAGGACCGACGGGTGGGCAGGGAGCCGCCGAGGGGGAGCGCAAGGACGAGGTGCCAGCAGGATGCGGGGCCGCTGGGGCCAAGGAAAGGCTGCTGTAGTCCCTGAACCCTGCGTGGCCTCTGCCCAGCCCCAGGGCTAGAATGTCACCATGAGGACCAAAGGGAGAAACCCACAGTGGGCTCAGCCAGACAGAAACGGTGTCCAAGCGCATGAGCCCCCTATTGTGACCACACCAGAGCCTCCCCTCCCCAGCATCAGGCCAGCCAGGCCGTGCCCCACTGCCACCAACCAGGCATGAGACACGGGCTCTGCCCTCACCTCCTGGGAGAGGATGGCGACAGAGCTGCGGTGTCCCGGTTCGGTGGGAAGAGAACTCTGCTCCCAGGGCTGCCCACAAGAGGGTTCTGCTGGAGACGTGGACAGCAGGAGGGAAGCAGTCCTAACTTGCCCAGAGACCAGAGCCAGAACATCGCTGTCGGGGTGCCAAGGACACCAAGACAACCCAGCGCTGCACCACAGACCCCACACCCAGCACCTCAGCACGGCCAAGGCTCCCTAGGGCCCTGCCCACGCTAGCCGCAGGGTGCCCAGCACAGAGACAGGCTGCTATCCAAGAGCTCTGTGCCGATGGCTCGTGTGACAGCAACGACTCATCAACAGGTACCTAGGAAACCCACATTTTGTTTTAAAGAAAGTACATCAGCAGGAACTGAAAAGCCCAGAGAAAATACAGCCGAAAAACATCCCTTTTTACTCAGGGAAAAGGAAGGTAACTCGGGGCAGGAGCCCAAGAGTGGCAGGGTCGTTCCCAGGCATGGAGGCCAACCCTGCATGAGGCACTGGCCATGTGTGCTGCCACCAGAGGCCCCAAGACCACCACGGGCCATGACCACCAAGGGCCATGACCGTCACGGGCCACGACCGCCATGGGCCATGACCCCCATGGGCCTCAAGACCACCACAGGCCACGACCACCACGGGTCTCAAGACCATCATGGGTCTCAAGGACAGGCCCCAAGACCACTGCGTGCCACGACCGCCACAGGCCCTAAGACCACCATGGGCCCCACGATCACCACAGGCCACAACTGCCACAGGTCCCCTATACCACCATGGGCCCTGACGATCACAGGCCACAACCACCATGGGCCACGACCACCACAGGCCCCAAGACCACCACGGGCCAAGACCACCATGGCCAAGACCACCACCAGCCATGTGCTCAGCCACCTTAGGACCACCACAGACCAGAGACCACTCCACAGCACTGTGACTCGGTGCCCCACTGCAGACAGCTGTGCAGAGAGGGGCCCAAGGACCCCCATCTATCAGGCCTGGTTTAGATGAGACCCTGGCAGTGGAATGAGGTTCTGGGGAGCGCTGGGGGAAGAGACTATTTGGCAAGCGTAAGGGTGACTGTGACCATTTTAAAACACGGCCACAAACCTTTGATTTTCATCGCATCAAGAGACAGAGTCTATGTCCCCCCCGCCGCAAATCTGGGTGGGCTTGTGGCTGCTTTACCCACCCAAGGGAGGCAGCCCACACTGACACCACAGGATTCTGGGCTGAGGTCGTGAAGGCCGTGTGGCTCTGCCTGGCACAGGAGACCACGTCCTTGCAGCCCTGAGCCCTGGGAGAGGGGACAGCTGGACAGGGGTACCCTTCGTGAACATGGCTGTCAGGGGCGGTCTGGACACACAAGAGGCCCGGCTGTGCTCACCTGAGATCCTCACCCAAGTCCCAGAGCACAGGATGTGAGCTGAGTGTCGATCTTCCTCAGGTGGAATGTACCAGAACCCTCTGGGGCTCCCCGGCCCCTCAGCATGACACTGTACTCAGGGTGTACTGACCCTGCTGCTTTCGGCCTGAACTCTGACCCCTCGAATCCAGAATGCTACAAAATATCTGTTTGATGCTGCAAAGTGTCAGGGCAGGTGGCAGAACAGCTGCCTGACTCCCCCATGGGGGCCAAGAAGCTTGGAGCTGGCAGTCTTCAAAAGAACCCAAAGCAAGGCCACAGGCAGAGGCAAGAGCGGAGTTTACCACCAGCCCTGGCCCCTGGTTCCATCCCCAGCTCTGTGGTCCACACCCAGGCAACTTCTCCACCACTGACCAGCTGGTGAGAATCACTGGGCAGCCCCTTTCCAGACTCCACAGAGCTGCAGCTCCAGACCACTCTCCAGCAGACGGCACCAGCACCCAGACCCCAGAACCACAGCGACAGGGGGCCCGAGCCCAGGGTTCCCACGCTGCAGCAACGCGGCCTGCCACCTGCCATTCCCAGAGCCTTCGCTGAGACGCTGGCGGGATCCCCTGCCCAAGAGTGTGCATTATGCTCCGGCACAGGCCAAACTCTCCTTAAATTATCTGGGAAGGCCGGGCCCAGTGGCTCACACCTGTCATCCCAGCACTTTGGGAGACCGAGGCAGGCGGATCAGTTGAGGTTAAGAGTTCGAGACCAGACTGGCCTACATGGAAAACCCTGTCTCTACTAAAAATACAAAAAATTAGCTGGGCTTGGTGGCGCTCACCTGTAATCACAGCGGGAGGCTGAGGCAGGAGAAAGAACTGCTTGAATCTGGGGGGTGGAGACTGCAGTGAGCTGAGATCAGGCTATTGCACTCCAGCCCGGGTGACAGACAGACTCTTGTCTCAGAAAAAAAAAAAAATCTGGAATCATCACTTTAATACCAGGTCTTCGGCCTTCTCTCACTTTCATACCAGGTCTTAGGCCTTCTCTCAGTTTAATACCAGGTCTTTGGCCTTCTCTCACTTTAATACCAGGTCTTCGGCCTTCTCTCACTTTCATACCAGGTCTTCGGCCTTCTCTCACTTTAATACCAGGTCTTAGGCCTTCTCTCACTTTCATACCAGGTCTTCGGCCTTCTCTCACTTTAATACCAGGTCTTCGGCCTTCTCTCAGTTTAATACCAGGTCTTAGGCCTTCTCTCAGTTTAATACCAGGTCTTCGGCCTTCCCTCACTTTCATACCAGGTCTTTGGCCTTCTCTCAGTTTAATACCAGGTCTTCGGCCTTCCCTCAGTTTAATACCAGGTCTTCGGCCTTCCCTCAGTTTAATACCAGGTCTTCGGCCTTCCCTCACTTTCATACCAGGTCTTTGGCCTTCTCTCAGTTTAATACCAGGTCTTCGGCCTTCCCTCAGTTTAATACCAGGTCTTCGGCCTTCCCTCAGTTTAATACCAGGTCTTCGGCCTTCTCTCACTTTCATACCAGGTCTTTGGCCTTCTCTCAGTTTAATACCAGGTCTTCGGCCTTCTCTCACTTTCATACCAGGTCTTTGGCCTTCCCTCAGTTTAATACCAGGTCTTCGGCCTTCCCTCAGTTTAATACCAGGTCTTCGGCCTTCCCTCACTTTCATACCAGGTCTTTGGCCTTCTCTCACTTTAATACCAGGTCTTAGGCCTTCTCTTACTTTAATACTAGGTCTTAGGCCTTCTCTTACTAGTGCTTTTTTCTTTCAAGACAGAGTCCCACTCACTCTGTCACCCAGGATGGAGGCAGTGGCATGATCTCAGCTTACTCTAACTTCCGCCTCCCAGGCTCAAGCAATTCACATGAGGTTTCACCATGTTGGCCGGGCTGGTCTCGAACTCCTCAAGTGATCCGCCCACCTTGGCCTCCCAAAGTGCTGGGATTACAGGTTTGGCTCACCGCATCCAGTCTTTTCTCACATTCTTGACTGTGACAAGCAGATTAACTGATAAAAACAGAAACTTCTGCACAAAATAATAAAAAGAAAAACTCACATAAATGAAAAGACAAAACCAAGCAAAGCTGGGAAAAAAATGAATCTAAATGAGCACAGAAAGGAAAAAACAGCTCTGAGCGCACGGACCCCACAGATCCACTAGACACCAGCGATAAAGAGAAGGCCCTGCAACCAGTCCTCGCTCCGGTGAGCCCGCGGCCCGCGCTGCCGTGTGCTGCTGGAGAGGGGACAGGAAGCGAGGCACAGGCCGGCAGGAGGCAGCTTCCTCCCTGGCTGGTCAGTGGAGGGCTGGGAGCACCCGTGTCAGGGGTGCTGCAGGGCAGGGAGCACACAGCCCAGGGCGCCCCTCCAGTGGGATGGCTCGCAGACACAGTCAACAGCTGGAAGGGCAGGGGCTGCAGAAAGTCCCAGGGAGTAGGAACCAGGCCAGGAGACAGAACTCGTGGGTCATCAGGTGGCACAGAACGCAATTAAGAGGCAGGACTGCCAGGCCCAAGGCAGGGAGGCTGGAGATGGGGTGGGCCCTGGGGTGAGGCTGGCCCACCAAGCTCGTGCCAGAGCAGGTGGACCCAGAAAGAGGGGTCACTGTAGCAGGGACGCAAAGGGTGGGGAAGGGATGCCTGCCCTCAAACCACACAAACACAAAAATAAATCAAACCCACTGGCCCCAAGGAGGCTACTAGCAACAGCTGTGGGCCCTGCCGTGGCCCACAGATACCCCAGGGAAGGAAGGGGGAGGTACAGCACCCACCCCATCTTCTTGGGCCCTGTCCCTGTCCTCATCCCTATCCTCTGACCACCCCCCAGACACAGAGTACCCTTCTTCACCTTCACTCCTGAGCTCCTCATGCCAACAGTCAGGGGAGGAGCTGCAAAGGGCACAGCCAGACCCTGCTCCTTGAGTGCACCTCACAAAACACCAGGACTCCTGACCCCAGAAACACAGACAGCAAATGCTCGTTGTTGAAAGGCACTATGGTGGCCAGGTGCGGTGGCTCACGCCTGTAATCCCAGCACTTTGGGAGGCCAAGGCAGGTGGATTACCTGAGGTCAGGAGTTCAAGACCAGCCTGGCCAACATGGTGACACTCCCTCTCTACTAAAAATACAAAAAAAAAAAAAATTACCCGAGCGTGGTGGCTGGCATCTGTAATCCCAGCTACTCAGGAGGTTGAGGCACGAGAATCGCTTGAACCCAGGAGGCAGAAGTTGCAGTGAGCCGAGATTGTGCCACTGCACTCCAGCCTGGGCGATAAGAGCAAAAAAACTCCATCTCAAAAAAAAAAAAAAAAAAAAAAAAGAAAGGCTCCATGGTTTGGGGCAGTTTGTTGTGGTGCCAGATAACAAAACAAACAAACAGAGAGAAAACAGCAAAGGGCTCCTGGCCCAGGGAGCTCAGACCAAAATGACAAGAACCAGCTAGCTGTCCTGCCCTTGGGCAACAGCCATGAGGGTTTCCAGCCAGCTAAGTGCATGGATGATGCCGCCACAGGGAAGAGACAGAAGGGCTTCCGGGACTGGGACCACGGGCACGCACCGCCATGCCTGGCTCATTTTTTAAATTTTCTGTAAAAATGGGGTCTCATTATATGGCACAGGCTGGTCTTGAACTCCTGGGCTCAAGAGATCCACCTGCCTTGGCCTCCCAAAGTGCTGGGATTACAGGTGTGAGCCACTGGGCCCAGCCTGTGACTCATTCTTTTTATTTTTATTTTTTCAGTTAAGCCCAGCTGTGCGAGCCTCATTCTTAATGAAAGAAAAACATCACTAAACAAGAGGAAAAGATGAAGCAGCAACACCATGAGGGAGGCTGGTGGTGGGAAAGCAGCTGAGGGGCGGCTGCAGTAGTGCATGGCATCACCGCCTAGCGGAGGGACGCTCCAAGCACCTTCACAATTAAATGCATTGATGGCCAGGTGCGGCGGCTCACGCCTGTCATCCCAGCACTTCAGGAGGCCAAGACAGGTGGATTACCTGAGGTCAGGAGTTCGAGACCAGCTCAGCCAACATGGTGAAACCCGTCTCTCCTAAAAATACAGACATTAGCCGGGCGTGATGACGGGCGCCTGTAATCCCGGCTACTCAGGAGGCTGAGGCGGGAGAATCACTTGAACCCAGGAGGTGGAGGTTGCAGTGAGCCGAGATTGCACCACCGTACTCCAGCCTGGGCGACAGAGCGAGACTCTGTCTCAAAAAACAAAACAAAACAAAACAAAACAAAACTAGCCAGGCATGGTGGCGGGGACCCTGTAGTCCCAGCTACCAGGGAGGCTGAGGTAGGAGGATCCCTTGAGCCCAGGAAGTTGAGATTTTGGTGAGCCAACATCGCACCACTGCCCTCCAGCCTGAGTGACAGAGTGAGACCCTGTCTCAAACAAAAAAAAGCATTTATCCTTTGACCTAGAAATTCTCTTGGAATTTTCCCCAAGAATGGTGTGCACATGTGAGAAACAGCATGTTACTGTCAGGTCAACTGTAAGAGCAAAAGCCTGCAACTGCCCACCCACTGGAGCTGTTGAGGCCGAGCTGCCAGGCACTCTACGGGCACCAAGCACTGTACAAACCAGAGCCATGGCCTCCCTGACAGAACCATCCTGAGACAGCGCACGGCTGCCCCTTCTCTTAAGAAACCACCATTCAAAAACTCTGTGCGAGTTTGGATATGTCTAGAACATCCTGGAAAGAGACTTCAGCACTGGAAACAGTAGTTGCCTGGATGCAGCAACAGGAGCCAGGAGGGAAGGGTAGGAGACTCGTTCCCTGGCACACCCCTCAGGAGCACCTGAGCATCCAAAGGTGCCCTAGAACACCACGTGCAGCTGCTCACTGAATGCCACGTAATTCTACACAGTCCTTAGAAAGGAGGCAGGGTCGTGTGCATGTCAATGCTAAAGGCCTGAGGGCAGAAAGCCAGAGGGAAGCCTGTGGCCCGGCCCTGCAGCCAGAAGCACGCCCACCCTGGGTCCACCCAGGCAGGTCCGGAGCCCTTGGCAGGTCGCCAGGTCTCCACAGGGGCCGCCAGCAGCTGACCCCCAGCAGTCACCGGGCTCCCCGCTACAAGGGCCTCCCACTGTGGGGCTCTCCGCAGGACGCCCCGGGCCGGTCTGGGTTGGTTTGGGGCACACACTTGGAATCAGATTTATGGAGGAGGCTCTCTGAAGGTGACCCATCAGCCACATCGCTGCCAGGATGGCAGAGATGAACAAAAGCCGCAGCTCCCTCCCATGCCAGTCACACAGCCCCTTCTTCACAGCACCATCGGGGCCGGGTATACCCACCAAGGGCTAGGCGGCCTGGGGAGTGAGGCCCTCGCCCTGCCTGACTTCGTGTGTCCCTGAGGTGTCCGTGACATGACACATGCATGCTGCCTGATGCCCAGCCCCATCCCGCCACTGTTCCAGTCTGATGTGATGCTGTGGCTGGGATGTCCTTCAGATGCACGAGGCAGAGGCCACAGGGGCCACGTCTTGCCAACCACTGTGGAGGAAACAGCGACAGGAGGGAGTGGGGGGACAGGCAGAAGCACGTGGCAGAAGAGAAATTAGCAAAAACATCATCTCGTCCTTCAGGGGCTGCCAGGCAGACATTACCCTCACTTACCAAGTAACCCACCGAGGCCCATGAACCATCTGCAAGACCACACGAGTGGCCGTGGCCAGGACCACAGAATCCCAGGTGCGCCCACTGCAGGGCAAGGACACTTAGCAGCAGGAGAAGCTGCTGTGTCACTGTGGTGTGAATTCCCAGAACCAAGGGGCACTGATTCTAGAAGCCGCTCAACGGAAGGGTTCTTGGGTTGAGGACCCACAACCACTGGCAGGGGCATCGGGGGCAGAATCCTCCAGATGGCTGTGGCGGGCGAGGGTGTCTGGCAGAGCCCCTGGTGGCCCGGCCCCGTGGACCCACGATGCGAGTGGGAGGTGGCGGAGATACAGGCGTAAGGAGCCCTGGACTGCCTTCGGGATGACACAGAAACAGGCCTAACCTGAGGCCACTAACTGGGCATGACGGGGCCATCTTGGCGGCACTCTGGGAGGCCTCACGTGGCCACGCTCATGGAAGCCAAGAGAACATGCAGGAGGCAGCACTGGGCTGCCGGCTGAGTTTCCACCTGCAGGGCTGCACAATGGGAAAGGACTCCCACCATTCAAGAGGGGCGCGGAGGGCAGGCAGGAGGGAGTGGCCGCTCAGCAGGCCAAGGTGCCTGGGTGGCTTCTGATGAACAGGGGGGAAAAGGGAGGGGTTCCCACTAAGAAGCTGAAAGCACCCCCACCTCATCAATTCATTCTCCTGACCTGGAAGAATTTAAACCCAGTCATGAGGATCACACTTTAGAACTGAAAACACCCTGACAGGGCCCAAGGTGCCCCTCAGCTAAAGCACAGGACACGCGGGCAGATGCACGGGCGCCATGGCAGGGCAGGGCCTCAGCCCCTCAGCTAAAGCACAGGACACGCGGGCAGGTGCATGGGCGCCACGGCAGGGCAGGGCCTCGGCCCCTCAGCTAAAGCACAGGACACGCGGGCAGGTGCATGGGCGCCACGGCAGGGCAGGGCCTCGGCCCCTCAGCTAAAGCACAGGACACGCGGGCAGGTGCATGGGCGCCACGGCAGGGCAGGGCCTCGGCCTCCCAGCTAAAGCACAGGACACGCGGGCAGATGCACGGGCGCCATGGCAGGGCAGGGCCTCGGCCCCTCAGCTAAAGCACAGGACACGCGGGCAGGTGCATGAGCGCCACAACAGGGCAGGGCCTCAGGCAGGGACTTGGGCAGCCAGCAGCGTGGGGAACTCTGAGGACCGCCCCACCAGCCCGGCCGGCCTTGCCACCTCAGGCCCTGCTGGATGACGGAGCACACAGACCACAGACAGCGGTACTTTGGAAAACACCCTGCATGGGGCAGCCAGTTACGCGGTCACAGAAACCCGAGCAGGGCAATGGGCAGGACAAGCACACACTCAGCAGTGCAGAGGACCTGGTGCTCCAGGGGCCAGGAGACAAGCAGCGAGAAGAGAAGATGGCGCCTCCCTAGACTCCGCAGACACCTCTAGTACCTTTCAAGTACTTGGATATGTTATTATGCGAAAACATTGTTTTGGTTTTTGAGGCAGAGCCTCACTCTGTCACCCAGACTGGAGTGCAGTGGTGAGATCTCGGCTCACTGCAACCTCCGCCTCCCAGGTTCAAGTGATTCTAACGCCTCAGCCTCCCGAGTAGCTGGGATTACAGGCACGCGCCACCACGCCCAGCTAATTTTTATATTTTTAGTAGAGACAGGGTTTCACCATGTTAGCCAGGCTGGTCTTGAACTCCTGAGCTCAGGTGATCCATCCACCTTAGCCTCCCAAAGTGCTGGGATTACAGGCGTGAGCCACCACGCCCGCTGAAAGAATTTAATAAAAAAATCATTAACATGTAAATGTGTAAATCCTTAATTTAAAAAGGGACAGAAGACCCAGAAAGATGTACACCAGACCACTAACTGTGCTCACGGGTTAGGTGTGAGGGCCCTGAGTGGGAGCTTCCACCCTACTGAATGGTGCTGCTACAATATCTACATTATTTTCCAGGATGTTTTATCTCATAATTTTTTTTTGAAACAGGGTCTTGCTTGTCACCCAGGCTGGAGTGCAGTGGCTCTATCATAGCTCACTGTGACCTGGATTCCTGGGCTCAGGAGATCCTCCCACTTTGGCCTCTCGAGCTGCTGGGATTACAGGTATGAGCCACTGTGCCTGGCCCAGTATTGTATCATTTTAAAAACTCAAGAAGGGGTAACGTAGTTGTCCATAATCTTACAAACCACTGCCAACACAGCACATCATTTTTTCTCTGTGTATGTTAGTGGTATAATTAAAGCCTGAATTAAGTGTGATTTTAAATCTTTTCTTCCCAGCAAACAAGCCAACCCAACACAGCTAGCACACAATGAACAAGCCATGGTTCCTTGGCTTCTATCACGGGGACCTCTGCCAAGGCCGTAACTTCCAGAACACCGAAACTACTGGGAGAGTAAATCCTTACAAACGATTTCCAGAATGTTTAGAGTAACAAATGCTGGGCTGGGCGCGGTGGCTCACACCTGTAATCCCAGCACTTTGGGAGGCCAAGGCAGGCAGATCACTTGAGGTCAGGAGTTCGAGACCAGCCTGGCCAACATGGTGAAACCCCGTCACTACTAAACATACAAAAAAAAATTAGCCGAGCCTGGTAGTGGGCACCTGTAATCCCAGCTACTCAGGAGGCTGAGACAGGAGAATTGTTTGAACCCAGGAGGTGGAAGATGCAGTGAGCCAAGATCGCCCCACTGCACTCCAGCCTGGGCAACAGAGCAAGACTCTGTCTTAGAAAAAAAAAAAAAAAATAGGCCGGGCGTGGTGGCTCACCTGAGGTCAGGAAATCGAGACCAGCCTGGCCAACACGGCAAAACCCTGTCTCTACTAAAAGTACAAAAATTAGCCGGGCGTGATGGCATGTACCTGTAATCCCAGCTACTAGAGAGGCTGAGGCAGGAGAATTACTTGAACCCAGGGGATGGAGGTTGCAGTGAGCCAAGATCACACCACTGCACTCCAGCCTGGGCGACAGAGTGAGACTCTGTCTCAAAAAAATAAAAAATAAAAAAAAATAACAAATGCTGTGTTTTAGTTAAATTATGCTTTTCTCCTGTTGTTCTCAATAAGAGTAGGGTGCATCCTCCCCCACCATCGCTGCAACAGGTACAATGTTAAACCCTCTACCCGTCGGCTGCTCAGGCCCCTGAAGCCCTGTGGGGTCAGGCCCAGCTGGGTTCCGTTGGGGCCCCCATGCCGCCTGCTTGAGCCCTGCCATGCTGCTCAGCTCCCTCCTCAGCTGGGTCCTGCCACTGGATTCCAAGCAGTAAAATCCCCACCTCAAGGAAACCCAACCTGTTGCCAGGAGGGTTGCCCGAGCATCGTCTGACGGGGAAGGGCCTAGGCATGTGGATTTTCAGAGTTCCTGGGAACGGCACGCAACTGGGGATGGAAACCAGCGTCCTAGAGCCCAAGCGTGCCCCAGGTGCAGTGAAGGAGGGACGCCGGCCTTGGGGTTCTGAGGGACGGTGGAGAAGGCAGTACAGTGGCAGTCTCAGAAAGCCCAAGGCCACCTGCACATGGGGGACAGCCCTCGAGGGGGCTCCTCGCTCACCCACCTGCACCTGCTCCTCAGTGGTCTTTTTAATCCCACTGTGGCCCTCGTCATCAAGGGCTCCGTCCTCTCCCTCCTCGTCGCCTTCGTCATCATCCTCACTGCTGTCACTGCCGGAATCTTCCAGGCCTGAGAACACACTTTCCTCGCTGTCGGAGACGCCAGAATCGCTGCCGGTGCTGTGGCTGAGAGGAGAGGTGCAGAGGAGGGGGGGCTGCAAGGAAACACTGGGTTGGTGACAACTGCCCCTCCAGGCATGGGGCACTGAACACTGCAGGGAGAGCTGCCTCTCGCCCCTCCAGCCACCCACCAGCAGCTCCATGTGGCCTCCAGGACCACACCCCTCCAGTCACAAACTTCCACCAAAAGCATCCACCCAACCTGAGCCTTCCTCATCTTCTACCTCCACTGACAAGACAGCCTCTTGCCTTTGCCATCGACATTTTAATTCCTAGCACCTCACAGGGAAGGGGCTTTTCAAGGACAACCTCCTCCTCTTGGAGCTCAGCTCTCATCGCAAAACTAACACTGCTCTCTACCACCCACTGACACTCCGGAGGCCCTGTGGGGTCAGGCTGGGCTGGACTCCACTGGGTCCCTCAGACAGCCTGCCTGAGCCCTCTCCACACCTCACCCTGGCATCCAAGGCCCCAGAGCCAAGAGGTCACTAGAAAAGGGGCTGGGGGCTGGAAGAGAAATGGGTCCCCAAAGGGCTTTTACCACCTGAAGCAGACGCCTCCTCATTTAACCAGATTGGGACCAACGATTGATCAGTAAATTGAAAGGATTGGCTGAAGAGTCACAGGAATGATAGAGACTCTAACCGCAACCACGCACCAACCCACCCACTCCTCTCTCTGAGCAGGACCACAGCTGCCTCTGAGCAGAGCCCTGCTGGCTGCGTGACACCGGCACACACAGTGTTCGGGTCCTTCACTGGCCTTAAAGGGTGGAACAAGAACTTAGACTCTTAGGAAGCAGTTGAAGGCCAGGCACAGTGGCTCACTCCTGTAATCCCAACACTTTGGGAGGCTGAGGCGGGTGGATCACCTGAGGTCAGGAGTTCAAGACCAGCCTGGCCAACATGGTGAAACCATCTCTACTAAAAATACAAAAATTAGCTGGTGGTGGCGGGCACCTCTAATCCCAGCTACTCAGGAGGCTGAGTTAGCCAGGAGGTGGAAGCTGCAGTGAGCCAAGACTGCACCACTGCACTCTAGCCTGGGCAACAGAGCCAGGCTCTGTCTCAAAAAAAAAAAAAAGAAAAAAGAAAGAAAAGGAAAAGAAAAGAAAAAGGAAGCAGTTGAATGCAGAATTCTAGATTTTACTGTTTTCCTAATAGTTTACAAGTCTCACTTAAGGTACGACCTGCATGTATTAGCTATTGCATACCGAGTGTTCACACAATGCCTCTCTCACACAGAGTCATGATGTGTCTTGGTATTCAGTCGGCTACACAATCACAATAACTAGTGGAAATGGCATCCGTGGCCTGGGCGCAAACAACTGGCTCCTGAGGACCGTTTAGTCCAAGGGTGGAAGTCGCAGAACCTGGCGCCTAGAGTGGCCTGCGGGCCATTCAGCCCATGGGAGCCAGGATGAGTTGAATTCGCTTCACAAAGCAATGGGGCAGTTTCAACAACCCAGCGCGGCCGCGGCCGAGGGGGCTGTGAGGGGCTGGCTGTCCATCCCCTCCACCACCCAATTTGATGATCCCCACAACCAAGACAGGGCTGAGCTAGCAGAGAGCAACAGTGAGTTCTAATACAGCAAATGCAGCAGACACTGGGTTCTATTCAGGTTTTCTTATTCTCATGTCTATCCCATGAGCATAAAAACGCAATTAACTAGCGTATACGTAGGTTAAGCATTTACTGGGAGCGCAAGCCGAGCCCTTTTATTGGCAGGATGCACAAATGGAACGGCTGGAGAGGCTGCTGCAAGGGGCGCCCCGTCCCCACTCCCCGCTCCCCCGTTTCTTTGCTTCCCGGACGCCGTCCTTTACCCCGCAGTCCGCTCTGCCTGAGACCCCCCGATAGAGGAGCTGCACCCACGCCCAAGACCGATTCACTGGGCGCGGGCGCCCAGGTGACAGAAGCCGGGCCCACCCGCCCCAGCGCGGCCACGTGCCCGCCGGGCCCTCTAGGGACGCGCCCCGCCGCCCCGCATCGCCACAGTCACCTCCGGCTCGGGCTCAGGCTCCAGTTCGGGCTCAGACCGCCGCTTCTCCGGCCGCACGCTCGGCGCCGCCGTGCGCCCCGCACCCCGCGAACCCGCCATGCCCCACCGCGCGCCGGCCGCCACCCGCACAGCCGCTTCCGACAGCGACCGGGCCGCGTGCGCAGGAGGACGCGCCCCGCCCAGCCCGGCCCCGATTGGCGGGTGGAGGGAAGGGGGTGGGACCAACACGCGCAGGCGCGCGGCTGGGCCGGGGACCAGGGCGGGGTCGGGGCCTGCGTGCTCGCGCCGGGGGTGACGCGGGAGGGCGGCAGCGGCGGCGGCGGGAGCGCGCCCGTTGCAAGATGGCGGCGGCCATGCTGGGCCCCGGGGCTGTGTGTGCGCAGCGGGCGGCGGCGCGGCCCGGAAGGCTGGCGCGGCGACGGCGTTAGCCCGGCCCTCGGCCCCTCTTTGCGGCCGCTCCCTCCGCCTATTCCCTCCTTGCTCGAGATGGATCTGCCCGTGGGCCCCGGCGCGGCGGGGCCCAGCAACGTCCCGGCCTTCCTGACCAAGCTGTGGACCCTCGTGAGCGACCCGGACACCGACGCGCTCATCTGCTGGAGCCCGGTGAGGGCAGCGCGCGGGCGCGGGGCCCGTGGGGACCGGGAGGGAGCAGGGCCGCGGCGGACGGCGCGGGAGGGCTGCGGGGAGGGGCCCTGCCGCACTTCAGCTTACGCGCGGTGAGCCTGCCCTGCCCCCGCCAGAGAAGGGCGGCGGGTCCCGAGCCTGCTCAGACCCAGAGCCTTAAGTTGGGAAAGCGGCTACGAGACCCACACTCGGTTCAACCCCTGCCCCAGCGAAGTTTCCCTGGGATGGGGAGAATGGGGCGTCTCTTGTATTGGGCTTCTGCTAACTGTTGGGCGGTTGCGGAAGTGTCCGCGCTTAGGGCAAGCACCCGGCTTCGCCAGCGGACGCTATGCCCCAGAGGACATCGGCGTCCCCAGGGGACAGCCTACGGGGTGCTGGGTCGGCAACTATTAGGAGAAAGTCAGGACTTGGCACGTGAAGTGGAGGGCGTTGCTGTAGTGGAACAGGAAAGGCAGTGGAAACAGTAAGACGTCATGAAGCTTCAGGTTGATCTCAAGCCCGTTTCCGAATCCCAAATCTGGGTTTCCCAAGAGGAGTTTTGTTTTTCATTCCTTATGGGGCATCTTTATTCGTGTTTCTGTCTTCAGTTGCCTGGCAGCAGGCTTGTTTACATGGTCCGACCCTGCAAGACCGGACAGCTCCGGTTTGCAGAAGTAAATCAGTGATTGTCTGGAGTTGGAGATCAGAATCTGCTGTTCACATCCCGGCTGTGACGTCGTGTCCGGTGAGGGGCAGAGCCACCGCCTGCGGCTGGCAAGTGATGACCTGAAGAAGGGCCACACTGGCCGAGTGGGGTGACTCTTGCTTGTAATCCCAGCACTTTGGGAGGCGGAGGCGGGTGGATCACTTGAGGCCAGGAGTTCGAGACCAGCCCGGACAATATGGCAAAACCCCAGCTCTACTAAAAATACAAAAAATTTGCCGGGCGTGGTGGTGCTTGCCTGTGGTCTTAGCTACTTGGGAGGCTGAGATAGGAGGACTCCCTGGACCTGGGAGGCAGAGGTTGCACTGAACCAAGATCCCGCCACTGCAGCCTGGCAAAGAGTGAGACCCTGTCTAAGAAAAAAAAGAAAAAAAAGAAAGGCCACTGATCATTGGGAGCTTTTGGAGGCACCGTGACCGGCAGGGTGCCACCAAGCATGTGTGGCCTCCCAGGAGCTAAGACCCCAGAGTTCTTCAGGCTCTGCTGAGTGCCTCCCATTTGCACAGCCTCTTTATGCTGTTAGGAATGAAGAAAAGTCTAAACTGAAGCTGCCCCAGGCAGGAGGCCAGGTTTTCTGCTTCTTGGGTTTACTGAGGCTCTGCTTTACCTACAGAGTGTTTGGAAATAAAGAGAAGACTGGAAATCTTTGCTCTTGTTAGAAACACTTTGTGTTTGTCCCGCTGACACCTCTGTGTTGGCCTTCCCATCCCCAGGTCCCATTAAGGCACAGTGCACCTTCCTGGAGGCTGGCTTCATTTCACCATCTCTTCATTCTAGACCTTGGATTCTTGTGCAAAGGAAATACTCCCATGTTTCTGTCTTCTTTTATCCGTCTTTTTCTTTTTTCTTTTTTTTTTTTTTAGACCGAGTCTTGCTCTGTCACCCAGGTTGGAGTGCAGTGGTGCGATCTCGGCTCACTGCGACCTCCACCTCCCGGGTTCAAGCAATTCTGCCTCAGCCTCCCGAGTAGCCAGGACTACAGGTGCGTGCTGCCACACCCGGCTGATTGTTGTATTTTTAGTAGAGACGGGGTTTCACCACATTGGACAGGCTGGTCTGGAACTCCTGACCTCAAGTTATCCACCCGCCTTGGCCTCCCAAAGTGCTGGGATTACTGGTGTGAGCCACTGCACCCAGCCCTTCTTCTTTTTCTTATTCCCCTTAATCCTCAGAAGTTAAGGGGAATAACTCCCCCATTGGGGGAGGGGCATCCGCGATTATCTGGGATATTCTAAGCTTAATCCTACTAGCGTGATCTGTCCTGTCCCGTAATCTGCTTGCTGTTTCTGCTTAAAGATTATGAGGCATGTGGGTTAGGGCCCAGTGTACCCTTTTTTGGGACCGAGGCATGTTCTGGGCAGGGCTTTTGAGCAAGGAAGGCAGGTGTGATGAGGCCCGTGGCCAGCCTCCACTCCACTCACAGGTGCACCACCTGTGGATCTGTTCTCCCTGGGGAGGGATGGGGAGCCAACTGGAATGTGAGTGTTTGGTTCCACCTGGTCAGTATGAAGTGGCAATGGTTGGTGCAGGACGTAGCACTGGGGGCGAGCATGGCAATGAGACAGAAACACTGACTTAAAACTGGAAGGAAGCCCTTCTCCAGGCCGCGCAGGGGGCTGCAGAGCTTTCCGGCGCTGGCTGCCTGGCCTGGAGAAAGGAGGTGATCATCCCATCCTGTGACTTTGAGAGCACTCACACAAGCCCTGAGGACTCCCTGTCAGCAGAGTCCCAACAGGGCACCCTCCCACAAATCTACTGCCCAGGCCCAGCTGGCTCTCGGAGGCCTTGAGAAGGCCCTGGTGCTCTTGCTCTCTGCTGCCTTCTCTGGGAGAGTCTCCTTCTGGCTCAGAGTCTTACCACCATTCTGCCAAGAAAAACCCTCCCTATTTGACACAAGAAGATGAGGCAGAATCACAGGCATGGTGACTAACTCTCAAGGCTGAATAACCTGGGGGAGACCGAGGCCCAGAAACTGGCCAGTAACTTTACTGAGCCTGGCCAGGAATGGGACCAGGTCTGGACCACCATTGCACGTCCCCTCCCTGGCCTGAGATCAGGACTCCCACTGCAGCCACTGGAGGCAGAATGCCGGGTCACTGCCCAGGAGACCCCATTGGTGGGGACTGTGGCAGCTACCCCATCCCTGTGTTGTTTGATTTCCCACCCCCCCCTCCCAAGACCCTCATTCCCATGAGCACCCCACCCACACAGGCAAGGGCCTTGAGGGGACCCAGCAAGTCGTGGAGGACAGCACAGCCTTGGAGAGGAAATGTGTCAGCCACAAGGTTATGATCCCGGGGATCCACATAAGAGCATGGGCGTGCACGTGGGTGGTCCTCCCTCAGCCAGCTTCTCAACAGCTTCTCCCAAAGGTACACCTGGATCCAGTACCACTGAGACCCAAAGACGGGGTTGGGGGACTGAATACCTGGACTGACAGGCACCTCCATAGAACTGAGACCCATGAGACCCGGGACCCGCAGCCTCCCTGCCCCGTGCCCTGGTGCCGGCCCTCAGCCCAGCTTCCTCGTCTGCATGCAGCAGCTCCTCTGTCCACCAGCAGAGGCTCTTCTAGGGCCTTGCTGGGCTGCAGCTGACTCAGGAGGGCAACAGCCTCTTCAGAGAATTTGACAGCATGGAGAACCAAACAAAAGCAGAAAGTGAAGCCTCAGAACTGGGTTCACCATCATCCCAGTTTTTTACAAGCTATGATTTTGTCCCATCTTTATTAACAAGATAAGGAAGTATGAAAAGTAATCTCGACATCTGAGATGGTGAGATTACAGCCCCAGGAGCCACCCAGCTGGCTGAGGAGCCTGAGAACAAGGCACAGCCACATGACCTGTGCCAGACAAATGCTAGAATGATGGTCACGCAGGTTAGAACGAACCCAGGTAGACGGAGGCCTCAGGATCAGGGTGAGGCCAGAGGGGGCACCTGGGTGCAAAATTTAAGGAAGCACTTTTTGTTTTTTAGATAAGGTCTCGCTCTGTTGCCCAGGCTGGAGTGCAGGGCTATGATTGCAGCTCGCTGCAGCCTCTGCCTCCCAGGCTCAAGTGATCCAGTCACCTCAGCTGAGTCACTGGGACTACAGGCTTGCACCACCAGACCTGGCTTTTTTTTTTTTTTCTTTTTAAGGTTTTAGTAGAGACAGGGTCTCGCCGTATTGCCCAAGCTAGTCTGGAACTCACGGGCTCAAGCCATCCTCCCATCTCAGCCTCCCGAAGTGCTGGGATTACAGGCTTGAGCCACCGCGCCTGGCCCTGAGGCATTCCTTTTTAAGACCTACCTGCATTCGGATGGCGCTGGGAGTGGGGGCCTCCTTAGATGTGGGCTCCTGGATGCTTCTCTGTCTTCACCTGGCCCCAGCCTCATGGGTGCAGCTGGAAA
This sequence comes from Homo sapiens, assembly GCF_000001405.40. NCBI lineage: Eukaryota > Metazoa > Chordata > Mammalia > Primates > Hominidae > Homo > Homo sapiens. The sequence continues at coordinate 144,295,989 of NC_000008.11, forward strand.
GACTCTAGAAGGATGTGCTGAAACCCTGGGGCTCCCTGAGACTGAGTGAGCTGGAGGTCACCAAGGCCCTCGGCCTATCGCGGGAGAGAGTTCCATTGAAAGCCAGTGGTCAGGTGGCCGCTGTGGAGGGTCTCTGGGTGGACAATTGGGAGCAGAGTGGTCCCTGCAGTGAGGCAGGGGGCAGGGCCTGAGGGGTCCCTGAAGTAAGGCAGGGCAGGGCGTCCACTCATAAGCACACGAGGAGTTGCAGAAGCAGAGCCGACCTGGCCACGCTCAGTCACTCAGACCCTGGTCACAGATCGTGTCCGGAGCTCCCACGGCAGGCAGGGCCACCCCTGCTTCCCTGGTTCTGAGAGCCGCCAAGACCCAGCAGGCCCACTGGCCCCACCCTGGAAGATCTGGTATTTGGCCCAAGATGCTGGAGGCCCCACAGCAGCAGCTGTGAGAAGTGCTGCAGGGTCTGGAGGGCCTGATGTGTGCCCGGACCATAGTGCCTCCTGGTGTGGCCATAAGAAGGCACACAGCTGGGGCTGGTCGTGGTGGCTCACGCCTGTAATCCCAGCACTTTGGGAGGCTGAGGTGGGCGGATCACGAGATCAGGAGGTCAGGAGATTGAGACCATCCTGGCTAACATGGTGAAACCCCGTCTATATTAAAAAATACAAAAAACTAGCTGGACGTGGTGGTGGGTGCCTGTAGTCCCAGCTACTTGCGAGGCTGAGGCAGGAGAACGGCGTGAACCCAGGAGGCGGGGCTTGCAGTGAGCTGAGATCGCGCCATTGCACTCCAGCCTGGGTGACAGAGCGGGACTCCATCTCAAAAAAAAAAAAAAAGAAGGCACACATCTGTCCTCATACAGCTTCTGTGCATAGCACAGAAAAAATTAAAAAGGCTCTGTGCTGTAGCCTCCTGTGTTTCCTCTGCCCCGGATGGTGTGGTGGGGGGGGTGCGGTGAGGAGGGGCCCAGGGCACAGAAGGGCTGAGCTGCAGTGGCCTCCTGGGGGGAGGCAGATGCCTCCGGTGCCCCATGCCCACCCAACTCCACAGGCTAGTGTTTGCTCAGTCCTTTATTGAGGGACCAGGGATGGACAGCCTGGCCCTGAAAGTCTCTCAGTTTTGGAGGAGTCAGCCTGTGTGCAGGGCGAGCTGGAGAGGGGTCGGTGGGGCTCACAGTGCCTTCCCAGAGGAAGCAAGCAGCTCCCATCGGGTATATTGAGGGCTGTTGGCTCCAGGGTCTCCTCAAGGTCTGGCAGGTGGAGGGGAGGCTGTCTAAGGAAAGGAGGTGGTCCCAAATGTCTCAAGGCACCTGGCAGCAAGGGCTGCTGCTGCCTCAGCCTCCTCCCTGTGACCCTGTGGGCCATGGTGAGCAGCAGTAGCCACCACACTTGTGCACGGCAGCCAGTGACGAGATGTGATGAGAGATGAGGGCGATTGTGCTGCTCTTGGTCCTTGTGTGGCGAGAACACGCTGGAAGCTCCTCCAGAGCGGAAACAAGAAGAGTGTTTATGAGAAAGGTGCGGGTGGCTCAGATGTGGACAGAACCAGACCAGGGAACGGGGCCACAAAGTGAGCCACTTTGTCTGCACCTGCTCGCGCTTCCTGCCTGCCTCACTGCTTCCATGCCCTGACTCCGGTGGTCCCTGCTCCCCACACGTGGGCCACAGCTACTCACACACGCGCTCCCTTTGCTCCTAAAGCCTATACTCCCGGGACCCGGAGAGGGAACAGCCGGCCAGCCGAGCCCAGGAGCCCAGATCACCGGTCAGCAGATACAGCTTTGACTTGGCAGGAGGCTGGAACAAGAGGCTTGTGGCCTGGGCTGTGGGGCCACCTTGTAGAATACGGCACTGTTCACGTTTTGGGCCAGGGAGCCCTTTGAGAAGATACTCAGAGACACAGACACTTTCTATGTAAGGTGTCCCTACAGGCAGGATCTCACACACATTTCAGGTCCTTCACAGTGCTGCAGAAAATGAGGCCACAGGCTCCAAGTTTACTGCAAGCTGCGGGGTTTGCTGACACCTACACTTCTCAGCGTGTGGCATCTCGCACCAGCCAGGGGCCTCCCATTTCCAGTGGCAGGTTTTCGTGATATCCAGTTATGACCGGTGACTCCTCCAAGAGGTGCCTGTGGTCAGCAGAGGAGGGACCTTGTTCCACTGAGGCAGGAAGATGAGAGAGACACTGGGTTCTCTGATGGGTTCACCAGCAGACCCTGTGAAATTCATAATGGCCCCTAAGGTAGGGGTTGCCTGACATGTTCAACTTGGATTTAACCCTTAAGGCATAAGAAGCCGCTGAAAATGTTCAGACGTTACAAAACTAGGGCCGGGCACGGTGGCTCACGGCTGTAATCCCAGCACTTCGGGAGGCTGAGGCGGTTGGATCACCTGAGGTCAGCAGTTCAAGACCAGCCTGACCAACATGGTGAAACCCCGTCTCTACTAAAAATACAAAAAAAAAAAAAATAGCCAGGCGTGGTGGTGCGTGCCTGTAATCCCAGCTACTCGGGAGGCTGAGGCAGGAGAATCACTTGAACCTGGGATACAGAGGTTGCAGTGAGCCGAGATTGCGCCGCTGCGCTCCAGCCACAGAGCGAGAAACTGTCTCAAAAAAAAAAAAAGAAAGAAAAGAAAAAACCGGCGAGGACTGAGGTAAACCACAAAATTGTCCAGGCTTTTTATGTGGAGGGAATTTGCAGACTCACGTGCAGAGAACCCAACAAACCCAGACTTTGGGGCAGCTGAGGCAGCTAGAATGTGTGGGGTGTGGTACCAGAAAGGAAGGAGTTACGCCCAAAACAAAGAGCTCCAGCAATCTGCGCGTGAGCCCGCTTGCATCTTGGGTTGGATCCGATTTGCTGGTGCACACAGTGAAACCTCGTGGAGCTGGACCAAGAGCAACTTGAAGGGGAAGAGTAAGTGTAAGGGGACAGATGAGCAGGACTCACACAGGGCCGTGGTTATTTCAGTTCCCACCAGCCAGAGTATAGAAGCCACTTTAAATACAAGGAGCTTTCATGACACCTTAGAGGAAACACAGCTTGGAAGTGGCGCAGAATAAGCTGCAGAGGAAAGGCCACTCCAATGCCGTGGAAACAAGTGCAAGGCAAGCCCTGGAAACACCACTGCCTGCTAGCACGGAGTACACACAGCACTCTTGAGAGAAGGAAGCCAGGCGAAGTGGCTCACACCTGTAATCCCAGCACTTTGGGAGGCCGAAGCAGGCGGATTATCTGAGGTCAGGAGTTCAAGACCAGCCTGGCCAATATGGTGAAACGCCGTCTCTACTACAAAAAATTAGCCATGTGTGGTGATGGGCGCCTGTGGTCCCAGCTACTTGGGAGGCTGAGGCAAGAGAACCACATGAGCCCGGGAGGCAGAGGTTGCAGTGAGCCGAGATCGCATCACTGCACTTCAGCCTGGGCAACAGAGCAAGACTCCTTCTAAAAAAAAAAAAAAAAATTCACGTCCAGAATCTAATCAGTCATGGGCAGACAAGCCAAAGCAGAAAAATGGACTTGTCACTGGAGGGGGTCCAGTAGCAGGCCCAGTTTTGATAGGATTAGCCAACAAAGACAGTAAACAATTATAAAAATGTTCCCTGTGCTCAAAGAAATAACACAAAAATGTGACTGAGGGCTGGGCGTGGTGGCTCACACCTGTAATCCCAGCACTCTGGGAGGCCGAGGCGGGTGGATCACGAGGTCAGGAGATCAAGACCATCCTGGCTAACATGGTGAAACCCCGTCTCTACTAAAAATACAAAAAATTAGCCGGGCGTGGTGGCGGGCACCTGTAGTCCCAGCTCCTCCAGAGGCTGAGGCAGGAGAATTGCTTGGACCCGGGAGGTGGAGCTTGCAGTGAGCCAAGATCGTGCCACTGCACTCCAGCCTGGGTGACAGAGCGAGACCCCGTCTCAAAAAATAAGAAAACATGACTGAGAAATGGAAGATACAGAAAAGAAGCAAGTTGGACAAAATGTCACTGGAACTAATCTCCCAAGTAGAAGAATTCCACATTGTTTACTGAGATAGTTCCCCTTCGAGGAGGTGATGCTTAACTCCTCACTCCAGAAGCCTGGGCTTTACCTAGTGACCCTCTTCCAAAGAGCAGAGCACAGAAGCAGGAGGAGCAGCTTTCCAGTGGAGACCTCCAGCAACACAGCCTCACCAGGGACCATGCTCACCATCAGCAGTGACATGCGTATCACTGTTGTGTACTCTTTTTTTTTTTTTTTTTTTTTTTGAGACGGAGTCTCGCTCTGTTGCCAGGCTGGAGTGCAGTGGCACAATCTCGGCTCACTGCAACCTCCACCTCCCAGGTCCAAGCAATTCTCCTGCCTCAGCCTCCCACGAAGCTGGGACTACAGGCACCCGCCACCTCGCCCGGCTAATTTTGTTGTATTTTTAGTAGAGATGGGGTTTCACCGTGTTAGCCAGGATGGTCTCAATCTCCTGACCTCGTGATCCGCCCACCTTGGCCTCCCAAAGTGTTGGGCGCGTCAGCCACCGCGCCCGGCCTGTTGTGTACTCTTGATAGGATGATGAGAACAGCACTCTACCTCTTTGATCTTCCTCCCAAAAACATACGTAACCCCAGCTAATGATGAAAAAACATCAAACAAATCCAAATTGAGAGACATTCCACAAACTGTTTGACGAGTCCTCAAAATTGTCAAGGTTCTCAAAAACTAGGCAAGTCTGAAAGGTGCCAGAGTCAGTGGGACTGAAGAAGATGTGACAACTGGATGGATTTTGGATGATGTCCTGGAGCAGAGGAAGGATTGGGTAAAAAGCTAAGGAATCTGATTAGAATGTGGGTCCTAGTTAACAATGTGTCTAATGTTCTTGAGACAACTGTACCACACAAAGGCAGGATGTTAATGATGGGGGACACTGGTGTAGGGCATGTATTCTAAAGTAAAAAGGTGGTTCTTCAGAGTCACCGGAGCGGTTTAACAAAACATTAGAAACTTCAGAAGAAAAGATTCCTGAACTAAAAGCAATGGAAACTGTCCACAGTGATGTACAGGGAGAAAAAGGACTGCAAAAACTTAGCCGAGCTTCAAGGACATAATATCATGTGGTCTAACGTATTTGAGGTTCCAGAAAACAGTGGGGAAGAGAATACAGAAATATGACCAAAAGGCTGGACACGGTGGCTCCTGCCCGAAATCCCAGCACTCTGGGAGGCTGACATGGGTGGATCGCTTGAGCCCAGGAGTTCAAGACCAGCCTGGGCAACATAGCAAGACCCTGTCTCTATAAATAATACAAAAATTAGCCGGGCGTGGTAGTGCCTGCCTGTGGTCCCAACTACTCGGGAGGCTGAGGCGGGAGGATCACCTGAGTGCAGGAGGTGGAGGCTGCAGTGAGCCATGATCGTACCACTGCACTCCAGCCTGGGCAACAGAGCCCTGTCTCAAAAAAAAAATTATGGCCAAAATTTTTCCCAAATTTTTGAAAAGCTGTAAGCTCACAAATCCAAGAATATCAGTCTTAAGCAGGATAAAACCAAAACCATATCAAGGTACATTATATAATCAAAGTGCTGGAACAGGCTGGTGAAGAGAAAATCTTAAAAGCTCCAGAAGAGGCCGGGCGCGGTGGCTCACGCCTGTAATCCCAGCACTTTGGGAGGCCAAGGCGGGCGGATCACCAGGTCAGGAGGTCGAGACCATCCTGGCTAATACAGTGAAACCCCGTCTCTATTGAAAATACAAAAATTAGCCGGGCGTGGTGGCGGGTGCCTGTAGTCCTAGCTACTCGGGAGGCTGAGGCAGGAGAATGGCGTGAACCCGGGAGGCAGAGCTTGCAGTGAGCCGAGATCGCACCACTGCACTCCAGCCTGGGCGACAAAGCGAGACTCCGTCTCAAAAAAAATAAAAAGCATCCAGAAGAGCCGTGCACGGTGGTGGTGCCTGTGGTGCCAGCTACTCAGAGGCTCGGGTGGAAGGATTGCTCCCAGATGGGGCAACATAGCTTGGCCAACATGGTGAAACCTTGTCTCTACTAAAAATACAAAAACTAGCTGGGCGTGGTGGCAGGTGCCTGTAATCCCCGCTACTCGGGAGGCTGAGGCGGGAGAATCTCTGGAACCCAGGAGGCAGAGGCTGCAGTGAGCCGAAACTGCACCATTGCACTCCAGCCTGGGCGACACAGCGAGACTCCGTCTCCAAAAAAAAAAATTTTTTTTTGCAACTCAGGAAGACAACCATTTAAAAAAAATTAAAGGCAGGCCGGGCGCCGTGGCTCACGCCTGTAATCCCAGCACTTTGGGAGACCGAGGCAGGCGGATCACAAGGTCAGGAATTCAAAAGCAGCCTGGCCAATATGGTGAAACCCCGTCTCTACTGAAAATACAAAAATTAGCTGGGCGTGATGGCAGGTGCCTGTAGTCCCAGCTACTCAGGAGGCTGAGGTGGGAGAATCGCATGAACCCGGGAGGCAGAGGTTGCAGTGAGCTGAGATCGCGCCATTGCACTCTAGCCTGGGCAGTGGAGCGAGACTCCATCTAAAAAAAAAAGATAATAATAATAATAAATAAAACGCAAGTGGCTGAGCATGGTAGCTGACACCTGTAATCCCAACACTTTGGGAGGCCAGCGCGGGTAGATTGCTTCCACTCAGGAGTTCGAGACCAGCCTGGGCAACATAGGGAGACCCATCTCTACAAAAAAAAATGAGCCTGATGTGGTGGTGTGCTCCTGTGGGCCCAGCTACGCGGGAGGCTGAGGTGGGAGGATCTCTTGATCCCAGGAGGTAGAGGTTGCAGTGAGCCCAGATCGCGCCACTGCACTCCAGCCTGGGTGACAAAGCAGACTCTGTCTCGAAAAAACATACATTGAAAAAGGCAGAAGATTTGAACAGATACATCAAAAAAAAGATAGACAAATAGCAAATAAGCACTTGAACAGGTGCTCAGCATCGTTCGTTGTCAGAGGAATGCACACGAAAACCGCAGCGACAGCGACTAGAACAGCCAGGTGCTGAGGAGGGTGCGGAGCCCCTGGAACTCACCCGTGCTGCTGAGAACACAAATGCTGCATCCGCTTTGGAAAGCAGCTTGGGAGTTGCATGTGAAATTCAGCATTTACCACACGGCCAGCAGTTCTGCTTTGGTTATTCTACTCCAGAGTTTCCACTGGGGGTCCTTTATGATTTCGTCTCTTCTATCATTTTTTTGGTATAGATGGGGGTCTCGCTATTTGGATTATTGTTGCAGGCGTGTTTGGGGTTTTTGAGTAGTGGTAGTGTCTGAGGTCAGTCAGGGTTGTTCTGGCCCCAGCAGGGCTCTTCGTAGCTTTTCCTGTGCAGGTGAACAAGCCTGCGGTTTCACTTGTTTCTCTTAACTTAGAGGAGCTGTTGTTCCCAAGAGCAGTCTTGGGCTGAACTTTCAAATAAAATGAGTTTCCTCAGGGAGCTTCAGAGCTCTTTCCTTATGGACGGCCTCTCTCCCCAGGCTGATTTCTCTGCACCACCCTTCTGGGCACTGGGTAAGACAGCAGCCTCTGATCTTCTTGGCCTGGCTTTCCCAGCATGGGTGCTCTACCCTACTGTTTTAACCTAGAAAGCCTGAACTGTATTTAAAACTTGTGGTTTTTAAGGCCAGGCACAGTGGCTCATGCCTGTAATCCCAGCACCTTGGGAAGCCAAGGTGGGTGGATCACTTATGGTCAGGAGTTCAAGACCAGCCTGACCAACCTGGTGAAAGCCTGTCTCTACTAAAAATATAAAAATAAGCCGGGCGTGGTGGCACATGCCTGTAATACCAGCTACCCAGGAAGCTGAGGCAGGAGAATTGCTTGAACCCAGGAGGCGGAGGTTGCAGTGAGCCAAGATGGCACCACTGCACTCCAGCCTGGGCGACAGCGAGACTCCATATAAAAAATAAAAAAAAAAATTGTGGTTTTGAAAATGCTTTAATTAGGTGGGAGCTGTGGGGAGGGTGATCAGAGACCTGGGTGTCCTCAGCCTGCTGTGGCGGGGGTAGTCTCCTCTCTGAGGCTTGGGCAAGGTGGAGGAAGGGAGCCCCTGGCTTCTTGGCCACGTGCACCAGGATCTTAGTCTCTTCAACTTGGAGTCGGTGAGGATGTGAAACTCTGGTGGTCTGCCCAGCCCATGAGATCCAGGAAACCTTATTTGGGAATTGAGGGGAGAAGGGTCCCCATCTTCCTGCTCCCCTCTCCCTGAGTGTAGTACCCATCATGGTGAGCTGGGGTGAGAGGGAAAGAGGAGGCTGAGGCTCAGATGCCACCAGGCTTAATGTTCGTACCAGGTGTCAGTAGATTTTACTCCGTAAGTGTTCATCTGTTATATGCGTTTAGGACAGTTTTGAGACTTTAAGTGGTTTAAGCTTTGCTTGTTTCACAGGAAGTACTTCCATGAAGTTCCTCACATTGCTGTTCCAGAAGTGGAAATCTCTCCATTTTCAAAGCATAGCTTTGCCGGATATTGAATTTTTATGTTTTGTAGAGATGGGGTCTCGCTATGTTGCCCAGGCTGGTCTCCAACTCCTGGGCTCAAGGGATCCTCCTGCCTTGGCCTCCCAAAGTGCTGGGATTACAGGCATGAGTAACTACACCCGGCCAATATACAAAGATTGAGTGGCAGGGTCTTTTATTTTAATGCTTTTATTTTATTTGTTTTGGTTTGTTTTTGTTTCTGTTTTTTTGGAGATGGAGTCTCGCTCTGTCACCCAGGCTAGAGGGCAGTGGCACGATCTGTGCTCACTACAACTTCTACCTCCCGGGTTCAAGCAGTTCTTCTGCCTCAGCCTCCCAAGTAGCTGGGATTACAGGCATGAGCCACGACACTAAAATTTTTCCATTTTTAGTAGAGGCGGGGTTTCACCATGCTGGCCAGGCTGGAACTCCTGACCTCAAACGATCCACACACCTCAGCCTCCCAAAGTGTTGGGATTACAGGCATGAGCCACCACACCAGGCATTTTAATCCTTTTTTTTTTTTTTTATTGAGACAGAGTCTCACTCTGTCCCCCAGGCTGGAGTGCAGTGGGGTGATCTCGGCTCACTGCAACCTCTGCCTCCTGGGTTCAAGCGATTCTCCTGCCTCAGCCTCCCGAGTAGCTGGGACTATAGGCGCCCGCCACTGTGCCGGCTAATTTTTATATTTTTAGTAGAGACGGGGTTTCCCCATGTTGGCCAGGCTGGTCTCGAATTCCTAACCTCAGGTGATCCGCCTGGCTCAGCCTCCCAACATGCTGGGATTACAGGTGTGAGCCACCATGCCCGGCTGTGTTACACTTTTTGTGGTGTCTCACAGGTCTCTGAGGCTCTGCTCATTTTTGTTTTTGTTTTTATTTTTTTGAGACAGAGTCTCTTTCTGTCACTAGACTGGAGTGCAGTGGTGCAATCTCGGCTCACTGCAACCTCTGCCTCCAGAGTTCAAGCGATTCTCTTGCCTCAGCCTCCCAAGTAGCTGGGATTACAGGCACATGCCACCATGCCCAACTAATTTTTTTTGTATTTTTAGTAGAGATGGGGTTTGACCATGTTGGCCAGGATGGTCTAGATCTCTTGACCTCGTGATCCAACCACCTTGGCCTCCCAAAGTGCTGAGATTACAGGCGTGAGCCACTGCGCCTGGCCGGCTCCTCCTTCTTATTCCTTCTGTCTTTTTTTCTCCTACTGGAGCACCTCAATTGACTGATCTTCATGTTTGCTGACTCCTTCTTCTCCTAGTCAGGTCTGCTCTTAAGCCCCTCTGGTTAATTTTTTTTTTTTTTTTTTTTTTTTTTTGAGACGGAGTCTCACTCTGTAGCCCAGGCTGGAGTGCAATGGCGCGATCTCGGCTCACTGCAACCTCTGCCTCCCGGGTTCAAACAATTCTCCTGCCTCAGCCTCCTGAGTAGCCGGGATTACAGGCATGAGCCACCACACCTGGCTAATTTTGTATTTTTAGTAGAGACGGGGTTTCTCCATGTTGGTCAGGTTGGTCTCCAACTCCTGACCTCAGGTGATCCGCCTGCCTTGGCCTCCCAAACTGCTGGGATTACAGGCGTGAGCCACCGCGCCCGGCCCCTCTGGTTGACTTTTAATCTGAGTTATTAAACTCTTCAGCTCCATAATTTTGATTTCGGGCTTCTTTACAATTTTTATCTCTTTATTGATACTCTCTGATAAGATGTCATTCTCATACTTTAGTTCTTCAGATGTGGTTTCCTTTAGTTGTTTGAACATATTTGAAATGATTGACTTAAAATCTTTGCCTCGTAAGTCCAGTGTCCAATGTTTTGGCTTCTTTGGGGACAGTTTCTATTGATTGCCTTTTTTTTTTTTTCCCGTGTATGGGGTATGGGTCCTAGCTTCTTGTTTCTTTGCATATCTCTATTTTTTTTTTTAACTAGAGTTTTTTGTTTGTTTGTTTGTTTGTTTGTTTTTGAGTCTGTTACCCAGGCTGGAGCGCAGTAGTTCAATCACAGCTCACTGCAGCCTTCACCTCCGGAGCTCAAGGGATCCTCCCTCCTCAGCCTCCTGAGTAGCTGGGATGATAGGTGTGCGCCACCACGCCCACTTAATTTTTGTATTTCTTCTAGAGACGGGGTTTTGCCATGTTGCCCAGGCCAGTCTCCAACTCCTGAGCTTGAGCAACCCACCCGCCTCGGCTTCCCAAAGTGCTGGGACCGCAGGCGTGAACCAGCGCAGCCGGCTGGAAAACTGGAACTCTCATCGGTTGAGAGTGGCAGCTCTGGAGCTCGGACTCCCCCACCTCCCCAGGATTTGTCATTGCTGCTGTTTGTCGTGGTTATCTGTCAGGTAGCTTTTCGGCACTAATTCTGTAAAGGTTGCGTTCTTTCTTGTTTATGGCCACTGCCGTCTCTGTTCAGTTAACTGAGATAGGTGGTGATGGGGCAGAAATGTTCTTGAATGCCTGGGGCCAGTGAGTCTCCCGTCTTTTCCGGGGGCTGTGTGTGTGTGTGTGTGTGTTGGGGACGCCTTCAGCACTCGGCCAGGCAGTGGACAACCCAACTGTATGCCTGACTTCCTGCTTACACAGAGCCTCAAGGTCAGCCAGAAGTGAGAGCTCGGGGCTGGCTCAGGTCTTTCCTGAGCACGGGCACGGCTCACACGTGTACACGGCTGCGAGATGTCCTGGAATATCTCAGAGCTTTTCAGAGCCCCTAGTGGCACCTCCTTCTCCCCAGCTGCCAGGCACTGCCTCAGGCAGCCACAGCGTTCAAAAATCACCTGTAAAGGTTTCAACAGGCACACCTCGGCAAACAGCTTTTTTATTCAGGAGAGCTTCAAGTCAAATCAGAGACAGCCTTGGGAGTGGACTCTTAGGTCAGATGCTGACAGTCCTCTGGGAATGGGGCCCTGGAGGAGCTCAAGCCCTGGCCCACCCCGCAGCGGCTGCCAGGACGCTGTTCCCACGGGGACTGCAGCTGTTGGTTTTTAAGGCTGCAGATGGAGTGGGAATAGGGCATGTAAAATGCCACAAAGCCTGGCTGGGCACAGAGGCTCACGCCTGTAATCCCAGCACTGCAGGAGGCCAAGGTGGGCGGATTGATTGAGGTCAGGAATTCGAGACCAGTCTGGGCAACATGGTGAAACCCCATCTCTCCTAAAAATACAGAAATGAGCCGGGCGTGGTGGCGCCTATAGTCAGCTACTCGGGAGGCTGAGGCAGGAGAATCACTTGAACTCGGGAGGCTGAGGCACGAGAATCGCTTGAACTGGGAGGCTGAGGCACGAGAATCGCTTGAACTGGGATGCAGAGGCTGCAGTGAGCCATGTTGGTGCTGGTGCACTCCAGCCTGAGCAAGACCTTGTCTCAGAAAAAAAAAAAGTTCACAAAGCCCACTGTTCTTACTAAGATTCAGCTGTTTTTCTTGAATAAATGCTCCCCGTGCTACTGTAATTCTTTGGTTAACTTTCAGAGTTCTGGAAAGTTGGCTTGGCGCTTTTCGCCGTCTCTCTCCTGCTGCCTTGGGGTCCTTTCCGTGACCGTTTCCCTCCCTGACACGTGTACATCCCTGTGTATTTCACATCTCTCTATGCTGGAAAGAGGTTCTCCACTTCTAGTGCCACACCACGGGGGTCTTTCTGGCTTTTTCCCTGTTTGCATCTGCAGCTCCCTTCCCTGGCAGGGAGAAACCTGCCCCACTGCCCTTCACCAGTTTCTTCACTGAGTCAGCCGCCCCTTCCTATGCAGACACCCCTCACCCCTCTCTGGCCCTGCTTCAGGCCCCCCTTCCCCGCCGTGTGGGCTTCTCGCTGTCCCCTAAGCCTTCGATGTCCCCTCTGAGCCACCGCGGCCACGGCCAACAGGGATGCCTCCCTCACCAGCGCCTCCTGATAGCTCTGGGCCTGAGCTCGGTAGAGAAATGGAAGAGGAAGGTATATGCAGTGTTTGACTGTCTCTGTTTCTTGTCTCACGTCACAAAACAAGACTGAATTTGGATTTCTGAACGCGACTGTGTTTTCCTCGGGAGTAATGAAATTAGGGCTCCATTTCCTTCGCTGTTCCCAAGGGAAAGGTCCTGCTTAAACAGGTGCTTTGTGAGTGGAAACGTGGCCAGAGTGCGGCGGGTGCTTTGTGAGTGGAAATGTGGCCAGAGTGCGGCGGATGCTTTGTGAGTGGAAACGTGGCCTTCTCTGGAAGCCCTGGGGAGGGGCTTTCCGACTGAGAGGAAGGCCTCGCATCTGCCCACCGCCCAGTCCTGGGCCTCACAGTGAGGATGCAGGTCACGCTGCACAGATGAGGCCCGTGTGGCAGGTGGTCCCAGGAACGAACTCGCCTCCCGCCAGCCCCCTGGGCCTCCCATGGCCCCAGCCCCATCAGGTGGAACGTGCACTGCCTGCGTTTCAGAAGGGGCGGCCTGGGGAAGGGGCGGCTTGGGCACGCTGCCCCTCACCACCACGCGTGACCCACCCATGTGTCTCCCTTTCAGAGCGGGAACAGCTTCCACGTGTTCGACCAGGGCCAGTTTGCCAAGGAGGTGCTGCCCAAGTACTTCAAGCACAACAACATGGCCAGCTTCGTGCGGCAGCTCAACATGTGTGAGTGCTGCCTCCAGGCAGCGCAGGGGTGCGGGAGGCAGACCTGCAGATGGCGGGACCCCAGCAGGAGGACCCTGTGATGAAGGACGGGGCGTCCTGTGCTGGCCAAGGGCATGGCGTGGGACCCTGCAAGCCTGGGGGCCGGGGAGCAGCCGCCTCTTCCATGGGGGAGGGTCCTTGTGGGTATGAACCTGGGGTCCCCATGGAAGAACCGTGAAGCCGGAGCTGTACTCCACGTGTGTCGGGCGCAGGGAGCCCTGTGGGGACACAGGGTCTCCCTTAGACCAAGGCCACTCGGCCACCCAGGCATGGGCTCTGAGGGGGCAGGGCAGGGTCTGACCATGGCCAAGCCCCGCAGCAGCCTCCTGGAGCAGTGGCCGCTCTTCAGGGGTTCTGGTCCCGCCCTGAGGCAGAGCTGCCCCCTTCCCTGTTATGTGCAGATGGCTTCCGGAAAGTGGTCCACATCGAGCAGGGCGGCCTGGTCAAGCCAGAGAGAGACGACACGGAGTTCCAGCACCCATGCTTCCTGCGTGGCCAGGAGCAGCTCCTTGAGAACATCAAGAGGAAAGTGACCAGTGTGAGTGCCGGCCCTGCACCCTTGCCCGGTCTCACCTGCCACAGCTCTCCCCGCCCGCCCCTCCCTGAGGGCTCCCACCCCAGCCTGCCCCTTCCTGAGGGACCTGGCTGCAGTGGACGAGCCTGAGCCTGCCAAGCTCCTAGGCTGCTCCAGTGACTCCTGTCCCTCTCGGGAATCCAGGTGTCCACCCTGAAGAGTGAAGACATAAAGATCCGCCAGGACAGCGTCACCAAGCTGCTGACGGACGTGCAGCTGATGAAGGGGAAGCAGGAGTGCATGGACTCCAAGCTCCTGGCCATGAAGCAGTAGGTCCCACACCAGCATTATGGGCCACAGCGGGTCCTGGCGCCCACCAAGAGGCCCCGGGTGCTGTGGGGGCAGGGCCCTGACCGGGGCCAGGTGCTCAGCTCCACCCTCCCGCTCCACGCACATCTACCCTGGGCCTCTGCCCCAGCCCCGCCGCCCGTGGCTGCTGCAACAGCTCTGGGGCCAGCCGTTTTCCATGTGCAGAAGGGGGTTGGGAGGGTCCCCTGCTCTGCACATCCCCAGCGCCCTCTGGGCCATTGGCTTCTGCCTGGCTCCGAGCTTGGCGGGACCCACCAGCCTACTTTTGAGGACAAGCCTTGCACAGCAGACCCGTCCCACCCGCCTCGGGCCTGGGGTCAGACCCACCTCAGGCCCTTCCTGGAACCGCTGTCCCACACTCGCCTGGGCCCATGGAGCTAGCCCCCAGCCCCTCCTCACCGGGACCCTGCGGCTCTGGGGAAACCTTAGCAGGAGCCTAACACACGGTGGCACCTGAGAAACTGAGGCAAGCCCACCTCGGAAGGCCAGCTCAGGTCTCACGTCCACTTTGGGGCTCCAGGCATGCGGGAACCCCAATGCCAGTACGGCTTCCTCGGCTCCGTGCAGCAGGCGCTCTTGACCCCCACGTCATGGAGGAGGCCTTGGCCTCAGACTCTCCTGCATGGGGTCTAGCAGGAGCCACCGGCTTTGTGATTCCTGGAGTCCGGCCACGTGGACCTGGCCTACCAAGAAGACTCACAGGCTTGACAGGGCCCAGCCTCCCAGAGCAGCAGGAGCGCGGTCATGGCCCTGCTCACCTGGCTGGGGACAGCTCTTCCCCACCCCTGAGCCACCTCCAGGCCTGGCGAGGGCCCTGAGCACCTACAGGACATGGGACAGCCAGTGTCGCAGCCTGAAGAACCGTCCTCCCTTAACCTGGCTGCTCAGGCCTTGGAAGGGCGGCCCAAGGGTCTGCTCCTGGCCTGTGTCCAAGGCAGCCCTCCAGGTGTTTGCCAGGATGGATGCCAGGATCCGGGTGCACCTGGCTCGCATGGATCCATCCCCAACACCCTACGTGACACCAGGTGTCCCCGGCAGGGAGGGGCAGTGGGACCAGCAAGCCCTGGCCCTGGCCCCCAGTCCCTCCACACACAAGTTCTCATCCTGGGGTGGGCCAGGCCAGACATGGTCACACTTACCCCTGCTCCTGCATGGGGGACAGGGAGGGTCTGTGGGGCTCCCTCAGCCCTGGGGCTCATGGGATTGGGCCCCACTGACCCAGCCTGGTCTGTTGCAGTGAGAATGAGGCTCTGTGGCGGGAGGTGGCCAGCCTTCGGCAGAAGCATGCCCAGCAACAGAAAGTCGTCAACAAGGTGGGGGCAGGGCCAGAGGGCCGGCGGGGGCCCCACAAGGGCCGGGGTAACTGTGTCCTCTCTCTCCACAGCTCATTCAGTTCCTGATCTCACTGGTGCAGTCAAACCGGATCCTGGGGGTGAAGAGAAAGATGTGAGGTTTTGGGGATGCCTGCATCCACCACCCGGGGCCCAGGGCTGTCCCCCTTCTCTGTCAGCTGTGCCCCGGGTACCCCGAGGTGGGGGGTGGTGGCTGACCTGCACCCTTCCCCACAGCCCCCTGATGCTGAACGACAGTGGCTCAGCACATTCCATGCCCAAGTATAGCCGGCAGTTCTCCCTGGAGCACGTCCACGGCTCGGGCCCCTACTCGGTGAGTGCCGGAGACAGGGCACCCGCCCAGGCATGCAGGCGGCAGTGGGGTGGGTTGCCCCTGCCGGCACTGCATGGACCTCCTGCCTTTGATTGCAGGCCCCCTCCCCAGCCTACAGCAGCTCCAGCCTCTACGCCCCTGATGCTGTGGCCAGCTCTGGACCCATCATCTCCGACATCACCGAGCTGGCTCCTGCCAGCCCCATGGCCTCCCCCGGCGGGAGCATAGACGAGAGGTGGGGGCCGCATCACCCCAGCCATCCTGTCCCCCAATGAGGCGAGCCCCTGTGGGCCCAGGGCAGAGTTGGGGATGAGGTGGGGCTGGCCGAGACGCCAGCTCACCTGGCCCCCCTCGTGTGCAGGCCCCTATCCAGCAGCCCCCTGGTGCGTGTCAAGGAGGAGCCCCCCAGCCCGCCTCAGAGCCCCCGGGTAGAGGAGGCGAGTCCCGGGCGCCCATCTTCCGTGGACACCCTCTTGTCCCCGACCGCCCTCATTGACTCCATCCTGCGGGAGAGTGAACCTGCCCCCGCCTCCGTCACAGCCCTCACGGACGCCAGGGGCCACACGGACACCGAGGGCCGGCCTCCCTCCCCCCCGCCCACCTCCACCCCTGAAAAGTGCCTCAGCGTAGCCTGCCTGGACAAGTGAGTGCCGCCCACCCCTGGCCCCACCCACAGCGCCTGGACGCACAGCCCTGGGCTTCAGCCCCGACTGTCCCAGTGGACTGAGCAGGGCAGCTGGCGAGGCAGGACCCTACCCCCAACCTCGGAGCTCGGGGCTGGGGAGGGAGACAGGTGCCAGCCAGATCACCCCACAGTCCCAAACGCCACAGAAGCCACGGGCATGTCCGGACAGGCTGCCGGGCCCTGCTCTCAGCCACCCGTCCTGCTGCCGCCACCCTCGCCACAGGCCACGGGCCCTGGCAGGTCGTGCTGCCCAGACACATGGCAGGAGATGGTGAGCAGGGCCGGCCTCCACACCCCCAGCCCCTGCCTGCAATGGGGGCTCTTGTTTTTGTATCTTGCAGTTTGGCTCGCACTCCACAGATGTCTAGGGTCGCCCGCCTCTTCCCCTGCCCCTCTTCCTCTCCGCATGGCCAAGTCCAGCCAGGGTTAGCGCTGACCCCACTGGGGAGGGAGGAGGGCTCTGCCAGCGCTCGGGCCCTCCCACACAGCCGTGGACCAGACCCAGCCTGGCCGGGCATGAGCGTCGGGCCTGGGCGGCAGCAGCCGAGACCCCTCTGTGGCGGGGGCTCAGTGTCGTCATGGCTCCCCTGGCCACGGGCCTGTGGTCATTGCCTGTGACAGGGATGACAGGGACAGGCCTCCCTGCTCTGGCACGGCCTCTGGTGTTGGCAGGATCCAGACTGCGGTGCTGACTGCACTTCCTGTCAGGCAGGGTCTCCAGGGCACCTCTGGGACCCAGCCTGGCTGTCCGTCCCATAGCCCAGGTGTGCCCTGTGGCCTAGGGCTTTCTTGGTCACAGCCACCAGACCGTGGGTCTCATCCCCACAGCAGCACCAGGGCAGGGACTGAGCCACCCACACACTGAGCAGAGCCCCACCTGTTTTCCCAGTGCAACGGGAAACCTCACCAACCCTGAACACTGAAATCCCTGATCCTTGTGCTGGAGCTGAATACGCCCCTTGTCTCCTGGGTCCACTGCCACCAAGGCCCCCAGGCCCTCATGGCAAAGGGATGCCCAGCATAGGCCCAGCCGCACCCCTGCAGGGCACAGAGCCTCCACTGCCTTCCAGGCCGTCCTCGAATGCGCTGCCCCCTCCAGCCTGTGCAGGCGTACACGGGGGTGCAGCCTGGGGGGTACAGTCAAGGGGAGCCCTTCTCCCACAGGAGGGCATTGGGGTGTGGGGCCTGGGGCACTGGTTCAGGTACCGCCTTATCCCGGGCCAGGAATGAGCTCAGTGACCACTTGGATGCTATGGACTCCAACCTGGATAACCTGCAGACCATGCTGAGCAGCCACGGCTTCAGCGTGGACACCAGTGCCCTGCTGGACGTGAGTGGAGCCCCGCCGCCCCGCCTCCCCGCCCCGCCTCCCCGCCGCGCCGCCCCGCCTCCCCGCCCCGCCTCCCCGCCTCCCCGCGCCGCCGCCCCGCCTCCCCGCCCCGCCTCCCCGCGCCTCCCCGCCTCCCCGCCCCGCCTCCCCGCCTCCCCGCCCCGCCTCCCCGCCCCGCCTCCCCGCCCCGCCCCCGGGTGCTGTTCTGACTTCCCTCCCTCCTCCGCAGCTGTTCAGCCCCTCGGTGACCGTGCCCGACATGAGCCTGCCTGACCTTGACAGCAGCCTGGCCAGTGTGCGTAGGCGGGCGGGGGGTGAGGGGGAACGAGACCAGCGGGAGTGCTCACAATACCGTCTCCACCCCACAGATCCAAGAGCTCCTGTCTCCCCAGGAGCCCCCCAGGCCTCCCGAGGCAGAGAACAGCAGCCCGGATTCAGGTGAGCCAAGTCCCACCGGCCCCACCTCTGCCCCCAACCCCCCACCGCCTTGACACCCCCACCCCCGCAGGGAAGCAGCTGGTGCACTACACAGCGCAGCCGCTGTTCCTGCTGGACCCCGGCTCCGTGGACACCGGGAGCAACGACCTGCCGGTGCTGTTTGAGCTGGGAGAGGGCTCCTACTTCTCCGAAGGGGACGGCTTCGCCGAGGACCCCACCATCTCCCTGCTGACAGGCTCGGAGCCTCCCAAAGCCAAGGACCCCACTGTCTCCTAGAGGCCCCGGAGGAGCTGGGCCAGCCGCCCACCCCCACCCCCAGTGCAGGGCTGGTCTTGGGGAGGCAGGGCAGCCTCGCGGTCTTGGGCACTGGTGGGTCGGCCGCCATAGCCCCAGTAGGACAAACGGGCTCGGGTCTGGGCAGCACCTCTGGTCAGGAGGGTCACCCTGGCCTGCCAGTCTGCCTTCCCCCAACCCCGTGTCCTGTGGTTTGGTTGGGGCTTCACAGCCACACCTGGACTGACCCTGCAGGTTGTTCATAGTCAGAATTGTATTTTGGATTTTTACACAACTGTCCCGTTCCCCGCTCCACAGAGATACACAGATATATACACACAGTGGATGGACGGACAAGACAGGCAGAGATCTATAAACAGACAGGCTCTATGCTATGGCCTCCATGTGTTTCCTCTGTCCCAGGGTGGTGCGGTGGGTGGTGCTGCAATGAGGAGGGGCCCAGGGCACAGAAGGGCCGGGCTGCAGTGGCCTCCTGGGGGAAGACGGATGCTTGCAGCTAGCTCCGTGCCTGCCCGACTCCCCAGGACCAGCATGTGCTTGCAGTTCTTTATTGAGGGACCAGGGGTGGGCGCCTCACCTTGGCCCTGGGGGTCTCTGGTTGTCACAGGACCACCAGGAACCCCCTTCCCAAGGTGTTCGCACTCGGACAGGTGATGCGGGGCGGGCACACTGTCTTTCTGCCAGAGCCAGCACCCTGTGTAGGCACGGGGAACGGGAGCCTGTCCCGTAGCTTTAGGGTTCTCCACTCAGCCTGGTGGAGGAAGGGAAGGGGGCCTGCGCTGGGCAGTGGAGCAGGCTTTGCTGCTTTATCTGGCAGCAACAGTTTGTTCTCGAGCTCCACTGGCCAACTGATAGGGAGAGGCACAGGAGCCCATGTGGGATGGAGGAGTCGGCCCCACACCCATCCCCCCACCAGGAGCTCACCCACTACTGCCATCCTCAGCAGGGCCCAAGGAGATGCCTCCATCTCAGGGCCCACCAGCCCCCACTGGGGTAGAGGGAGGATACCACCAAGGGAGCCCACCCTCCCCTCACACCACCAGTTCAGCAGGTTGCTGATGAGGCCCCTGGTGCAGTCCTGGGACCCTGTGCAGGGCCTCCTCAAACACCTGCCTTGTTGGGCCATAGCTGCAGGTCTGGGGACACCAGGGCCTGGTCCAGTCTTGGGGTCTTTAATCAAGCAGTCACCCCAGCAAGGTAAGGCAGCAGCAGGGCCCTGGGGTTACCCCTGACCTCCCGCTACCATCAAGGGGGGCCCCATCTATCCAGCTTGGTGGATTGCAGGGCCTGGGAACAAGGTGTCCTGAAGGCTGCAGGGCTGCGCTGTCTGCACTGCCCAGCCTGGTGCCAGAAGAGCAGAGGGCAAGGCAGGCCTGGGGATCAGGGGTGCCCCAACCTCGTGGAGGGCAGCTGAGAGCCACCAGCCCACCTGGCTGCCCAGGTTCCAAGTGAAGGAAAGAGGCTGCCAAACCGAGCCCTGCCCCAAGGCGAATAGCCATGGACATAGCCATTGTGTACCGTAGCCCCTCGGCTCACCAGACCCACACCAGAAAGGCCCTGTGGACTGCCCATCCCTGGGCCATCCTGGCTGGAGCCCACTTCCCGCAAACCCAGGGCCGACCTCTTCCCAAGCTGAAGCTGAGCACGGTGGGTGCAAGTTGACCATCCTGCACTGAGGGCCAGAGTGCCGATTCCCGCACACCCAGCAGGAGTAGCACCAGGAGAGGACGCCTGAGCTGAGCTTTTCTAGGTAGGGGAGTGTGGGGAATGGGGGCGTCTGCCTGGCCTTGCACTCCCCCTACCGGCCATGCCCGCCCTGCTGCAGTGGAGCTGCTGCTCCCCGGCAGGTCCTGGGACAGCTGTCCACACAGCTCTGGCACTCGCCCTTGTGGGTGTGGCCATACCCCCCACCAGGCCCCAGGCCCCTGGCAGGCTGAAGAGGTCACTGGACAGCACTTTATTGACACCCTCGGACCCGGGGCAGGGTCAGCAAGACTCCCAGCTGGCATCAGACTGTGTCTGGCCTGCTGTCGCCATCCCTGAGGGGTGCAGGACAGAGCCCCATAGGGGCAGAGAGGCCTCCCTGGGACCAGAGGAGGATGCTGTGCAGCCAGGCCCATCCCCAGCACTCGAGGCCTAGGAGGAGAGGTGGGCTCTGGCAGCGGGTGTGAGGTGGCAGTGAGAAGCCAGGCCCTCAGGTGCAGCTCAGGCCTCTGCCGCTGGGGCCTCATAGTTGAGCACGTAGTAGTCGTGGACGTACATGAGGACGGCTATTGGCTGTCCGATGATGAGCGACAGCCACACAGCTGCGTTGCCATAGTTGCCCTGGAAAAAGCGGCCCACGAACCAGGCCAGTGGGATCTAGGGAGTGAGGGGCCAAGTCAGTCGGCCATGGTGACCACAGGGCTGGGGGCTTCAGGGTCCCTGGGCATGGGGAGGGTCAGCCGAGGGGTTCAGGTGCGGGGTAACTGGGCGAGTGAGGAGGCCACGTGGGGGTCACTCACCTGAGCCATCATGCCCGTGAACGCCCAGAGGCGGAACATTCGCAGAGGGACGCTCACCAGGTACTGAGATGGGAGGGAGAGAGGATGCCAGGGAGTGGGGTGTCAGCCGTCCCTGCTGTGGGCATACCCCTGCCCAGGGATGAGGCAAGATGCCCCCCAGAGCACTGACCTCGTGGAAGAAGGCCGAGGCCAGGAACACCCCTGTCCTGGCCATCCACTTGCTGCTGCCCCGTCGAAGCATGGGCTTGTAGAAGTGTCTGCAGAGGAGGGGGCATGGAAAGCGGTTCAGGTTCACAGCCATGTTCCACATCACACACACACACACCCCACCTACCTGATGCACCACTTGTGCACAGGGATGTTCCAGTTCTGCCAGAAGTAGGTGACAGACTCGGAGTTCCTGGGGGCCAAGAGACCACAGGGGGATCAGAGCACACCATGGCCCATCCCAGCCCCCAGGGACACCCCAGGGACACTCACCACCAGTCCCGGTAGAACTCCCGGTCTCCAAACTGCATGAGCTCAGCCACGGCATTCAGGCAGGAGTGGAAGAGCCAGTAGAAGAAGATGAGCCAGATGAGGTGATTGGGGACCTGGCAGGGAGGTGGGGGTGGGCACCAAGTTCTAGAACCTTCCCCCACATGCCACTGTCCCCTCCTGTCCTGTGCATGCGCCACCTGTCCGCACTCACCGCCAGCTTCAGGAGGCGCTCGATGATGCGTGAGTAGTCCATGTCCTGCAGAAACAAGCCCTTCAGCTAGCCATGCTCCTGGTCACTCCCCAGCCACCCCAGCTGCAAGAGCACCTGAGCCACTCACCTTGAAGGGCTTCATGGAGTTCTGGATGGTGGGGACCATCCACTGCAAAGGAGGGCACCACGTCAGCTCCCAGCCATGCCCAGCTACACCCAACCCTGCCCTACCCCACTTACCTGCTGGATCAGCCCCACCTGGAGCTGGGTGAAGAACAGCTGGGGGGGAAACAGAGAGCAGCCAGCTGAGGCCCTGGCTAGCCAGAAGGCCCCCTAGCCTCCAGTGGCTGCCCCCAGCCCCCAACCTCACCATCTCAAGGATCCGTCGCAGCAGAAAGCGCTTCCGGATGCGGGGAGAGCGGGGAAAGTTGAGCTCGTAGCACAAGGTGGGGGCGAAGAGGAAGTAGTAGAGATCTGGAATGGGAATGGGGGGTTGGTACCAGAACAGGCCCAGCCTGTCCCCCGCACCTCAGGCCCACAGAGGTCCTCACCGCGGTAGGTCAGATTGTCCGGGTAGCTCACGGTGTGCGGGGCAGCAGCACTGCTGGCCTTCTTCCCTGCAGAGGCTACGAGCACAGCAGAGTGGGAGGGGGCTGGTGGGGCCCTGCTGCTGCCCAGCCCCCCAGCAGGCAGCCCCAGCCCCTGGCAGCCCCTCACCAGCCTTGGCCCTGGCCCTGCGGCACCATGAGTTGACGTCGCGGTAGGAGAAGAGCTTGAGGAAGAGGATGGTGTGCGCCATCAGCGCCAGCAGGGAGCCCACTGCAGGAGAGGTGGACTCAGGCCTCCACAGCGCCACAGCCGGAGGCCATGCCCGTGGCTGGCCCGAGACAGATGGGCAGGGTGGGATGGGGGCGCACCTGGAGTGATAGACTCAACCAGTAAGACCACAGCCGCTGGGAAACACAGAATGGTGGCCAGGTTGGCCACGTGCAGCAGCAGTCCCGCCTGCTCCGTCAGGGCACCCTGGAGTGGGGAGCAGAGCACTCAACCAGGGCTCCCATTGCCTGGGAGAGGGCTGCCAGGCCTGGGGAGCAGCTCCTCCCAGGAGCGCACACAGCAGGGTGAGCACACACGGAGGTGAGGGGCACTGCTTACCACCGCCAGGCGCTTCTCAACCTGGAATGCAGCCACAGCAAAGACATTGGCCGCTGTGGACAGAAGCACCAAGGGGCAGGTTTAGGGCCACGTCAGCCTGATCCCCACCCGAGGCCCTCCTCAGAGCCCAGCTCACCAATAACCAGGCATGGGGCGGGCCAGCTATAGGGATCCTTCAGGAACAGAGAAACCACCTGGATGGGGTCCACCAGGATGCCATACCTGGGGGTGGAGGGATGGGGGTCTGAGTGGGTGGCAGGTGGGGCTGTGGGGCGGGGCCTGGACAGGCCATGGGTGGGGCAGGGGTGGGACCTGGCAAAGGCACTCACTTGATGAGGTTCTCCAGAAATAACCGGGCATTGCTCAAGATCTGCGAGGGATGGACAGGAGGGTGCAGCCCCTTTAGTCCTGGCCACAGGGTACTCACCCCAGATCCTCCCAACACCTCTGGGCACGTCCCAGCCCGAGCTCAGGGCGGCAGCCTCAGGCTTGCAGACCCAGCCCTGTCTGGTCTCCATGCCAAGCTCTGAGACTCAGCACCCACCTCAGCCAACACCAGTGCTGGGTAAGGGGAAGTCCCTCCCTGTCCCCATCACACCAGACGGTCCCACATGGAGGGAACCAACCGGCCAGACCAACCAACCCTGCCAGACGCCTGGGTCTTCAGGAGCAGAAAGACCAGCTGCTGATCTGCTCACATCCCTCCTGCTGAGCCGAGCCAGTGAGGGACCCAAGGCTCCCACAGCCAACCACACCCCAGAGACAGCCCCAGAATACAGGCCTGCCCAGGGAGGCCTGCCCACGGCTGAGCCCCAAGGAACCAGTCCCTACTGGTGGCCAAGGCTGAAGAGGGGGAGTTGTCTACTCTTTCTCTGCAGGAGCAGTGTCCAGCTGTGTCGCAAGGGGGGCTGGGCCTGGAGTGCTTCCCAGGGCTTGTGCCCCGCCTGCCTCTTCTGCTTCCTGCCGCCCTCTAAGCCTTGGACACTTGGCTCCAAAGCAACTTCCCAGGACTGAGCCCCCATGGAATAAGGCTCTTGGGACGAGCCTGGAGTTGGGTGCTTGGCCTCCCTCTGCAAGGACAGGAACCTCCTCCTCCATCTTACAAGCACTACCAACACCTCCATTAAGCTGGGCCCCAATGCCGCAGACCTGGCTGACCACCCGGAGCTCGGGCCTCATGCGGTAGTGAACTGGTGCTGGGGAAAAGGGTCGCTGGCAAGGGAACACTGAGGGTGTCTTGCCTGGGTGGTCAGGGAAGGCTTCATGAGAGAGAAGACTGCTTCAGAGACACAAGGGCTACTGCCCCGCCTCCCCCGGCCGCAGGGCTGACACACAGGCCTTCTGCATGGACACGTGGCCCACACTGTCACTGGCCTCTCCCGAGGGCTGACAGCAGGCAGAAGCCAAAGCTGCCAATGGACGGTACCCACCTCCAGGCCCAGGCCACAGAAGGAATGCAACAAGCAGCCCAGAGCGGGATACATGCCTGGGGTGGGGGCATGGGGGAGCCAAAGCAGGGAAAAGGCTTCAGGGCTGGGCCAAAGGGCCAGGCAGGCCCAAGGGGTTGGGGAGAATACACAGTGCTGCCTGGGCTGGACAAGGCCCAACCTGGGCCAGGAATGGGCTGCGTCTCCTGAGTGCTGGGCTGGCGCTGGGCCCACTGTCCTCCTGCCTGGCCAGCTTCTCAGCCACCAGGACTCGTGGGCCTCCACAGCTGGCCACCCCCAGGGAACCTTCTAGGACCATGGGCGGTGGGGGATGTGGATGTGCGTGGAGCCCCTTCCACGTGGGTAGCCACAGGAGCAGCACCCAAGGCCAGAGATAGACACGCCTGGGTGAAGGTCAAAGGCCTCGAGCCACATCAGCCCTGAGTTGGGGAGGCTGGGCCCAGATAGCCCTTGTCCCCGACCTGCCCTGCAGGTGCCCCTTTGAGCCCTAGACTCCAACTACTTCTGGGGTGGGGCTGGCAGCCCCACCCCACGAAGTGCCAGTGGGAACCAGGCCCAGAGGTAGCAGGCCTTGGACGTGGCACAGGGCTCCATCTAATCACCTTCCTGGGGGGCTCCTAGGACCCACAGCTGAGGGAAGGGGCCAGGAGGACTGCAGAGTGGTGGCCAGGCCTGCAGGGCTCCATACCCACAGAGGCCATGTGGCGTAGCACAGGAAGCTCTTCTCACATCCCCTGCCAGAGAGGCCTTGTGTCCACAGAGCATGCAGTCCACTCTCCCACCAGCCCAGGGCAAGACCCCCTCCACCCTGCCCTCCCTGGAGGCCCTGCACCCCTCAGGCCCAGCTCACAACACACAGGCTCCAGCCAGGCACTGTTCGGCCTCCCCACGCCCACACCACATCTGCAGGGCTCTCCTGGGATCCAATGGGAAGCAGCAAGTATGTGGTGCATGGGCACCCAAGTGACCACAGCAGGGGCAGCCACTGCCACTCCCCTCCCCAACAGTCCAGTGCTGGCAGCCACATGGAGGTGCAGCCTGCTCCACACACCCCAGCCCACAGGGGCTCCAGCCTGGACACCCTGGGTGACAGAGCCTGTTCTCAGGCAAAGGCCAGCCTGGGACAGAGCCCCACCTGGACCTAGACCCGCTCCCGACACCATGTCCCACTCACCAGCATCACCACACACCAGTTCAGGATGCCACGGTAGTTGCTGAAGCCACTGTCAGAGCTGAATAAAGAATCCTGCAGGCGATGGCACCTGACAGAGCACAACACAAGCACCCCCTGAGTGGGCACCAGCAGGGCAGCGCCACCCCCGCAGGATCCAGGCCCCCACCCCAGTGTCCTCGTCTGCCCTCAGGCCCCACTCCTTATTTACAACCAGGAGGAGAAGCCAGGCAGAGCCACACTGTGGCCTCAAGACCTACAGTGGGCAAAGCTCTCCGGACCCCCAGAGCCTGCACCTCCAGGCAGCGGGACGAGCATGTCAGGGTCAGAAGCAAGCCCAGCTGGCCCTGCCCGGACTGGACCTACATGGAGCTTGGACACTCCAGGCCTCACTCTCCAGAGGCCTCTGGCCACTGCCATGTACTCTGGCTGTGGACTAGCACTGGGGCCACAAGCAGGGTCCAACCTGGGGATGGACCAGGGGGCACTGCCCAGCACTGTGGGGACCAAGTGGTGAGGGTTGAGTCCACCCTATTCAGTTGGCCCATCCCAGCACCCGGGAGCTAAGGGGTCCCCACACTTGGACGTGCAGGCTCAAACTGGCAAAGGCAGGCCAGGCGCCAGCCACACACCAGCCTGACATGCACTTTCCCAGAGGCAGGGATCCAGCCCTCGTGTGCCGGTGTAGCCTCCACTTGTTTGTGATGTGTGCCCAGGCTGAGGGGGCTGAAAGGAACCCACCCGGGGCTAGGTGCCTGCTGGCTGAGAGGCTTCCAACAGAGGCAGGCACCCACCCATGATCTCCCAACCAGCGCTGGAGGGGCACAGGCAGACCCTGCCTGGTCCTCAGCATACTGCACAGGTGGAAGAGGGCACCCAGCCCAATAGAGGGACTGCCATATAGCTAGGACAAGGACAGCAAGAGCTTGGCCAGGCCCCCACACGTCCTAGGAAGCAGTGCTGGCTCATATACACTAGCTGCAGGCCCGCCTCACCCCCCATCTGCCGTGCCACTGGGACACCACACACAGCATTGAGCAAGTCCTCAACTTTGTAAGAGGAGAGGCCAGAGCCTCCCTTTCCCTCCCGCACACGCACATCTGCCCCTCAGAGCCCCTAGGCAGGGAGAGTGGGCCTGAGAGCCATGGCAGGAGCCCCATGAGGCAGACGCCCTCAGGGCACCCAAGGCAAGCTGGCTAGGATTGGGGTCGGCAGTCAGACGGCCCTGCCCAGGAGGCAAAGGGCCAGGGAGGCCGAGAGGCAATGCCAACAAGCCCAACCTTTGCTCCCCAAGACCAAGGTTGGTGCAACACATGCCCCATCTACACCTACACAGTTCCTGGACAAGTCTACACTAGTCCCCAAGACCCCCAGGCAGGGAGGATGCTCACACCTTTCCCTCTGCCCATCTAGACTGGAACACAGGGGCAGGCAGCTCCACCCAGCCCCTGCCTCTCCCAGCTCCAGCCTGAGCGCCCTGCATCCACCCACCAGGTCCATCCTGGGCCATGCAGTGAGGCTGTGGTCTCCACCAGAGCCTCCCTCCTCCCCAAGTTGGCAGCTGTCTTCCCAACTGACCACCGCCCTTGGCTCATCTCCCCAGCCTACTCCACTCACTGCCTGCCCACAACCAGGAGGCTGGGTGTAGACACCGCCAGAGCCCCAGCACCGTGACGGGAGCAGGGGCACGAGGCCCAACTGCCCAGCAGCCTCTCTGGGCTGTCTGTCTGGGGGCCTCTCCACTGCCCCCTCTTCCCCAAGTTCGAGCCCATTTGTTTTCAGCAGAACAATCCCAAGCCTCAGGGTTGGCCTTCTTGTACCACGACCTACCAACCACAGCTGTTTCACAGCAGTATGACCCCTGCCCCCTTTGAGCCACCAAGGACACCATGCTGGCTTTATCCATGCCCATCTCCAAGATGAAAACAGGAGTCGGGAAAGGGTGGTGCTTCCCAAAGCTCACTGCAGACAATCCTACACAAGCTTTCTCAGGGGCCCCTTGACAGGCTTCCAAGGCCTTCCTCAACCCAGCCACAGCCTCACCTCAGGCCCTTCACAGGCCTGACCAGCCCCACCCAGAGGCAGCACCCCCACTGCGCTACCCCTACCCCTCACAGGCCCCCATGAGGAGGAAGCCCCAGTCCACCAGTGCCCACAGAGCTCCAAGCAGTCAGTGCGGCCAGCAGCATGTGGGCTACAGGGCAGGCTGCATGGAACGGCATGGGGAGGTGGGATCTGCCCCTGTGCCTAGAGCACCTTTATCACCCTCTCACTGACTGGAGGATCTGCCCAAGCCTCTGCACCTTCCAGCTGTCCCTACACCCACTCCCTAGTCCAAGAAGACTCGGAGCAGCCTGCCCTCCCTCCTGCAGCCCCCAGGCCCACCCAGCCAGCAGGATCCTCTCAGTCTCACGGCAACACTGAGACCTTGGCACATGCCCACCCGCCACCCTGTCTCCAGGTTCAAAGTGTGCCCAAAGGCACAGGTCCCAGTGAGTCCCACACTTGGGGCCCACACAGTGCAGCTCCAGGGCCAAGCACAATGAGGAGGGGGCAGAGTCCAGCTCTGCTCACTGCCGCCTCCTCCACTCTGGCCTCTGGGCTGGGCCTGGGTTCAAGATGGTTGGGGCAGGCTCCCTGCACCTCGCAGACCCTGCTGGAGAGAGAAAGGGAGAGTCAGAAAGGACACCTCAGGGACAAAACACCCTGGGAGAAGCCAGAAACCGGATGGCCCCGACTGGGGTGCCTGTGAGCAGAGGGCT
The DNA here is from genome assembly GCF_000001405.40 of Homo sapiens. Lineage (NCBI taxonomy): Eukaryota > Metazoa > Chordata > Mammalia > Primates > Hominidae > Homo > Homo sapiens. Next base: position 144,324,080 of record NC_000008.11, read on the forward strand.
GGTGGGTGTGTGCAAAGAGCCTGGCAGGAGTGAGCCACAAGCAGAGCAGAAAGGGGTGCCCTCTCCTGCCTGCCTCACAGCCTCACCTTGCCACGGGGCCGGAAGAAAGGAGCTCACACCCAGAGCCCAGCCCTAGGTGAGCAGGAAGTGTCCGTGAGGGGAGGAGGCCCGAGCTCAAGGAGTAATGAGGAAGCGGGAGAGGAAAGGCTGGGCTGGGCCAAGAGCAGCAGGAAGCTGGAGGGAGGGGAGGCTGTGAGGCTGACAAGGGGGTGCGCTAGAGGCCAAGTCCCAGGAGGGCAGGCAGAGCAAGGCCTGACGCAGACAGCAGGGAGAAGAGCCCAGTGTCCACAGCCAGTGGCCGAGCCCTGCTGCATCCCTAGGTCTGAGGGACAAGCACACATAGCCTGCAAGTCCTGGAGACCCAGGAGCAGATAGACTTTTGGTCTCAGCCTCCAGCCCCATGAAGGCCTCACCTCTCCATCTACTGCCCCTCTTCCCAAGGAGACCCGACCTCCACGGCAGGGACAGGGACTCACCAGGCCTCTCCCACGAGCTCTGCACCCATCCCACACCAGCAGAAGTACAGGAAAGCCTTGCTGGTTTGCAAAGCAAGAAGGTGACTGCTCTCCCCTGCCTACCCCCAGGTGGCGGCTTGGCCCAAAGCTGGGACTACCCTCATCTCACACTAAAAAAAATCTCAATTCCCGGCCGGGCGCGGTGGCTCACACCTGTAATCCCAGCACTTTGGGAGGCCAAGGCAGGTGGATCACCTGAGTTCAGGAGTTCGAGACCAGCCTGACCAACATGGAGAAACCCCATCTCTACTAAAAATACAAAATTAGCCGGGTGTGGTGGGCGCCTCTAATCCCAGCTACTCTGGAGGCTGAGGCAGGAGAATCACTTGAACCTGGGAGGCAGAGGTTGCAGTGAGCCAAGAATGTGCCATTTTACTCCAGCCTGGGCAACAAGAGCAAAACTAGTCTCAAAAAAAAAGAAAAGAAAAAAAAAGAAATCTCAATTCCCACGTCCTCCACAGGTCATGTAGCCATCCCCCTGCCTCCTGGAGAGAGGGTAACTCCAGGAGCCACACCTCCTTTTCAGGTAGGAGGTGCCTAGGCCAGCCTCCCTCACCAGCACCCCAGGCCCACAGCAGGCAAGCACCCCTCTCAGGAGGGCCACCCTCCTCCCCACGGCCCCTTCAAGGCCTCCGTGCCCGACCTTTGTCCATGTTGCTCCATGCCTGACTCTCGCTGAGGTTATCTTATCTCCCAGATGAACTGAGCACCCTGAGGGCCACGACAGTGCCTGCCCTCCCCCAACCCCCTCCCCATGGTGCCCCGTGAAGGAAAGCTCTGTTCTTGCTCACTGAGAGAGCAAATCATTGCCAACTACATGTCCAAAATCAGCCCACTTCTGCCTTGATAACCTCTAGGCCCTCAGCTGCTCTCTAAAACAAAGCCCTGAGGGCCCCTGGGCCAGGGTAAAGGCCATAAAGGGGGGATGGAGGGTGGCAAGGGGATTGCTCAAGGCCAGCTTGGTGGAGGAAGCCAATGCCCAGGCTGGCCAAGTCCTTCCCATCGGCCATGGTTCTCTCCCTCCACCCCTCTCTGTCAGTCATCCAGCTGAGCAGGGCACACGCCTGCAGGTGTGTCCACCACCCCCATACCCCACTCCCCACCTGGAGGATGGAAGTCCCAACACAGAACCCAACTCTCTGTCCCTACAACAGACGCTGGCTCTGGCAACATCGGCAGGGCTCCAGGCCAGCCTAACCACTGGAGCAATGAATGGGCCACGCAGCCACTCTCAGAAGGGTCTGCAAGGACAAGAACGCCTCTAACACTGCCCCTTGTCCGGGGCAGCTGCTGATTCCCCTGTCCTCGGACAGGCCTGGGCTCCTCTGGCCCCCTCCCTGGCAGGCCAGCCCTCCTCTGGGAGCCTTTCCTACCCGCAAGGCACCGCTCATAGCACCAAGAAGGAACCTATCACCACAAACTGCCCAGATCTTATCTGACTCCTTCCATATAAGGGGACACTGTCCAGGGCCGGGCCCCCACCAGCCCGCCCCTCGAAAAGCTCCTCAGGAGCCCCTGAGGATGCACAGACCCAAGAGGATCTGGATGCGGGACACCTGCCGGCTCCCCTCTGCCTGGCCAAGGCCAGCTCCAGAGCCCCTACCCAGTGACCTTGTCAGGTGACTCTCCCCAAGCCTCAGTTTCCCCACAGGGCCCATAGGGCACACCGATCCCCGCTTAGCCCAGGGCCCATGTTCTCGGACTCGGAGCTCGCGCTTCGGCCAACCCCGGAAAGTCGCGGGGCCCTTGGGTCAGAGGTTAGGGGGTCAGGCGCTCCGCTACCTCAGCTCCCAGTGGCCGCTGCCCACGCCGGCGTCTCCGTCCTTGTTGGGGGCCGGGGCTGGCGCGTCCCCCGCGGCTCCCACGTCGGGGCCCGCAGCGGCGTCCCGCACCTCCTCTTCCGCCGCCGCAGGCCCGCCGCCGCCGTGGCTCGAGGGCCGCGACCCTGTCCTCCGGCGCCGGGAGCTGCCGCGGTCGCCCATGGCCTCAGCCCGCACCCGGCCGCAGCCAAGCGTGGGCCCGCCGGGTTCGTAGCGCCCGAGGCGCGCGGCCCCACCTCCGGGCCCTAGACAACGGCCGCCACTGCCCCCTGCCGGCCGCCGTAGCCCGGGTGACCGCCTCACCAGCGCGTTCAACCCGCCCGCGTCGGGCCCGTCGGCCTCAAGGACAACGGCTGCGTTGCTCCGGAGCCGCTAACTAATGGACGGCCGCCTCTCTCGTCCATTTGTAGTCCGCGGCCGACCTGAGGCGGGGCCTGGAGAGGCTGACGGGGCGCAGGGCACCCTGGGAGTCGTAGTCGCCGCGGGCGCGCCGGCGCAGAGCACCCTGGGAGTCGTAGTCGCCGCGGCCGCACCGGCGCAGAGCACCCTGGGAGCCGTGGCAGCTCCCAGGGCCGGGGCTGCGGGCCGCAAGTGCGCGCAGCGGGAACGGACCTTGCATCGCTCCCGCGTGGTCCCGGGGTCCTGTCCGGCCCCACGGAGCGGGATGGTCCGCTGAGGGGTGCGCTGGGCCCCGACTTCCTGGCCGCTGTGCGCCCGCCCCTCGTCCCACTTGTGTACACACGGGGTCTCGGCGAGTCACTCCGGGCAATCATTTAGGAAGCGCCTAGTGCGCCACGGTCCAGCTGTCCGGGCCGGTGTCCGCGGCGGCTCGCGTCGCCCGCCACCCAGCGCGTTGGTTTCTGCGCACGCAGCTTACAGTAACGTCCCTGGCGCGCTTCTGCTCCGCGAGCCCTCTGGTTACCCCGGCAGGAACCTGCTTTTCTTCGCCTTAGGGGGACGTCAGACAAGGGCCAGGTCAGAAGACCAAGCTGGAGAAATGCACCAGGCCCTGCGTCACCGGGACGCCTGCCTTGCACGCGACTCCCAGGCTCTCCACCTCCCCGCCTGCAGAGCCCGGCGAGAGGAGGGCGAGGGCGAGGGCGAGGGCGCAGGCCCCTTGGTGGTGTCTTCTCAGCCCACCCACTCTCTCCACAAGGAGCTCCACGTCCCTCAACTCTCAGGGCCTCCCAGTTTCCAACGTGGGCCAGCCTCTCCAGGATGTCAGAAGTCTGGGCCGCTGGATCGCCGGGACTCAAGAGGCTTCTGTGCATTTGCACGGCCTGTGCAACCGCCCTGTTGTTTTTTGTTTTCTTTTTTCTTTTTTTGAGACAGTCTCACTCTGTCGCCAGGCTGGAGTGCAGTAGCGCGATCTCGTCTCACTGCAACCTCCACCTCCTGGGTTCAAGCGATTCTCCTGCCTCAGCCTCCCGAGTAGCCAGGACTACAGGCGCGTGCCACCACGCCCAGCTAATTTTTCTGTTTTTAGTAGAGACGGGCTTTCACCATATTGGCCAGGCTGGTCTCGATCTCCTGACCTCGTGATCCGCCCACCTCGGCCTCCCAAAGTGCTGGGATTATAGGCGCAAGCCACCGCGCCTGGCCTGTTGTTATTTTTTCTAAAGATGGGGGTCTCGCTATTCTGCCCAGGCTGGTCTCGAACTCCTGGCCTCACGCAATCCTCCCACCTCGGCCTCTGAAGGTGCTGGGATTACAGGTATGAGCCACTGCCCCAGACATCTTGTATGTTAAATGAAGCAACTAATCAACTGTAACAGCCACAGTTGCGGCCCACCTTGGCTTGGTGTGCATATTGCACAGGGCATGGAGTGAGAACATCCTGGATCTCAGGATGCCAGGGTTCACTGAGGACTCTGACTCTAGAAACACCTTCATTCCTCTGGGGTGAGCAGGGGCAAGCAGCACTTCTCTGGAAGCAAACAGGTGCTCCTCCTGAGGTGGGGTCCTCTCCCGTGGGCTGGTCACAGCCTCGCCTCTGAGCTCCGTCCTCTTCCACCACCTCCACCAACAGTGGCCAGCAGGGCTGCCCCCTTGGTTGCCCCCCTGGTGACATATTCTTGTCACCACAGGCCGCTGTGGGTTGCTGCCAACCAGGTATCAGGCAGGCTGGAGCTACCTGGCAGATGCCCTTTGTGTAGCCTGCCGAGTGGGGCCGCCCTCACTGGACCCAAGAGCCCCTCACACATGGGCCTTGGTCGGTCAGGACCAGCCCCATCTCCTACCCAGTCTCTCAGAATATTCATTTGTTGAATGCAGTCGCTGGCAGACACACTCTGTGGCCAGGTAGGCCCAGACCTGTCTGAGTATGGACTGACAGCAAGCTCAGAGAGGTCTGGACCTGGCCACGGAGCACCTCATGCTAGGCAGAGGAGATCAACGACTCAACCTGTGGTCGCGTCCCAACTCAAAGCCGGCAAGTGGCCACAGGAGAAAGACAATGGGAGGGTGGACTGGACCACCAGGGAGGATGGGTCGGGCCTGGTGAGCAGAGCCAGGCTTGGAGCCAATGGGGAAAGCACTGGCTGTGGGCGGGCCATTAAGGAAGGGCTTTGCCACCGGGGGTGGGGGCGTGGCGGGGCAGCAGCTCCAGAGGTGGGTGAAGCCCTGCCCAGACAGGCCCTATACCCTGGGATCTAGGGTGAGGGGAATGGTCAGGGTAGGTGAGGTTGGTTGGGGACAAGGGTGTGTATGGCTGGGTCATCGAGGAAAGCATGATGCAGATCACCCTGCTGGGGGCAGCAACAAATGAGGGGGCCCAAGCCCGAAGCGAGTTGCCTTCCAGGGCTAGTGGAATAAAGGGCTGGAAGTGGGTTGGGGCCTCAGGCTGATCCCAGGGCCTAGGGGCCATGGGTGGGCCAAGAAGGCCTGTGAGAAGCAAGGGTCCCAGGAGAGTTCACAGCCAGTGGTGGTCTATGGCCTGTGCTGCTCATTCAGAGGGAAACTTGTGTCTGTGGCTGGGAGGAACTGGGGGGTCGAGCTCATCCCAGGCCTCAGGGAGGCCACCTCCATCCTTCCACCCACTCTACGCATCAGAATCCTGGAGAAGTAGAAACAGCCAGTCGCTGTTGGAGTCCTTTGGAAGGAGTGAGGCTAGGAGCCTTCCTCCTGGCCATTGCTGTCTGCCATTGTCATTGCTGGTAGTGCTCTCCCAAAGAGAGCACCCACCTGCACCACAGCTCCTCCAAGTGCCAGGCACACAGGCCATGACATGCTGCAGACCTGGTTCCCCTGCTCTCCACCCTAGTGGAGTCTGGGCAGGTCTGTCCCCTGTCCCTGCTAGGGTGTGGGCAGCTTTGCTGGCCCTGGATCTAGGACTGACCTGGTTTGAATGTATGTGCCCGAAGACTTTGGGCCTCTCGGCTCATGCCTGCCTACCTGGTTACCAGGGGACATTGCTGGGCAAAGGGTCCCTGTCCCTTATCTCCTCCACTACTCATTCTGTCTAGAGCCCTTGGGCGATGGTTGCAGAAGCCTCTCTGCCCCCTGGGCACCTCCTCCCTGGAACCGGTCCAACCCAGCTATCCATGGAGGCATCCGCAGACACTGGGGGAGCATATCTGGGAAGCCTGGGGGTCAGAATGTGGGCAGCAGGCCACAGGAAAAGGGCCAGACCTCGAACTCTCCACTGTCCCCATTTCCTGCAACAGCATCTCAGAGGGCTTGAGGTGGCTATCAGGCCTTCCATCACAGCATAAAGCTCCTTCAGGGAGAGAAGAGCGAAGGCACCCAGGCTGGGGAACAGCAGCTCCTACTATACCTACCCTGCCCACTCTGGTCCAACCGTGGGCTTGGCCTGACTTTAGACTGGAACCCCTTAGTGCTCCTGTTCCTGGTGTGGAGCAGATCCACCTACCCCAGGGGAAATGCCAACTACTTTGCCTTCAGACCTGATGCTCCTGTGGTTGGGCCTGCCAAGCCTGCCCTCCCCAGTGGAAGAAGAGGGCCGTCTTGTGAAAGGCCTCAGGCTGACCCTTGCAGCACCAGCCTCTGAGGTACTGCCAGACTGGGAAGACCCTCCCAGCCACCCAACAGCGTGGGCCCAGCCCAGGACACATCAGCCCGACACTCCAAATTCTATCAAGAGTGGCATTTATTCTCCTTGTGGAGGTGCGGTGCTCCGGGGAGCTGGTGCTATTGTGCTTAGGAAGGAGGTCTGTCCGTCCGTCCGTCTGTCCGGCCGGCCTGGCCCCAAATGGGGGCGGAAGAGGGGCACGGCCCGAGTAAAAATCCCGGCCTATTCCGGGTGGGAATATGTACAAGGCGGCGGGGCACAGGCGGGGGTGGGGGCGGGCGGGCCGGCGGCCGCAGCCCCCACCCGAGGGCCCCCGCACCTCGGGCCCTACTTGTAGAATCAGTACAAAATAGGTGCTACCTAAACGTTCCTTCTACCTGAATTCGCTAAGTCGGTTATTGTGCTGCTTAGTTATGGGGGCGGGAGGGGGCCCATGGCTTTCCACGGCGGCGGGGTGTAGGGGGAAGCAGGAGACCCTGACGGGCCCACAGCCCTCCAGCTTTCTCCTTAGGTAGGTAGACAGGAGTATGGGGTGGGGTGAGGTGGGGGCGCCTGTGTGTGCGTGTGCATGCGGCACAGGTGGGCAGGCCCCAGCTTGGGAGCTGTGCAGGCACCACACCTGGTTGTGTAGGGTGTTTGGATGTGGGCACTGCTGTGCAGAGCGGTGGGTCATCCTTGTGGGGGCAGCCACGCTTGCTGCTGGGGGTGAGGCTGGCCACACCATAGGCTACAGCTGGCACCTTCTTCTCCAGCCATGGCTCTGCCCCTGGCTGGACATGGCAGATGTGTGTTGGCCAGAGGATCAGAGAAGTGGCCACCTGTGTGGGGGCCCAGGAGCCCTGGATCTGTCCCCCTCAGCTGGAGTCAAAAGGCCTAACTCAAAGGTAGAGCCCAGTTGTGCCCAGCAGGGACTGGTTGAGGTGGGGAGGAGTGTAGGGGGCATGTGAACCTAGGGACCTGGTCTCTCTGCATCTGCCGTTCTTCCCTGGCCCACCCAAGCCGGTTGGACCCCTGTCCTGCAAACACACCTCCCAGCAGGTGGCTGCGCTCCTGGCGGACTCAGCAATTGGCCTGGCACATAGTAGGTGCTCAATGAACGGTCAGTGAATGATTAATGCCTGAAGGAGGGGTCTTGGGGGCAACCACCCCACCCCCGCCCATGGAACCATTACAGCCGCCGGGCTCTGCCGTGGGGGTCGGGGAGGGGTGGGGAGAAAGTCTGCGCGGCCGGCCCCGCGCAGCGTCCCTGATCTAGGGGCCTATGGGGTGGGTAGGGCGAGGGGATACCTGATTCTCAGTAACTCTAGAGGCGGCGGCAGCTTCGCATGCAGTGCGCATTATTGCTCTATAGTCGGCTTCGGACTACCTAAGAGGGAGGGGGAGCGGGCAGCCCCGGGTAGGATCGGGAGGAGGGGTGGGGCTGCATGCAGTGACGTCACAAAGGCGGCGGCCAATGGGGCGGGCCCTTGGGGCGGGGTCGCCGCCGAGGCTTTGGCATAGACGGGCGAAAGTTGGCAACCGAGTGGGGGCGGGGCCTGGGTCTCAGGGGCGGGGCCTGGGTCTCAGGGGAGGGGCCTGCCTCGGAGAGGCGGGGCCTGAGGCTCCCTAGAGGCTCCCAGCTAGGGGCGGGCCTCGGGGCGTGGAAAGTAATCCCGGACATCCCAGGCCCCCGGCGTCGGCGGGCAAGATGGGGGTTCAGCGCCCCCTCCCTGACCCGAGTGCAATCCGTTCATAAATAAAACGTACAAATACAGAAAAAGAAACCCGACGCGTCCGCAACCCCCCCAGGGGGCTTTACCCGCAAAGCGAAGACAGAGGTGTGTAGAGGGCAGCGCCCAGGCCTGCCTGCCGGCCCCGGGAATCCGTCCTCCAACACGAATGCCTGGGGTACGGGGGTGGGGGGTGGGGGCCCGGGGCAGGGCGGAAGCGGGGTCTGAGGAGGTCGGATAAGTCCATGCGATTCGATATGTGTCATTATTATTCGATATGGAGGACAGAGCCCGGGAAGCTGGGCTGGAAGAATTCGGATTTGGCAGAGGATGCGAGGCGAGGGTAGGAGGGCGGCTCCGACTGAGGCCCCAGAAGCAACCCGAGGGAGGGGGTGCCGCCGTCCGCCCCTCTCCCCGACCCACAACGCGTCTAACACTGCCGGGAGTTCCGCGAAGGCTGCTAGGCAGGGGCGTCCCTGCAGGCCCGCCCGCTCCTGCTCCGCCCCGGCCTGCTGCCGGGGAGGGGCCGGCTCCCTGGACGTCTGGGCCGCAGGCCCTGCGCTAGAAGGCTTGGGAAGGGGTGGGGAAGACCTGAGTCCCTGCGACGCGATCCAGGGGCGCAGAGGCGGGAGAAGGAGGGCGCTCCCTACCTCACCTCACCCCCGTCTTCAGAGACCCAACTCGGAGATGAGGTTCGGTTCTAGGTCTCGTCGACCCTATTGCTGGGAGAAAGCCGGGGGCACCCTGGAGGGGAGGGGAGGGGGCTCGGGGTGGGTCTCCCCTCGGGACCCTATTGCTTGAAGGGGCCGGCAAGGCCCCTGGCGGGCGGGGCGGGGTGGGACCGGGCCCCCCTCCCCCTATTGCTGTGAGGAGGGGCCCGCCCTCCGGCCCCTCCACCCGGACGCCAGCGAAGACTTCCCTGGGGGGCCGTATTGCTGAGAGCCGACCTGGCTGGGGGAGGCCCCGCCGCCCTAGGCCTGCACAGGGCTGAGCTGTGGCGGCGCAGGAGCCGCGGGGCCTCCGGCGCCGCCCTTGAAGCAGGCCGACTCGTAGTGCTTGTTGAGATAGGACTTGAGCGCGAAGCTCTTCTTGCAGCGCTTGCACTGGAAGTGCTTGAAGGCCGAATGCGTCTGCATGTGCGCGCGCAGGTTGGAGCGGTCGGCGAAGGCCTTGCCGCAGTGCGCGCAGCCGAAGGGTTTCTCGCCGGTGTGCGAGCGCATGTGGCCCTGCAGCAGCCAGGGCCGCGAGAAGGCTTTGCCGCACACGCCGCACTTGTGGCGCAGGTCGTGCGTGAGCAGGTGCATGGCCATGGCCGGCATGGACACGTACACCTTGCCGCACGTCGGGCAGCGCCGCGCCAGCTGGCTGTCCAGGCTGCGGTGCGTCTGCTTGTGGCGGCTCAGGTTCGACGACGTGGCGTATGTTTTGCCGCACTCGCCGCACGCGTGCCGGCCGCCAGCACCTGCGGCCCCTGGCCCCGCGCGCGCCTCGGTGCCTGCCCCCGCGCGCGTGCCGCCCCGGCCCCCCGGCCCGGATCCCAAGCTGCGCCCGCCCGCCCCGCCCCCGCCTCCGGCGTCGCCGTCGGGGGCCGCCGCCGAGGCTGTGGAGGGAGCGGCGGCAGCGCCGGCATTGGAAGCCTTACGCCGCGAGCGCCCGTCGGTGATGAAGAAGGCGTCCGCCGCGTAGCCCTCGCTGACGGCCGCGTCGCCGTTGATGTAGCCGCCCGCAGCGGTGGCCAGCTCCGGGCGCGGGGTGGGCGGCGGCGCAGACCCTGCAGCCGCCGGACCCAGCTCTCCACGCACAGCTGCTGCGTACATGGGCTCCGGCGACGGCCCTTTGAGCAGCGCAGCCTCGGCGTCGCCATCGTAGACGGACGAGGGCCCCACGTAGTCGCTGAGGTACCCTGCGGGCGGAGGCGGACGGACAGCGGGAAGGGAATGGGGCGGCGGCAGGACACACACGGGGGATGGGGGGGCGGGAGACAGCAGACGCGGACCGGGAGACCCGGGTCCGGGAGAGAGGCGAACAGGGAGGAGGACAAAGGAGAGGAGGCCGAGGGACCGCCGGGCAGGGAGGATGGAGACAGCAGGGAGGGGAAGAGAGGGGAGGAGAGGATGAGACAGGGCCGGGCCACGCTCCGCCCCCGCCGCCCCACCCTCGCAGAGAGGAGGAGAGAGGCGCGTCTTCGGGCGCGGCTGCCCCCCTTCCGCGGAGCCTCAAGGTCAGGGGGGAGGGGCGGCGCTTCCCTCTCCCTCCTCCCCCACCCACCCTCCCCTCCCCCTCGGGTTCTCCCCACTTCAGCAGTTTTCCCTGATTATGCAACACACTGCAGACCCGCGGCGCACAAAGCCAGGACTGCCGGCCCAGGGACCCCGTCTGTCCCACCTCTCCGGGGTCCTGGCCGGCTCTCCCTCTGGCCTGCAGAACGTGCGCTCCATTTTGATGTTGACCCCCTCTGGCCTTCTGGTTCCTCCAACAAGCCCTGAAGACGTCTCCCTCCCCCAGTTCCCTCCGGCCTCACCAGCACCTCCCTCAGCTCTCCGGCCACCCACTGGACTTGACCCTGCCCTCCCTGCTCCTCCATGCACTCTGCTTCTCCTCCGAACTCCCTCTCACCATCCTGCACCCTTGGGTCCTACCCTGTTCAACATTGCCCTCTCCTGCTCACACCCTAACCCCTTTCAGGGCCTTCCCAAGCCCCTGAACTGTGCAGAGAGGGCCAGGGCGTCCACTTTCACAGGGACGAGCTGCAGGAGGGCAGCATCACTTATACCGGTAGCTGCAGTTGCTCCCCAGGCACAAGATGGATCTCATAACCTCAAAGTCACAAATGCACGCCCCTCGCGACGCTCTGCCTCCTTCAGGGCTACACCCAGTCTCCCAGCATGATCAGCCCTTGTGTGCCCTCACAGGGTGGGCTGCACACTGATGTGCCGAACTCACCACCTCCTCACTCACGCAGGGTCACACATGCAGTCACCCCGGACACACTCTCAAGTCACATGGTGCACAGCGGCCTCAGAGTCACATGGTCCCATGTAGTGGCACACAGGCAAGCACACACACACACAGGGTCACACACAAGCGCACACGGTCACATGGCCACACACAGTCACATGGACCCACACAGGCTCACACTCCTGCAGGTCACACTTGCTCTGCCACCCCATGCTGCTGGCACTCCTGTCCCCCTCTCCTGCATGCTGACAGTTGTCCTTGAACTTGGGCACCCTTACACAAAGAGCCTCCCCCTGCCTCCCACACCTTGGGCGTCCCTTGCTCACAGCCTCCTCCCTGCTTCCTCTCCCTGACCCAGGCTTCAGGGAAGAGACTGCTGCTGCCTCTGCTGGCCCTCTGCTCTGACAGGTGGGCGGCCCTGTTGGACCCCCTGCCTACTCCCTGGAGCTCCCTGCATTCCCCAGCTAACCCTAGCAGGTGTCCTGGTGCAGTCAAGGAAGAGGAGAGGGTGGCGAGGCGGCCCTGGTCTCTTGAGTGTAGGTCTGTGTGTGCCGGCATGGCTGGGTCCCGTCATGGCAGCGCCCATGCGGCTGTGTCTGTCCCAGCATGGGTCAGGATGTGGGTCCATGTGTGCGTTTGGGTACCTCAGTTCCTGATCCTCTTCCCCACCCTCTGTCCAACGTCGACACTCTCCCTGCCCAGCCTTGGCCTCTGTGTTCCCCTTCCTCCCCTCTACCGTCCAGGCTCCAGCCACAGACTCTTGCCGTTTCTGGTTCCCTTCAGTCTGTTTCCCCGGGCCCTGCCCTCCGCCCCCACACTCTGGCCCTCCACCGCTTCCAGCAAAGCCCCAGGCCCCGCGCCCTGGTCTCAGACCAGCGCTCACCTTTATCGTGCAGTGGCGCGCCGAGGTCGCTGCGGGCGCGTCCGTAGGCGCTCTCCAGGTCGGCCGAAGAGAACGCGTCAAGTTTGACCTTCTTGACCAGGAAGGACCTGGGCATGATTCCTGCGGGGCTCCGGCGCTGTGGGCCTGCGGAGCCGGGGCTTGGGGGGGCTGCGGCGGCAGGGCCCCGTCACCATCCGAGGAGCGGCGGAGGCAGCGCGGGTCCCCACTCTGGCCTTTGGATGCTGCCGCGCGAGTGGTGTCCTCTCTCCTTGCTGCCCTGCGTCTCCTCCGTTGCCCCTCCGGATCCCTCTTCTTCCTCCTTCCTTCAATCCTTCCTTCCTTCCTTCAATCCTTCCTTCCTTCTCTCCTCTTCTCTCCTCTCCTCTTCCTTCCTTCCCTCCTCTGGTCCCGGCTTCCCAGCCCGCAGTGCCGCCCCTGGACAGGCGGGGGAGGAGGCTGGGGGGGCGGAGAGGGGGGGAGCGGCTCCGTCCCGGGCCTGGAGGCTGCGAGTGGGTGCAGGGCTGGCCCGGCTCGGTGGCCCCCTTCCCCTCCCCCCCCCCGCCGCCGCGGCGGAGCCTCAGTCAGCGGCCCCCCATGCCCCCGGGGGCGGCGGCGCCGGGCCCGGAGAACGCGGTGGCAGCGGCAGCGCCGGCAGCTTCAGCACCGCGGCCAGCGCCGGCCTGGGCAGCACCGCGGCCAGCGCCCGGGCGCGCTCAACCGGCGCGGGCGGAGAGGGGCGGTCCGCGGGGGTTTGGCCGCCGGGCAGGGGTCCTCGGCGGGGGTCTCTGGGAGGCTTGCTTTATTGTTCTGCAGCCGGAGCGAGCGGCAGTGGCGACGGCGGCGGCGGCGGCGGCGGCGGCGGCGGGCGGGGGGCGGGGGTCCTGGGGGGAGGGGTGCGCAGGGAGGGCGGGCCGAGGGAGGGAGGGAGGGAGGGACAGGGGCTCCGGGGGCGGGGCTCGGCGCTCGGACTGCTCCTGGGCCCGGCCTCCAGAGCCCGCAGCCGCCTCTGCCTGCGGCCCGGCCCAGCCTCTGGCTTTTAAAGCCCAGGAGCTGGGGGAGGGGGAGGGAGGTGGGGGAGAGGCCGGCGGAAATGGCTGCGCTGGGCCGAGCCCCGGCCTGGGTCTCCTGGGAGGGGTCCCGGGGATGCCTCAGCCTGCGCGAGTGGGGAATTCCCCCGCGCGGCTCGGGGAACCGCGGCCCGGCAGCCAGCAGCATTGTCGGGCGTGTGGGGAGAAATGGAGCCAGGCCTGGGACCCAAGCGCCCCGGACTCGGGGTCTTGTGGGGAGGAACGTAGGGAGGACCCCAGTCCCGCCTGCCTCGCTCGGGGCCTGGGGCGCGGGATCTGCGGGGGCGGGCGGGGGAGGCGGGAGCCGAAGGAGCAAGTGCTGAGGCAGCGAAAGCGCAGCGCGCGCCCTGTGCCGCAGTGGCTCCCGCCGCTCGGTCACCCCGGCTGACCCCGTGCACGCTGGAGGGGCCTACCCGCCCCCGCCTCTCTCCCCCCGGGCGGGTGTGCGGCGCAGCGGCGTCGCTGCGAGCCGGGTGTGGAGCTGGAGAGGGGCTGCCACGACCCTGCTCCAGAAATTCTGCTGCTTTGGGGGTTTTCCGCCCTTCCGCGCGGCTGCAGCTCCCCACGGCAGCCCCGCAACCAGGCGGATAACCCTTTCCTCGGCCGCCCGCCCAGCGTTTGCAGCCCCCATGACGTCAGGCTCAGCGGCCAATGGCGGGGCGCCGGGCGCGGGGGCTCCGGGGCTCCGGGCCGCACAATGGCCGCGCGCGGGTGCCTCTGTCCCCAATTAGGGCCTGGCGCCGCCATTGTCCCCTCACCCGCCCCGCCCGGTGGTCCGGGTCTACGGGCTCCGAGCGCGCTCCCACGCGCCCCGCTGCCGCTGGGGACCAAGGTCGCGGGGGCGGCCCCGGGGAGCGTCCGGGCGCGGGTGTGCCGGGAGCGCGTGCGATACTGGAGCGCGCTCGTTGCGGCGCAAAATGACCTTGCGCGGGGCGGACCCGCGGACAGCGGCTGGGAGCGCGCGGCGGGCGGGCCCCGGGGAAGGCGGCCTGCGGGGGCGCGCTGCACTTGCTGAGCTCAGCGCCCCGCCCCCGGCCGCCCGGCCCCGCGCGGAGCCCGGGTGGGTGTGACCCGGCCCGCCCGCGCGGGGGGTGCGGCGGAGACCACGGACCCGCTTTGTGCCAGCCGCCCCGGCCCCGGCAGCGGCGGGACATTCATCTTGCGTGGCAGGCGCTCCCGAGGGGTGGGGGCGGGGCGCGGCCGCCCCCTTATCTCCGAGCGGCAGCCGGCTAGGCTCGCGGTGGGGGCGGGGGCGGGATCCCCCTCGGCCGCGCCGCGCGGGTCCTGGCTCCCTCCCAGGGGGGGGCCGGGCCAAGGCACAGCCGGAGGCGTGGGGCCAATTAACATTTTGATTGCGGGACTGGGGGGCCATCTGGACCGAGGCCTAATTACCCGGCAGACCCTCGGGGCGCCGGCGGGACGTGCCAGGCGCGATCCCCTCATGACCCAGCGCTCACCGCCTTCTCCCGGACCCTGTCCCCGCCCTCAACTCTGTCCTTCGACTCCATCCTTGGCCTCCTCCGTTCGTCCTAGTATTCTTGCCTCTCTGTCCCCACTCTCCGGGTCCTCCGACCCCCAACTCTGTCCCCTTCCCCCATTCTTCCGTTCGTCTGCCCTGTCCCCCCACCCCCCGTTTCTCTCCTCTGCTCCTCCCACTTCGTCCCTTCTCCCCGCGCCATTCCTGTCGCCCTGCACTCACCCCGTTTCCTTGTCCCTCCATCCACCCTCTCAGCCCCTTCCTCTCCTGCCTCTGTGCACATACCTGCCTCTCTCTGTCAAGCTCCTCGCCCCTTTTGCCCCCAGTCCCCTTGACGGAAGAGGCATCACAGCGGCACACATGTGTCCCGTGGCCAGGCGCTCCCGCGGGAACCATTGGGGCGGCCCTTGCTCCCGCTCGGGTGGAGCCCGCAGCCCCCCGGGACCCCTGGCGGGGAGGGACAGCTGGGTCCAGGCTTTGGCCATCAGTCTGCACCGACCGGGGTGCGGAGCGCACATGCGACCCGGGCGCAATTACTTGGGCCTCCTCGCCCCGCCCCCCCACCAGCATCCTGATCCCCCCCCTTCCCCCTCACCCCCAGCATCAGGAGGTCGCTGTGGTGCCCCAGTCCTGGGCCCCAGCTAGGAGAGGCTGAAGGAGGACAGTGGACGATTCTCACGCTTTGGAAAAGTGTCAGCCCTCCTGCATGGGAGGCCTCCCCGAGTCTCTTACTGAGAGCTGGGGCCTTGGGAGGCTTTGTTGCAGGAGAGGAGATGGTCAGGGTTCCCAGGCAAGGCTGCCTTGGTCCCCAGCCAATTAAAGTCCTGGTCCCCCTAGCCACTCTCTGCAGAGCCCCTCTTGGGGAGTCTCTTCCTGCCGCCCTGATGCAAGCCCCAGTTCTGCCCCCTTGTCCCTTCGGGTGGGTGCAGTGTTGGCTCTGAACCCTCCGTGCCCTCTGCTGCTGGCCGCACCTCTCCCTGCCCCTCCCAGGCCCCATGTTGTGGAAAGGTCAGCCATAAGGGTCAGGGGTCCCCACTCTTGTGTCTCCAGCACCCCACCCTCAGCAAAGCCAGAGCCCCTGGTGTGCCCACCCTCAGATCCTGCAGTTGCATTCTCACCCACCCCTGCCCTATTGAGGCTCCAACCCAGGAAATAAGTGGACAGCCCAGATCCGAGGGTCCACCCTGCTGGACAGAAGCGATGGGCAGAGAATAGGGTGTTGAATGGAGGTGACAGGTATGGGATGCAGTTACTGGTGGTGATGGAGCACAGTTGGGTTAGAAGATGAGGACATTGACTTGGAGAAGAGATCAAGGCTTGGAAGGGACAGGCAGTCTGCAGTGGTTCATCCACGAGAACATTAGACCACCAGGAATTCAGGCAGCGATGGGTGGGGACGAAGCCATAGTGAGAGCTGCTGCTGGGTGGTTGGTGGCCAATGACACGTGCTCCAGCTGGGACGCTCAAGGAGAGGAGGGAATTGGGGTCTGCAGGCCTCAGCCAGGAGCACAGGAGTATTTGGGGGAGAGAGAAAGCAGCCCCCAGAGAGGACTGTGGGGAGGGACAGCATGGAAGGAGGGCCCTCAGCAGGGAGGACGTGGGGTCGCTGGGGATGGAGCCCCTGGGGAAGGTTTCAGGATGGGGGGTGGGTCTGTATTCCAAAATGGCTCTGGTGGGGTTGGGGGGTAGGCATGGGGACAAGGGCGTGAAGAGTGGCCCAGAAAAGCCGGTGGGCAGACTTGGTCCCTGCTGGGCAGGAGCTTTGGAGGACCCACAGGAGCAAGGTTGCAGCACAAGTGGAAATGTGCGTGTGAAAACCAGAAGCAGAGAGCGAGGGCAAGTGTCAGTGCCAGAAAACACCTGCACTAAACATAACAACAGGTTAACATTCTGATTGTCGGGAGAAATAACTGGTATAAATGAACTTTTTACAGAACAAAGATGCTGAGACTCCAAAGGGCTTAGCAGGTGATTGACTACAGAAGAAATAAGAGATCTTCTTAGGAATCACACACATGCTGGCTGGGTGCAGTGGCTCATCTGTAATCCCAGCACTTTGGGAGGCCAAAACGGGTGGATCACTTGAGGTCAGGAGTTCGAGACCAGCCTGGCCAACGTGGTGAAACCCCGTCTCTACTAAAAATACAAAAATTAGCTGGGCGTGGTGGCGCACACACCTGTAATCCCAGCTACTTGGGAGGCTGAAGCAGGAGAATTGCTTGAACCCGGGAGGCAGAAGTTCCAGTGAGCTGAGATTGCACCATTGCCCTCCATTGCACTCCAGCCTGGGCAACAGAGCTAGACTCTGTCTTTAAAAAAAAAAAAAAAAAAAAGGAATCAAAGACATGCAAATTAAAGGACAAAATGCAAATTTCAGGGTTTTTTCTTGTTTTATTACAGAAAATATGAAATATGCACAGATGTGCAGAGAGCCAGTTAATGCAGGTTCCCCTCTTGCCCAATAAGCACCTTCACTAAAGACCAGCCTATGGGTGGCTGGGCGCCTGTAATCCCAGCACTTTGGGAGGCTGAGGCGGGCAGATCATGAGGTCAGGAGATAGAGACCATCCTGACTAACACGGTGAAACCCCATCTCTACTAAAAATACAAAAGAAAATTAGCCGGGCGTCATGGCGGGTGCCTGTAGTCCCAGCTACTCAGGAGGCTGAGGCAGGAGAATGGCGTGAACCCAGGAGGTGGAGCTTGCAGTGAGCCAAGATCGCGCCACTGCACTCCAGCCTGGGCGACAGAGTGAGACTCCGTCTGAAAAACAAAAAACGACAAAAAAAACAGCCTATAGGCATCTTGCTTCCTCCCCGACTCCCTCATCATTTTGAAGCAAATCCCAGACATGGCATCACAAAACGCCATCTTTGGCGGGGCGCAGTGGCTCACACCTGTAATCCCAACACTCTGGGGGGCTGAGGTGGGTGGATCACTTGAAGTCAGGAGTTTGAGACCAGCCTGGCCAACATGGTGAAACCCCGTCTCTACTAAAAATACAAAAATTGGCTGGGCATGGTGGCTCGTGCCTGTAATCTCAGCACTTTGGGAGGCCAAGGTGGGTGGATCACCTGAGGTCTGGGGTTTGAGACCAGCCTGGCCAACATGGAGAAACCCCATCTCTACTAAAAATACAAAAAATTAGCCAGACGTGGTGGCAAGCGCCTGTAATCCCAGCTACTTGGGAGGCTGAGGCAGGAGAATCGTTTGAACCAGAGTGGCAGAGGTTGCAGTGAGCTGAGACTGCGCCACTGCACTCCAGCCTGGGCAACAGAACGAGACTCTGCCTCAGCAACAACAACAACAAATCATACACACACACACACACACACACAAAATTAGCCAGGTGTAGCCGGGTGTAGTGCTCATGCCTGCAATCCCAGCACTTTGGGAGGCCAAGGCAGATGGATCAGGAGGTCAGGAGTTCAAGACCAGCCTGGCCAACATGGTGAAACCATGTCTCTACTAAAAATACAAAAATTAGCCGGGTGTGGTGGCGGGCGCCTGTAATCCCAGCAACTTGGGAGGCTGAGGCAGAGAATTCCTTGAAATCAGGAGGAATTCACTGCAACGGAGGTTGCAGTGAGCCAAGATTGCACCACTGCACTCCAGCCTGGGCAACAGAGCGAGACTCTGTCTCAAGAAAAAACAAAAAACAACACGGCCATTTTCTCTTGATAAAGACATGAGTGCTGCACATGAGCGAGGGTGGAGGTGCAGCTAAGGAGCTGCAGAGCTGGGCCTCAGGCTCCTACTCGGGCCCAGCCCAGCTTGAGCTGGGGGTGCCTGGAGACAGGATTGGACCCCGCCTCCTTCTTGCTTTCAGCAGGGCAACCCCTCAGTCTCCTGTGTCCCCCTGGCTGCATAGCAGAGAGGCCAGCAGCCCTGAAGGGGCCCAAATCCCACCCCCTTCCAAGAGGTCCAACTGCCTGACCTGCTCAGACCTTCAGCTTTAGGCAGGGGTCACTTAATTTCTCTAAACTGGAGATATAATTTTCTTTTTTTTTTTCTTTTCTTTTCTTTTTTTTTTTTTTTGAGACAGAGTCTTGCTCTTGCCCAGGCTGGAGTGCAGTGGTGCAATCTCGGCTCACTGCAAGCTCCGCCTCCCGGGTTCACACCATTCTCCTGCCTCAGCTTCCTGAGTAGCTGGGACTACAGGCGCCCGCCACCACGCCTGGCTAATTTTTTTGTATTTTTAGTAGAGACGGGGTTTCACCGTGTTAGCCAGGATGATCTCGATCTCCTGACCTTGTGATCCACCCGCCTCGGCCTCCCAAAGTGCTGGGATTACAGGCGTGAGCCACCGCACCCGGCCAACTGAAGATACAATTTTCATATGTAAAATATCTTAAATGTAGAATTCCATCAGCTTTAAAAACACATATTCTCTTGTAACCCACTCACCTACAGAGACACAGGATACTTCCATGCCCTACAGGATGGTCCTTCGGGGCAGGTATAAAGTTATAAAGGAGACATTGAGAAGAGGCTAGGGGAACCTGAGAGTGAGGCCTGGGAGGAGGCAGAGACGGGGGATGTGAGGAGGAAAGAGGTGGGGGAGGAAGAGGCAGGGGCGGAGGAGGTGACTCCAGAGGAGGGGGAGGAAAGGGCTTCCACCAGAGGGCAGCCGGGCCCCACCTAAGCACTGCAAGCACTCCTGGCAGCTGGGCTCACTTCTTTCCTAGCAGGGTGATATGAGGAGGGCTCTGGAAGTGGCCGGGGGGCACTGACCTGCCTGCACAGTGGAGGCCCAGTGTCGACGGCCTCCTATGCAGCCTCCTAATTCCTGATGCAACATGAGCCTCCCCACCTTCACCTTCCTGGACCTGCCCGTGGTGTGGCTTCCTGCTGTCCCAGCTGCTGGGAGTCTTGTCACCAGCAGCCTTGAGGGATGGCTGCAGCTGCAGAGCCCCTCGCCCAGGGCCACACCCTCCTAGGGGTGGCCACACCTGGTGACTGATGGAGGCCCTGGCATTCCTGCCTGAGGCAGGACAACTTTGATGGGCGATCTCGGCTCAGGCCTTTGGGGGCCAGCAGGGGCTGTTGCTCCTGGGTGGCCATCACTCCTCCCTCGGCCTCATCTGACCTCCTCGCCCTCCCTCCACAGATGTCCATCCCTAGGGCAGTCTTGTAAATGTCCTAGAGCTCCAAACTCAGGCTCAGAGTCCCTTCCCAGAGCTTTATTCTGCTCCCTCCAATGGAATGTGATCTTTCCAGCCAAGTTCACACTCCTGTCCCCACTTCCACCCCCTAGCCCCCATGCTCCCCTACCCCAGGTTCCCTGAAGGCATTTGGGCCTGATGGTCCTCTCCACACTCTCCTGTTGGCTGAAAAGTCCCTGGGGACAGTGCCTCTGCAACAACCGTTTCTACTCCTCACCCTGGCCCAGCCGTCCTGGGCTTCTTCTCATGCCTATTCACCCTGCAGGGGGGCCCAAGGCTCCTTCCAGGAACCCCATCATCTCCTTGCCCTCTCCCACCCTCAGCTGCTCTACTCTGGTACTCTCACTCCAACACCTCAAACTTAGTAGAGCCTTCAGCCCCACCACGTCTCTCTGCCTATGACCACTGCTCTCATGGAGCCCCAGGAATTGTTCCTCCGGGCATAGCTCTTGAGGTGCCCCCTCCGATATTGACCTGGGTCCGGCTGTGGGCATCAGCAAGAATGGTGCAAACCAAGGCTGTGACCACGCACACCGTGGGGTGACTCCAGAGCTCTCGCTCACTTTGGGATGCCTGCAGCTACGGCTGGCAAGAGCTCCGACGGGGCTGTTGAGGACAGGCCACGCAGAGCGTTTCTGTGGGACAGGTGCTACAGATGGTCCAGCCCCAGCAGACTTCCCAGCCAAATGCAGTCACACAAGTAACCCCAGCTACAATGCTTGGGGTAGAACTGCCCCATGGAGCCAGTCAGCCTGAACGATTGGATAAATAATAAGTTGCTACTGGCTGGGCACGGTGGCTCATGCCTGTAATCCCAGCACTGTGGGAGGCCGAGGCGGACAGATCACCTAAGGTCAGGCATTCAAGAGCAGCCTGGCCAATATGGTGAAACCCTGTCTCTACTAAAACATACAAAAATTAGGCCAGGTGCAAGTGGCTCACACCTGTAATCCCAGCACTTTGGGAGGCCGAGGTGGGCAGATCACCTGAGGTTGGGAGTTTGAGACCAGCCTGACCAACATGTTGAAGCCCTGTCTCTACTAAAAATACAAAATTAGCCAGGCGTGGTAGTGCATGCCTGTAATCCCAGCTACTTGGGAGGCTGAGGCAGAAGAATCACTTGAACCTGGGGGGTGGAGGTTGCAGTGAGCCAAGATGGCCACTGCACTCCAGCCTGGGCAACAAGAGCGAAACTCCATCTCAAAAAAAAAAAAAAAAAAAAATTAGCCGGGCACAGTGGCTCACACCTGTAATCCCAGAACTTTGGGAGGCTGAGAGAGGTGGATCACCTGAGATCAGGAGTTCAAGACCAGCCTGGCCAACATAGTGAAACCCCATCTCTACAAAAATACAAAAAAATTAGCTGGACGTGGTGGTGGATGCCTATAATCCCAGCTACTAGGGAGGCTAAGGCAGAAGAATCGCTTGAGCCTGGAAGGCAGAGGTCTCAGTGAACCGAGATCGTGCCATTGCATTCCAGCCTGGGCAACAAGAGCAAAACTCTGTCTCAAAAACAAAACAAAATAAAAATTAGCGGGGCATGGTGGCACATGCCTGTAATCACAGCTACTTGGGAGGCTGAGGCAGGAGAATTGCTTGAACCAGGAAGGCGGAGGTTGCAGTGAGCCGATATCGCACCACTGTGCTCCAGCCTGGGTGACAGAGCAAGACTCCATCTCAAAAAGAAAAAAAAAAGTTGCTACTAGCGTCTACATTTTACACAGCAGATAGGTGACTGAAATAGAAGTTGGCAGCTGGAAGCGGGGTGCTGCTGGACCAAATACCTAAAATCAGTGGCACTGGCTCCAGGACTGGGTGGCATGGCAAGCAGAGGCCTGAGGAGACTGTCAACAGAGACTGGGAATGAAGGAGCCCACGAGGAGGATGGAGGAAGATGAGCCGTTGTCAGCAGGAGTCCGGAGAGGCGTTGCCACAGCAACCTGGAGACACAGCTGCACCTGATGCTGGGTTCTGGGCCACGAGATGCAGGCAAAAATGTGGAGGGGCCTGGTATGGGATGAAATGCCCAGCCACCAAATAAGAATGTGTTGAAGCCCTAATCCACAGTGTCTCAGAATATCTCAGAATATGACAATATTGGGAAATAGGCCCATTGCATGCAGATTTAATTAGCTCAAGTGATGGTGGAGTAGGGTGGCCTTTTTTTTTTTTTTTTAAAGACAGGGTCAGCCAGGCGAGGTGGCTCACGCCTATAATCCTAGCACTTTGGGAGGCCGAGGTGGGCAGATCACCTGAGGTCAGCAGTTCGAGACCAGCCTGGTCAACATAGTGAAACCTCGTCTCTACTAAAAATATAGAATTAGCCAGGCGTGGTAGCTCATGCCTGTACTGTAATCCCAGCTACTCAGGAGGCTGAGGCAGGAGAAATGCATGAACTCAGGAGGCGGAGGTTGCAGTGAGCTAAGATCACACCATCACACTCCAGCCTGGGCAACAAGAGAGAACCTCCATCTCAAAAAAAAACAAAAACAAAAAGGCTGGGCTTGGTGGCTCACGCCCGGAATCCCAGCACTTTGGGAAGCCAAGGCAGGTGGATCACAAGGTCAGGAGATCAAGACCATCCTGGCTGACATGGTGAAACCCCGTCTCTACTAAAAATACAAAAAAAATTAGCTGGGCGTGGTGGTGGGTGCCTGTAGTCCCAGCTACTCGGGAGGCTGAGGCAGGAGAATGGCGTGAACCTGGAAGGTGGAGCTTGCAGTGAGCCGAGATCGCGCCACTGCACTCCAGCCTGGGCGATAGAGTGGGACTCCATCTCAAAAAAAAAAAAACAGGGTCTCATCCTGTTGTCCAGGCTGGAGTGCAGTGGTACAATCACAGCTCACTGCAGCCTTGACCTCTTGGGTTCAAGTGACCCTGCCACCTCAGCCACAGGGGCATGTCACTGTATCCAGCTAATTTAAAAAAGTTGGCTGGGCATGGTGGCTCACGCCTGTAATCCCAGCACATTGGGAGGCCGAGGCAGGCAGATCACTTGAGGTCAGGAGTTCAAGACCAGCCTGGGCAACATGGTGAAACTCTGTCTCTACTAAAAAAAAAAAAAAAAAAAAAAAAAATACAAAAATTAGCCCAGCCTGGTAATGCATGCCTGTAATCCCAGCTACTGGGGAGACTGAGGCAGGAGAATCACTTGAACCCAGGAGGTGGAGATTGTAGTGAACTGGGATCACACCCAGCGCCCACCAGCCTGGGTAACAGATTGAGACTCCGTCTCAAAAAAAAAAATTTTTTTTTTTTGTAGAGACGAGGTATCACCATGTTGCCCAGGCTGGCTTGAACTCCTGGGCTCAAGGGAGCCTCCTGCCTTGTCCTGTCAAAGTGCTGGGATTACAGTTGTGAGCCACTGAGCCCGGCCTGTCTTCCATGCCTATGGTTCCTTTGTCACAGTTAAGACACCAACATTGGGCCGGGCGTGGTGGCTCACGCCTGTCATCCCAGCACTTTGGGAGGCCGAGGCGGGTGGATCCCCTGAGGTCAGGAGTTTGCGACCAGACTGGACAACATGGTGAAACCCCATCTCTGCTAAAAATATAAAAAAACTAGCATGGTGGTGGGTGCCTGAAATCCCAGCTACTCGGGAGGCTGAGGCAGAATTGCTTGAACTCAGGAGACGGAGGTTGCAATGAGCTGACACAGCACCACTGCACTCCAGTCTCAGTGACACAGTAAGACTCCGTTGCAAAAAAAAAAAAAAGAAAAAAAAAGAAACCAACCTTGATACATTACTGCTAACTCCAGGCTTTATTTGGATTTCACTAGTTTTTCCATCTACATCCTCTATCTGTTACAGAAATCAATTCAAGATACGACTTTGCATTTAGCTATCACGTCTCTTTAGTCTGTGGTCTGTGACAATTTATCAGTCTTTCCCTGTTTTTCATGATCTTGACAGTTTTGAGGAGCACTGCTCAATTTTATAGATTGAATGAGTCTTTGGTAAAATGTCCCTCAGTTGGGGTTTGTCTGATGTGCTCTCGTGATGAGGGTTTGGGGTGTGGGGAGGCTTCTCATTACATCACCGCAGGGCTCATGTGGCGTCACTGTGACATCACTGGTGAGGCTGACCTCAGTCACCTGGTTAACGTGGCATCTGCCAGATTCTTCCACTGTCAAGTTACTATTTTTCTTTTCTTTTCTTTTTTTTTTTTTTTTTGAGACGGAGTCTCGCTCTGTCTCCCAGGCTGGAGTGCAGTGGTGTAATCTCGGCTCACTGCAACCTCTGCCTTCCGGGTTCAAGCGATTCTCCTCCCTCAGCCTCCTGAGTAGCTGTGATTACAGGCAACTGCCACCATGCCCGGCTAATTTTCTATTTTTAGTAGAGACGGGATTTTGCCATGTTGGCCAGGTTGGTCTCGAACTCCCGACCTTGTGATCCACCTGCCTCGGCCTCCCAAACTGCTGGGATTATAGGCGTGAGCCACCACACCTAGCCCTTTTTTCTTTTCTTTTCTTTTCTTGAGACAGAGTTTCGCTCTTGTTGCCAAGGCTGGAGTGCAGTGGCGTGATCTGGGCTCACTGCAACCTCCACCTCCTGGGTTCAAGCGATTCTACTGCCTCAGCCTCCTGAGTGGCTGGGATTACAGGAGCCCACCACCTCGCCCAGCTAATTTTTGTATTTTTAGTAGAGATGGGGTTTCACCATGTTGGCCAAGCTGGTCTCGAACTCCTGAGCTCTGGTGATCCGCCCACCTCGATCCCCCAAAGTGCTGGGATTATAGGCGTGAGCCACCAGGCCCGGCCACCTACCCTTGTTTGACCCAACTAACTGCCTACTCCACACCTGCATCTAAGCAGCAAACCTTTTCCCTAGAAAAACAACCACATCCACTCACCCTTCACATGTGTGACACGCATCTCAACTGAGCACCCCACACTGCCTGACAATCTTACTATACTTTCCCTATCCAGTTACTCTCCTGCTCCCTGGGAAGACTATTTCACACCTCGTCTTCTTGACTTAAAACCTGCTAATCCCCTCCACCTTCAAAGCTAATAACCTTTTTTTTTTTTTTTGAGACAGAGTCTCACTCTGTCGCCCAGGTTGGAGTGCAGTGGCGCCATCTTGGCTCACCACAAGCTCCGCCTCCTGGGTTCACGCCATTCTCCTGCCTAAGCCTCCCAAGTAGCTGGGACTACAGGTGCCCACCACCACGCCCGGCTAATTTTTTTTTGTATTTTTAGTAGAGACGGGGTTTCACCGTGTTAGCCAGGATCTCCTGACCTTGTGATCCGCCCGCCTTGGCCTCCCAAAGTGCTGGGATTACAGGCGTGAGCCACTGCACCCGGCCAACCATTTTTTTTTTTAAGAGATGGGGTCTCACTATGCTGTCTAGCCTGGTCTCAAACTCCTGGGCTTAAGCAATTCTCTTGCCTCATCCCAGCCTCCCAAGCAGTTGAGACTACAGGTGTGCAGAACCGCATCTGGCTAATTTTTGTATTTTCTGTAGAGACAAGGTTCACTATGTTACCCAGACTGGTCTTGAACAGGAGTTCAAGCAGTCCACCTGCTTTAGCCTCCCAAAGTGCTAGCATCACAGGTGCAAGCCACAACGTTCAGCCTAATAATCTTATTAGTTAGAATCACACTTGCCAGCAACTGTTAGAAAACTCCAAATAGGCCGGGCGCGGTGGCTCATGCCTGTAATCCTAGCACTTTAGGAGGCCAAGGCAGGTGGATCAAATAGGCCGGGCACGGTGGCTCATGCCTGCAATCCCAGCACTTCAGGAGGCCAAGGCAGGTGGATCAAATAGGCCGGGTGCGGTGGCTCATGCCTGCAATCCCAGCACTTCAGGAGGCCAAGGCAGGTGGATCAAATAGGCCGGGTGCGGTGGCTCATGCCTGCAATCCCAGCACGTCAGGAGGCCAAGGCAGGTGGATCAAATAGGCCGGGTGCGGTGGCTCATGCCTGCAATCCTAGCACCTTAGGAGGCCAAGGCAGGTGGATCAAATAGGCCGGGTGCGGTGGCTCACACCTGTCATCCCAGCACTTTAGGAGGCCGAGGCAGGCAGATCACGAGGTCAGGCGTTTGAGACCAGCCTGGCCAGCATGGTGAAACTCTGTCTCTACTGAAAATACAAAAATTAGCCAGGCATGGTGGCGGGCACCTGTAATCCCAGCTATTTGGGACGCTAAGGCAGGAGAATCACTTGGAACAGGAAGGCAGAGGTTGCAGTGAGCAGAGATCATACCACTGCACTCCAGCCTAGGCAAAAGAGCGAAACTCCATCTCAACAACAACAACAAATGTAAATTACAGTGGCTTAAACTGGAAATTTGTCTCTTTCACATAAATAGAGTCCATTAGAAGCCATGCAGGACTAGTAGGGCAACTCTACACTCATAGAGCTCCCTAATTCTATCGGTTTGTTTGTTTGATTTGAGACAGAGTAATTCCAGCACTTTGGGAGGCCAAGGCGGGTGGATCACCTGAGGTCAGGAGTTCAAGACCAGCCTGGCCCCAACATGGTGAAACCCCGTCTCTACTAAAAATACAAAAATTAGCCGGGTATGATGGCGTATGCCTGTAATCCCAGGTACTCGGGAGGCTGAGGCAGGAGAATTACTTGAGCTCAGGAAGCAGGGGTTGCAGTGAGCCGAGATCGCCACTGCACTGCAGCCTGGGTGACAGAGCAAGACTCGGTCTCAATAAATAAATAGATAAATAAAATCTCTATTAGGCCATGCACACCTGCACACCAACAAGCAAGACCTTCCTCTTGCAAGCTGCCCCCTGGTTTCTCTGCCCATGACAGTGAAACTTGCTGTGTGAGCTGTACTCTCCTCTTCTTTCCACCCTCTCTCCCTCCCTCCTCCCTGCCCCAGTTCTGTGCTGCTGAGGCCCCTTCTTGAGGCTGTTCCTGCAGGGGCGTTCGTGCCTCTTATGAGTCCCCATCTTACTCAACATGGGTTCCTTCTCCCTCTGTTTGGGTCCTCTTCCCCCGTGGCCCCTTGTCTGCCTCTGTGTCTGATGCCAGAGCTCCATCCTTGGCCCTCCTCCTGTTCTCCCCCATCTTCTGCGTTGCCAGAGACATCTCATCTAGTGCTTTAGCTTTAGGGACCTCCCAGGGCATGATGGTTTCAGGTCTGTGCTTCCCCCTTTCCTTTCTCCCCAGGGCCTTTCTGCCTTTTCAAAATCTCCCCCACAAGGTCCTGTAAGCTCCTCAGGCCTTGTCTAATTCAGAACTCCTGACTGCCAACCCCTCTCCCCATAGCCACCAGCCCCAGTGCCCAGGCCAGACACTCTGGACTCCCGAGTCACTTTTCTTCCCAGCCCACTTCCCGCCCAGCAGCAAATCCCCTCCACGGAGCCGGAGCTCAGAACTGTCTGTGGTCCTTGCTCCTCTCTGTTCCCCTCTGCCCCTCCAGCTCCCTTTCCTCCGTGCACAATTCCTGCAGCCTCCTGGCCTTTCCCCACCGCTCCCTCCCTGGGTCTTAGTGCATATCTGCTTACAGCTCTCCAGCAGATTCCCATGGCACACAGGACTAAAGCTCTGAGCTATGGCCTCCAAGGACGCTGCCTGCCCTTCCCACCTCATCTCAGGCCTCCTTCTCCCTTGTCCTCTCTACTCTGACCAGCCCAATCCCCTTGCAGCTTCTCCAGCACACCCAGCTCAGTCCTATATCACGCCCTTGTGTTGTGTTTACTCTTTGCCCACGATGCCCTTCCCCCAAAGCTCCCCAGCCAGAGGGACCCTGCCCCTCCAACCACTCTTCATTCTGGGTCCCTCTTAGATCACCAGCTCCAGGGAGGAGGGACTTTGCCTGCCTGAGTGAAACAGAGCCCTCAACCCAAACCTAAGTTTGGTGCTGCCACTGTAGGACACCTTGAGCCCCATCTTCTGGGGAGTGGAGGTCCCTGCACTTGTGCTGTTAATGACAATTGCTTCCAGGGATTACCTAAAGCCACTTCAGTAGCCCCCAGATCCTGCCCCAGAGATGGGCCAGGGTGCCTGTGTGCCCAGTGAGTTTTGAGCAGCCTTGGGATTGGGGGTCAAGTAGAGACTCTAAGTCATGGTTCCAGGCAGAACTGGCTTCACGAGCCTGCAACCTGGGCAGTCACACAGGGCCCCAGGCTCAGAAAGGCCCCATACTTGAGTTTTTGTTGCTGTTGTTGTTGTCGTTGTCGTTTTGGGACAGAGTCTCACTCTGTCACCCAGGCTGGAGTGCAATGGCTCAATCTCCGCTCACCCGCAACCTCTGCCTCCCAGGTTCAAGCGATTCTATTCCTTCAGCCTCCCGAGTAGCTGAGATTGCAGGGATGCACCACCACACCCAGCTAATTTTATATTTTTAGTAGAGACAGGGTTTCACCATGTTGGTCGGGCTGGTCTTGAACTCCTGACCTCAGATGATCCGCCCGCCTTGGCCTCCCAAAGTGCTGGGATGACAGGCGTGAGCCACCATGCCCAGTCTATCTTGAAATTCTTAATAACTTTATTTTTATTTTTATTGTTTATTTTATTAGAGACTGGGGTCTCACTATGTTGTCCAGGCTAGCCTTGAACTCCTGGGTTTAAGCTGTCCTCCCACCTTAGCCTCCTGAGCAGCCGAGACTACAGGTATACACCACTGCACCCCACTTATTAACTTCCTAACAATGGGCTCCAAATTTTCATTTGGCATGGGACCCTGCAAATTATGTAGCTGCTCCTGGTTGCAGGGACGTTCAGCTGATAATGCCTGAAGATCCGGAGAGCCAGGTCCTGCTTTCCCTGGGACCCCATGGCCCACAGCCTTCTCGGCTTCCACAACAGCCCCCAGCACTCAGGAGGCCTCAGGTGCTGCAGTGATAGCTGGGGGATCCACTGGACAGGAGAGTGTGGGCCTGGGGTTCCAGCAGGCACAGCAAGTGGGTGTCAGGGGCGCAGGCCTGGGGTTCCAGTGGGCACGGTGAGCGGGTGTCAGGGGCGCGGGCCTGGGGTTCCAGCGGGCATGGCGAGCGGGTGTCAGGGCACTGCACATCCTCCCTCCTAGGAGGCCCTGCACCCTGGCCCGGGACTCTTGTGCCCACCCCCTTGGAGGCAAGCGGCAGCAGCTTTGTGGGTACTGGGGCAAGCATGCACCCCAGGCACAGGGCTTGTTCTCTGGCCGCACCCCACCCCATTGCTGGTTGGAGTAGCAGCAGGCACCGGGTCCAGAATGGGCCAGATTCTGACTCCTGGATTCCACGCATTGGTCAGCACCTCTGAGGTCAGGTAGGACAAGTTAAGTGCTGCTGGCTAAGAGGGGATGGAGTTCCCAGCCTCTCTAGTGATGGGCCGAACCTCAGAGGCCTGGCTATATGCCATCCCTTGCTCTCAGCTGTTCCTGTCTTCGAACACAAGCTGTGGGGTTTGCTTCAGTCAGCTGGAAGGCACAGGCTCTCTGAGGTCCTAGGAGTGCGCAACAGTGGAAGACCTAGGCACCAGAGGGCCTCCCCTGCCCCCTAAAATGATCCGTGTGGAAGCTGAGGCAGCTTTATTGAAAGGAAGGCCAGTGAGTGGGACTCACATTTGATCTGCCCCAGAGTGGGGCTGGGAGGTTACCGAGAACACAGTCCCGAGGTGGGGGAGGCCCTCAGAGTCACACCTCCAGGCTGGACTGAGAGGAGCTGGGCTTGTGACCCATGGGGCTCTTGCCCATCACAGTGCCAGCGCCAGGGGGTGGCCAGTGGCGAACCACGTGCCGGTAGGAGGTGGCCAGGTAGTCGAAGTAGTTGATGTTGAGTTTCCGGGCGATGTAACGGCCCAAGTATTCCATTTGCTGTGGGAGCAGGTGGCGCTCAACTGGGGCCGGGACAGGACAGACCCGAGTCGCCGTCCAGGCGTCTCCTTCCCCTACCAGGCTGCATCCCCCGTCCTGCCCGAAGCCCCGGCGCCCTCTCCACGGCCCCCAGCACCGAAGACCGTGTTGTATTTACCCTCTGCGTGCGGAAACGGCCCCACCCAAAGACCTTAAACAGTGATCGGTGTCATCGTGTCCTGAGGAGGGCGCGTGTCTGGGCGGGACCCACCTCGTAGTGCTCCGACAGCTGCACCAGCACCAGGGGCTCCAACCTGTGGCCGCCGAGGACCAGGTGGAAGAAGCACCTTCCGTGGGCTGCGGGGAGAGCGGACTTAGCCAGCCTGGCCGCCCCTCCGACCTCCCAAGCTGCCTCCCCGTCCCTGGCGCACCCTCCCGGCCCGTTACCATCGGAGCTGAGCGCCAGGCGCACGTAGACCAGATGCAAGGGGCCCTGGCACACGGTGCGGCCCTGGATGGAGAAGTGGTACACGCCGCGCGTGTGGTTCAGCACCAGGCGGCGCCGCGGCAGCGACGAGATCACGAGCCACAGGCCCACGCCCACGCCGTACACGAGGAAGACCCAGGTCTCTTGCTTCTGCACCTGCGGGCGCCACGCGGAGAGTCTGAGCGGCGCGGGGCCGGCCCTCAGGGGAGGAGGGCGGTGGGGGTCGGGCCCAGGGGCTCACACCTCTCTCAGGGAGCTGAAGCTGACCAGGACCACGCTGATGATGAAGAGCAGCATCCCCTTCCACAGTGTGTCCAGGTAGTATTCGAGCACGAAGACTGGGGGTGGCGCGGCGCGTGAGGACGCCCCGGCCCTGCCCGCAGCCGGGGGTGGCGGTGCCAAGGCTTGGCCCGGACTAGCTGGGTCCGCGCAGGGCTCGCGGAGGCGACGTCTCGCCTGCGGCCTCTCCGTCCCCAGGAGCACCGGCCGGCCCCACCCAGGGCCCTGGCCCTGCCTCTGCCCACCTGGCTCCGCCCCATTCAGGCCTCGGGCCCGTCTCCCTCCTCCCCCGCCCCGCCCTTCCCAGCCCCGCCCCGCCCCGCCCCGCCCAGCCTCGCGCGCACCGTTTGGCTCCTGCTGCACGAATGGGTAGAAGCTATTGTTCTTGAGGCGTCTGGCCAGGTGGCGCTCCGGGCAGGTGAGTCCTAGGAACCAGAGCTGGAAGCGCCAGCCGATGGAGGTCGTGGGCAGGCTGCCGGCCCGGCCCTTAGGCATCTGAGTCAGGCAGAGGTGGTCAGCCTGGCCGCTCGTCCGCTGCCGCCGCCCACTGCCCACAGCGGCACTCCTACCTCGGTGAGCAAATTCTCCAGGGCTGCAGGCCCAGGAAGGAGCAGGAGCTCACAGGCGACTGACAGGGCAGCGAGGCCAGGGAGCGGCCCAGGGTGGACCGCGGATGGGTTCTAGAAGTTCTGGGCAGGTTCTAGAAGGGGCTGCTCTGTTGACCACCTCTTAGGGAGTCCAGGGTGAGGTCCTGCGGTAGGCATTAACTTCTTGGCCAGTCCATCCACTGGAGGCCCCCTGTATGGCCTGTTCACAGTCCCCATGTGAAGGGTGGATGGGTGGACACCCTAGGCCTGAGCTGGAGAGAAATTTGCAGGCGGCGACCACTCAGTGAGCCCCACAGCTGGGCGGGGCCCCACCCCCTCCCACCCCCCACCCACATGCAACCACAGACAAGCTCACCAGTGTCCCCGAGGACGGAACACACACACTGGACCCAGCAGTGGGCAGGCAAAGGCATGGCCACCTGCAGGCTCAAGAGCCCATGGGACCACCCTGACCCCACAACACACAGGCTCTGGGCCGGCTGTAGCCCCAGTGGCTCCATCAGGTATAACCTGTTGCCCAACCCTACCCTGAGGACCACACACACAGAACTCCTAAAAATGTTTTATTTTAACAAAATGCTCAAATATCTGAAATTGGGCAAAGGTGGAGGGTGGGCAAGCTGGCTGAGGTGTCCCAGGTCTGTGGCTGCCTAGCTGGGTGAGGGGCTGGTGAGCAGCTGCTCCAGACACCACTGGACTTCCTCCAGGCCCCGGTAGGCCCGCTTCAGACCCCGGGGAAGGCAGCGGCAGGACTCCAGGTTGAGGTAGAGCAGGCCCGGGCAGCCGCTGATCACAGAGCTGTGGGGAGGGCAGACCACAGGAAGTTGAGCTGTTGCCTCAGAAGGGCTGGGCCAGGCTAGGGAGCTGTGCCTGCTGGTGTTCGACACCTGGCTCTGCCACCCATAGCCACCAAGGCCAAGCCCAGTTCCCCTGGTGTCCTCAGGCCCACCCCACGCAGGGGCTTGGACAGTATGCATGCCCCTCTGACCCCTGGAGGTCTCAGGCCAGGCAGGACACAACTTCCAGGCCCCAGGCAGACACAGTGACAGCCACACTGGCTCCAGGGACTGGGGTAGGGGATGCTGACCTGACAGTGCTTGGTGTGACCCGGGTGCCCCTGAGGTTAAGAGAGCACAGGGCTGGGTGTGAGCCCCCAGGGGTGCTTAAGAAGGCAGCCAGGGCCTGCTCCAGGTCCTTCTCACTGAACCCCTGGCCACTCAAGTCCAGTTCTCGCAGTGTATGGCACCACTTCTGGGTCAAAAAGGGGCTGCCCTCCTTGGCTAGAGTCAGCCGGTCTGACGTGCCATACAGGCCCAGATGAAGCTGCTCCAGCTCTGCAGTGAAAGGAGTGAGCATAAGCTACAAGGTGACAAGGGCCCCCACACCTCACCCGCCCGGCCACCACCCAGGACTGCTGACCCCGACATGGCAGATCCTGAAGGCCAGCCGGCGTGATGCGCGCACAGCCACGAAGATCCAGTAAGCGCAGGTTGGGAGAGCCGTGGAGTAGGCGGCCCAGGACCTCGTTGCTCACAAAGTTGCAGGTTGAGCTCGCCAGGCAGAGCTCCTCTAGGCTAGGGAAGCCTGGTCCGGGAGCCACCCCTCGTCCCGGAGGCTTGGGCAGCCACATCAGGTTCAACAGCCGCAGCACCTGGGGGCAAGGTCCAGGCTGTAGATGGGGGAGGGTGTGACAGGTGGGAGAGGCAGGGCGCCAGGTACCTGGAGCTGAGGGCAGCCTTTCTGCAGAGCCTCGACAGGCAGCTGAAGGGGAATGCTATTACGGTTGATGCCGGTGCTCACCTCCAGGACCTGGAGCTGGGGGCAGCAGCTGCCCTGCAGAGATGGGGGGAGGGGGTAGGTCACAGGGTCAGTGGCCTGGCAGTCCCCAGCTCAGCATCTGCCTCTGCTCCCACCAATGCCAACTTACCAGCAGTGCGCCCAGGATGGCTGTCGTCTGGGAGCTGTAGGTCAGCCACAACTTGCGCATTCGGGACCCTGCCTCCTCCAAGAAGCTCACCACAGCTGTGGACTCCACCTGGGGCCCCAATACAAGAGCACCCGTCACCCCGGCCTGGGTTTTTTCAGGGCCCCTTGGGACACAGGGCTCACCATGGAGTGCTGTAGGTCCAGGCTATGGAGCTGGCAGCAGGCTTTGGCTAGCATGACCAGAGCGTCAGCAGTCACACCGTGGCAGCCGGAGAGCTTGAGGAAAGTGAGCCGAGGACAGCACTCACCTACCAGCTGCGGGGAGACAGAGGGGCAGCTGGGGTTGGGAGACGACAGGCTAAGATCCACAAGGGAAACAGACAAGTGGCTGGTGCCAACCCCACTCTACCGCCTTAGCTGTGACCTCCTTTCTGCCCATGCCAGGCCTACTTGGGTGTCCCCGCCTCTGATACCTCCCTGCTGGAGGAAACAGCAGGAAAAGAGAACCAGGCAGGCAGGCAGACATCCCCACGGAGCAGCGTTGGGCCCCCAAGGTGCCTGACCCACTTCCTAGAGTACTGAACAGTCCCAGAGTGTCACAGCTGATGTGCAGGACAGCCTGGAGCTCTCACCTTCAACACGGGGTGTACCTGAGACTTCCAGTGGATGAGGGTCAGCCTCTGGAGCTGTGAAAACCTGGGCCGACAGCGGAGGCAGAGCTGCACTAATGTTCCCACACGAGTCCTTCCCACCCAACACCTTGGTGCAGGGAGACGGAAGGAGCCTGGAGCCAGGGGTAAGGAAGAGAGGGAACCCCTCACCGATTGGGCATAAGCCACTCCAGGGAAGCAAGGAGCTTCTTCTCCGCCTTGACCCCGCCCTTGGCAGGCCGGCCGACCAGCGGGGACGACAGGGTCACGGTGTGCCAGAGCGCGGGTTGGGAAGCGGCCTCCTGCCAGCGGCGGCACACGCGCGCAGCCCTGGGAGGACAGCGTGCTGAGGGTGCCGGCCCCTCCGTAGGCGATGCCCCCCTCTCGCAGCGCAGTAGACACCCCGGCTCAAAGCCGGGCTCCTGGGACTCCAACTGGGCGCCTAAGGGGCTGCGCTCTCGGACTGAGCGGTGCGCGCTCCGATGCTTTCGCCCTCCGCCCCCGCCCGGGCCACCGCTCGGACCACGTCTGGCCCAAGCCGCTACGCTCGGCGGCGGGCCCGGCACCAGCGTTACCTGCCCAGGAAGGGCATGGGGCCGTCCGCCGCCACCAACAACCCGAAAATCTGCACCAGGATTTCCAAGGGAATGCGGTCTCCCCAGCCCGCGTCGGGCCCTTCCTCGGGCGTGGGCGTGGGTGCCGGTGCGGGTGCGGGCGCGGCCGCCGCCTCGGACCTGAGCCCGGCCTTGGGCTTGGCCGCGGCGCTGGGGCCCCGGGGCGGCTGCCGGGGAGTGCGGCGGGAAGCGCGCCGCTGTGCGCGGGGCCGGGCGGGGCCGGGTTCGGACAGCACCAGCAGCATGCTGTCGGACTGCAGCAGGTGGTACCCCGAGCCCCTCGGCGCCAGCCGGTCCCACCACCAGTCCTCGGCCGAGCGGGGCCGCGGCGCTGCCCGGGCTCTGCGTCGGACCTGCCGGGAGGCTGGGGCAGCCATGACCACCGACGGCGCTCGGGGAAGCCCCAGGGAGCGGAACGGGCGAGGCTTATAGACCGACAACCCCCCGGTTCCTCTCAACGCCCGCCCGCCCGCCGACCAGCTTCCGGGGCGGGACTTCCGGTCGTGGGCCATGCCGGGGGCGGGCCCGGAACCGCCACGGGTGAGTCGGGTCGTGGCTGCTGCCGGGTCCTGCGCGCTCCGGACTGAGGTGGCGTCCCTGGGCCGGACGGCGGTGTCCCGGCGTGGCGGGAAGCCGGCACTGGAGCGGGAGCGCACTGGGCGCGGGACCGGGAGGCGCAGGGACCGGACGGCTCCCGAGTCGCCCACCTGACGGTACCGAGAGGGCGGCGCCCCTCCGAGCAGAGCCGTCCCGGCCACTCCCCTGGGATCTGACTTGGCTCTTGCGGTCGCGGGCACCGTGAAGCCCTGGGGTGTGCGTGGCTCCTCCTGGTAGGCGCCCTTTCCCGGCGTCCGGCTTGGGGTGGTGGTGGCGTTGACTCCAGCCCCGCCTCTCCCTGGAGAGGAGGGCTCCACTCGCTCCTTCGGCCTCCTCCCCTGGGGCCGCAGCGACTCGGGCCGGCTTCCTGCTTCCCTGCCTGCCGGCGGTCCCGCTGGGTACGTTTTAGCCAATCCTCCCCATCTGCGCTCCTGCCCGGGGCTCCCCCAGTTCCCCTGGTCTCACCCTGTTCTGACTCCGGCTCTGCATCCTATCTGTTTCTCTGTTTCTTTCAAGCTAGAAGAAGTCTTCACTTCCCAGGAGAGCCAAAGCGTGTCTGGCCCTAGGTGGGAAAAGAACTGGCTGTGACCTTTGCCCTGACCTGGAAGGGCCCAGCCTTGGGCTGAATGGCAGCACCCACGCCCGCCCGTCCGGTGCTGACCCACCTGCTGGTGGCTCTCTTCGGCATGGGCTCCTGGGCTGCGGTCAATGGGATCTGGGTGGAGCTACCTGTGGTGGTCAAAGAGCTTCCAGAGGGTGAGTGGGAGGGAGGTGCAGGTGTGCCCAAGACTCCTGGGCTGCGGTCAGTGGGATCTGGGTGGAGCTACCTGTGGTGGTCAGAGAGCTTCCAGAGGGTGAGTGGGAGGAGGTGCAGGTGTGCCCAGGAAGGTGGGCTTTGGCACTCTTCCTCCCTTGGGCATCATGACCCTGACATGGCCTCCTCCCTTCCCTGCAGGTTGGAGCCTCCCCTCTTACGTCTCTGTGCTTGTGGCTCTGGGGAACCTGGGTCTGCTGGTGGTGACCCTCTGGAGGAGGCTGGCCCCAGGAAAGGACGAGCAGGTCCCCATCCGGGTGGTGCAGGTGCTGGGCATGGTGGGCACAGCCCTGCTGGCCTCTCTGTGGCACCATGTGGCCCCAGTGGCAGGACAGTTGCATTCTGTGGCCTTCTTAGCACTGGCCTTTGTGCTGGCACTGGCATGCTGTGCCTCGAATGTCACTTTCCTGCCCTTCTTGAGCCACCTGCCACCTCGCTTCTTACGGTCATTCTTCCTGGGTCAAGGCCTGAGTGCCCTGCTGCCCTGCGTGCTGGCCCTAGTGCAGGGTGTGGGCCGCCTCGAGTGCCCGCCAGCCCCCATCAACGGCACCCCTGGCCCCCCGCTCGACTTCCTTGAGCGTTTTCCCGCCAGCACCTTCTTCTGGGCACTGACTGCCCTTCTGGTCGCTTCAGCTGCTGCCTTCCAGGGTCTTCTGCTGCTGTTGCCGCCACCACCATCTGTACCCACAGGGGAGTTAGGATCAGGCCTCCAGGTGGGAGCCCCAGGAGCAGAGGAAGAGGTGGAAGAGTCCTCACCACTGCAAGAGCCACCAAGCCAGGCAGCAGGCACCACCCCTGGTCCAGACCCTAAGGCCTATCAGCTTCTATCAGCCCGCAGTGCCTGCCTGCTGGGCCTGTTGGCCGCCACCAACGCGCTGACCAATGGCGTGCTGCCTGCCGTGCAGAGCTTTTCCTGCTTACCCTACGGGCGTCTGGCCTACCACCTGGCTGTGGTGCTGGGCAGTGCTGCCAATCCCCTGGCCTGCTTCCTGGCCATGGGTGTGCTGTGCAGGTACACAAGGACCCCCAGCCCCTGTGCGGGTGGAACTCAGGGCTAGGAGCCAGGTCCTGGCGCAGTCAGCCCTGACATTCTGCTCGCTCACTGCAGGTCCTTGGCAGGGCTGGGCGGCCTCTCTCTGCTGGGCGTGTTCTGTGGGGGCTACCTGATGGCGCTGGCAGTCCTGAGCCCCTGCCCGCCCCTGGTGGGCACCTCGGCGGGGGTGGTCCTCGTGGTGAGCACAGGGGGACATGAAGTGGGGTGGGGGGGCGTTGCCCTGGAGCAGGCACATCTCACGCTCAGCTGGTGCTGTGTCCCCCTCAGGTGCTGTCGTGGGTGCTGTGTCTTGGCGTGTTCTCCTACGTGAAGGTGGCAGCCAGCTCCCTGCTGCATGGCGGGGGCCGGCCGGCATTGCTGGCAGCCGGCGTGGCCATCCAGGTGGGCTCTCTGCTCGGCGCTGTTGCTATGTTCCCCCCGACCAGCATCTATCACGTGTTCCACAGCAGAAAGGACTGTGCAGACCCCTGTGACTCCTGAGCCTGGGCAGGTGGGGACCCCGCTCCCCAACACCTGTCTTTCCCTCAATGCTGCCACCATGCCTGAGTGCCTGCAGCCCAGGAGGCCCGCACACCGGTACACTCGTGGACACCTACACACTCCATAGGAGATCCTGGCTTTCCAGGGTGGGCAAGGGCAAGGAGCAGGCTTGGAGCCAGGGACCAGTGGGGGCTGTAGGGTAAGCCCCTGAGCCTGGGACCTACATGTGGTTTGCGTAATAAAACATTTGTATTTAATGAGTTGGCATTAATTCTTTGAGCACATCTCTCTGTGTGGATGCTTCCCTGAACTAGAGCCATGGCCTGGCCTGTTTAACAGGCTGCCTCTCCCCAGGCCCTGGGCAGGTCCTTACCCACCACAGGCTGGTCTCACGGATTGTACAGTCATGCCCTCTGAGCCCAGACTACCCCACATTGCTTCTTGGAACTGCCCTGGGCTCTCTGGGCCCACACGAGCTACCAGCTTCGGTGGTCAGAGGAGTAGAGGAGCCTCTTCCCGGCAAGGCCACTGCTCCACGAGCACCTCTCAAGGGCTGAGGGTTAGTCGGATGGGGCTGCGATGTGCCGAGCCCCCTGTCCACCCTTAGCCCTGGAGTGACTGTTTGCCTGCTAGCTTCCCAGGAGTATCCTGCTAGGGATTTACACCAGGGGGTTGGTGTGCAGGCACCGGGGTACTCAGTGAGGGGGACTCAGAAGAGACAGAGTTTAAGGTTTTAGCCCATCGGGACCGTTTGGCCTGAGCATTACCCCACTCCCCTGAGCCTCCACCCTCTCAGTGACAGCTCCTCCTGCAATCAGACCCCCAAAGGCCCCAAACTGTTTCTTCAGGCAGACTTGGCTACAGCTGTCTTCTCCCTGGGCTGCTGGCACACTGCCCCTAGCCCTGAGCAGCCTGGGCCTGTATGTGTTGGCATCTGCAGGGAGCAGGACCTCAGCACTGACCATGGTCTATCCTGGGCTGGGTGGTTCTTGGGCTCCCACAAAAAGAGCTGGAGCTGCAAAGGAACTAACTGAGAGGAGCCCCTGAGCCTGGGAGCAAGGATCTGGAAGAAAGTGCTGGGAGAGACCACGCCAAGGTAGGAGCCTGGCTTTCTTCACCTCGTGGGCCGCCACCCCAGGGAGGCAGGACACCGAACTGTGATCAGTATGACGGGCCTGGCAGCAAGGCCCATTCTCCCAGGCAAGAGGCCCCACTTCTGCAGAAGGGCCCCTGCAGCTACAGGGAGCGTGCAGGCACTGGGGATGGTGGGTCTGTTCCTGCTGCCCAAGCTCTGTCTGCGACGGTTCCGCTCTGCGGAGGCCCTTTCTCATTGTCCTTGAGTTGGCCTGCACACGGGCCTTTGAAGGCCTGGTCTTCCTCCCCACTTCTGCTCCCTCCTGTCTTGGCAGGACCATCAGAGGAGGAAGGAGCCCCTGTGACCCGGAAAGCCTCTAGTCTGGGCCCCATCAAACATCAGGGGGCAGGCCAGCTCCCAGGGGGGCTCAGGACCACCCAACTCTGAGGGCAGAGGCCACTGCCAGCTCCAGCCTTCCAGGATGCTGCCGCCTGAGGCTGGGCCCCTGCCCAGCTGACCCGGCTGCTTCCCTTTGGGGGTTGCAGGTACTGAGGGTTCTAGGGGGTGGGGGCTGAAGGTTGAGTGTGAGCTTCAGAAGTCGCCTGGTAAAAGAAGAAAGCTTCTGAGGGAGGATGAGGACAAGGATGGGACAAGGTGGGTGGTTTGGTGGCATGGCTGTGGGCAACAGGGCTCCTGGTCTCATGCTTGCCCCCTTCCCCTCATCGCTTTGCCACCACCCCCATCAGCACCGGTGCTTGGGGCCTGCCCTCTCCTGTCCACCCTGGGCTGCAGGCTTGGTGGAGCCACCTCCCAGCTTCTTCTATCTTCCCTCCCATAGGCCAGCGATCAAAGGCATCCATGGAGGCTCTGCTCTGTGCCACACATGAGCCACACTCCCCCAGGCCGCAGAGGAGCAAGGTGCACAAGCCTGAGTGAGGAATCCGCTGCCTTTTGAAGTCTCTGTGAGCTTCCTGCCCATCCCAGTAGGAACTGGGGCAGGGGTCAGAATCATAATGGCAGAAAGGTGCCTCAGGGCCGAGGCCTTGAGCACTGCTCACTTACAGTTTCCCGGGGCTGAGTCCAGGGCCAAAGCTGGGCCCCTGGGAGGCAGGATAGCCCACCACGCAGGGCCTGCTGGGGCGAGGATGCCCACCACCACCAGCTGCACAGCAAGTGGCCAGAGGCTCTGAAGCGCGAAACCCTGCCCAAGAGGAATTTGGAGGAGACTCCACCCTCCACCGGAAGGCAGGAATGGAGCCGGACCTGACGTCCCCCACTGTCCCCAGAGGGTGGTCCCCTGAGTAGGAGCAAAGCCTGCAACTCACTGTTCCTTGTCCCTCCACAAGGAAAGGTTTCCTGGGCTCCTCACCAGCAGAGAAGGGGCCAAGTGCAGTAGCTCATGCATGTAATCCCAGCACTTTGGGAGGCCGAGGCGGGTGGACCACCTGAGGTCAGGAGTTCGAGACCAGCCTGGCAAACATGGCAAAACCCCGTCTCTACTAAAAATACAAAAATATGCCAGGCGTGGTAGCAGGTGTCTGTAATCCCAGCTACTCGGGAGGCTGAGGCAGAATTGCTTGAACCTGGGAGGCAGAGGTTGCAGTGAGCCGAGATCGCGCCATTGCACTCCAGCCTGGGCAACAAGAGCGAAACTGCATCTCAAAAAAAGAAAAAAACCAGCAGTGAAGGGCCAGCCAGGCCGTGGCCACCACGTGCAGCCGCCTGTCCCAGGTATGTGGTCATCCCATGTGATGCTGATCCTCTGTGTGTGGGGACAAGCCTCGCTGGCTGTGATTGAGCAGCTGACCTAAGAGCCTTCCCATCCTTCAGTTCTGTAGTTCTCCGCCCAGCTTAGTCCCTAGATGGGTGCAGGTGACTACGGGGTTAAGGAACAGTTGCACCCCTTGATTTTTTTTTTTTGGGAAGGAGTCTCGCTCTTTCGCCCAGGCCGGAGTGCAGTGGCGCTATCTTGGCTCACTGCAAGCTCTGCCTCCTGGGTTCACGCCATTCTCCTGCATCAGCCTCCCGAGTAGCTGGGACTACAGGCGCCCGCCACCACGCCCGGCTATTTTTTTGTATTTTTAGTAGAGATGGGGTTTAACTGTGTTAGCCAGGATGGTCTCGATCTCCTGACCTTGTGATCCGCCCGCCTCGGCCTCCCAAAGTTCTGGGATTACAGGCGTGAGACACTGCGCCCGGTCTTGTTTGTCTTTTAGAGGTAGAGTCTCGTTCTTTTGCCCAGGCCTGAGGCTCAAGTGAGGTCGAGGACTCAAATGATCTTTTTTTATTTTTGGAGACTGAGTCTCGCTCTGTCACCAGGCTGGAGTGCAATGGCACGATCTCAGCTCACTGCAACCTCCGCCTCCCGGGTTCAAGCGATTCTCCTGCCTCAGCCTCCCGAGTAGCCGGGATTACAGGTGCCCACCACCACACCCAGCTAATTTTTGTATTTTTAGTAGAGACGGGATTTCACCATGTTGGCCAGGCTGGTCTCGAACTCCTGACCTCAGGTGATCCGCCCACCTCGGCCTCCCACAGTGCTGAGATGACAGGTGTGAGCCATGGCGCCCGGCCCAAGATGGTTTTAGATATGACAAAACATCTTGATAGAAACTGAAACCCTTAGCCGGGTGCGGTGGCTCACACCTGTCATCTCAGCACTGTGGGAGGCTGAGGTGGGCGGATCACCTGAGTTAAGGAGTTCGAGACCAGCTTGGCCAACATGG
This sequence comes from Homo sapiens, assembly GCF_000001405.40. Taxonomy (NCBI): domain Eukaryota; kingdom Metazoa; phylum Chordata; class Mammalia; order Primates; family Hominidae; genus Homo; species Homo sapiens. The sequence continues at coordinate 144,364,817 of NC_000008.11, forward strand.
TGAAACCCCGTCTCTACTAAAAATACAAAAATTAGCCGGGCGTGGTGGCGCACGCCTGTAATCCCAGCTACTCGGGAGGCTGAGGCAGAAGAATCGCTTGAACCCGGGAGGTGGAGGTTGTAGTGAGCTGAGATTGCACCACTGCACTCCAGCCTAGGCTATGACAGAGCAAGACTCTGTCTCAAAAAAAAAAAACTTGAGCCTGGGCAACATAGTGACATCCCATATCTACCAAAAAATTAAAAATTGGCTGGGCATGGTGGTGAGAGCCTACAGTCCCACTTACTCGGGAGGCTGAGGCAGGAGGATCACTTGAGCCCAAGAGGTCTAGGCTGCAGTGAGCCTTGATTGTACCACCGGACTTCAGCCTGGGTAACAGAGCGAGACTCTGTCTCTAAATAAAATAAATACATGATTTTGGAGATTCCCCAGAGATTTGTCCTTTCACCTCCTGCCCTTGATTCTCAGAGGCTCTTACTGAGCCTCCTCAGTTTTCATGGCAACGTAGGTATTTGCATGGTGTCTTGTGGGCGGAGGATTACCTAGGTGCCGAGGCAAGAGACTGAAGGCAGAAACTGTTTCAGTATAATAAAGAAAATATTTAGAATAAGAATAGTCATAATACAAATTAGATATAGGGATGACCATGGACAATTATCAATCATTATTATAAGCATTATTAATCATTAGCTTTTACCATTACTCTTTGTTGCATTACTAACAAAACGTAGGAATAACCGGCGGATATAGGGTCGGGTGCTGAACGGACATGGTGAGAAGTGACCTAGAAGGCAAGAGGTGAGCCCTCTGTCACGCCCGCATAAGGGCTGCTTGAGGGCTCCTTGGTCAAGCCCTAACGCCAGTGTCTGGGAAGTCACCCGTTGCTTAGTAGACTGCGAAAGGGAGTCTCCTTTCCTTGGAGGAGTCAGGGAACACTCTGCTCCACCAGCTTCTTGTGGAAGGCTGGATATTATCCAGGCCTGGCCGCAATCATCCGGAGGCCTAAACCCCTCCCTGTGGTGCTTCAATGTTCACGCTCCTTGTCCACTTTCATGCTCCTCCTGTACTCCTAGTTCCTCTTTGAAGTTTGTAGTAGATAGCAGTAGAAGAAATAGTGAAAGTCTTAAAGTCTTTGATCTTTCTTGTAAGTGCATACAAGAAAACGCTGACGTTTGCTGCCTTCTCTCTCTGCTTCGGCTACCTAAGAGGGAAGGGCCCCCTGTCCTATGATCATGTGACTTGCTTCACCTTGTCAATCACTTAGAAGATTCACCCTCCTTACCCTGCCCCCCTTGTCTTGTATGCAATAAATATCAGCGCGCCCAGCCATTCGGGGCCACTACCGGTCTCTGCGTCTTGATGGTAGTGGTCCCCCGGGCCCAGCTGTTTTCTCTTTATCTCTTTGTCTTGTGTCTTTATTTACTACAATCTCTCGTCTCTGCACATGGGGACAACACCCGCTTAGCCCCATAGGGCTGGACCCTACAGTGTCTTAGTTCGTTTTGTGCTGCTATAATGCCACAGACTGGGTAATTGATAATAAACTGGGATTTATTGGTTCTGGAGATTTGGAGGTCCAAGAGGGAGGGGCCACATCTCATGAGGACCTTCCTGCTGCCACATAACATGCCAGCAGGCATTATGTGGCTGGACGGAAAGGGGCCAAACTCATCCTTTTATAAGGAATCAATTCCCGAAATAATGGCATTAATCCCTTCATGAGGGTGAAGCCCTCAAGACCTAATCACCTCTTAAAGGTCCCACCTCTGGCGGGGTGTGGTGGTTCACGACTGTAATCCCAGCACTTTGGGAGGTGGAGGCGGGCGGATCACTAGGTCAGGAGTTCAAGACCAGCCTGACCAACATGGAGAAACCCCGTCTCTCTAAATATACAAAATTTGCCAGGCGTGGTGGCACATGCCTGTAATCCCAGCTATTCGGGAGGCTGAGGCGGGAGAATTGTTTGAACCTGGGAGGCAGAGGTTGCGACAAGCCAAGATCGCACCATTGCACTCCAGCCTGGGATGACAGAGCGAGATTCCATCTCAGAAAAAAATAAAAAGGTCCCACCTCCAATACTGCCACACTGGGGATCAGGTTTGCAATCCATGAACTCTGGGGGACACTTTCAAACCACAGCACATAGATTCAGTTAAGAGACTCTTCTCCTTTTACAGAAGACAATTGGATGAATTGGTTAGGTCACCAAGGCCTTGTCCAGGTTGTCATATGGAGAGTTCTGCTCTTTCACTGGGGATGACCAGCCGCTGCTGCGGACCTTGGGTTGCTGTTATGAAGGAGTGCCTGCAAATCCTCCTGAGGGTGCAGACCCCAGGCCTTGCAGGTGACCAGGAAGGTGATTTCCTGGCAGGCCCAGGAACATAGAAATTGACCCAAATTATAGGTATTGCGTTTCTTGCCTCTGCAAAGAAGCAAACAATACAGGTCCACTCTGATATTTCTTTCTTTTCTTTGAGACTGTTTCACTTTTGTCACCCAGGCTGGAGTCCAATGGTGTGATCTCAGATCACTGCAACCTCCGCCTCCTGGGTTCAAGCGATTCTTCTGCCTCAGCCTCCCGAGTAGCTGAAATTACAGGCGTCTGCCACCACCCCCAGCTAATTTTTGTTTTGTTTTGTTTTTTCGAGACCGAGTCTCACTCTGTCACTCAGGCTGGCACAGTGGTGCAATCTTGGCTCACTGCAACCTCCACCTTCCGGGTTCAAGTGATTCTCCTGCCTCAGCCATGAGTAGCTGGGACTACAGGCACGTGCTACCATGCCCACCTAATTTTTTTTTTTTTTTTTTTTTGTATTTTTAGTAGAGACGGGGTTTCACCGTGTTAGCCAAGATGGTCTCGATCTCTGGACCTCGTGATCCGCCCGCCTCAGCCTCCCAAAGTGCTGGGATTACAGGCGTGAGCCACCACGCCCGGCAATTTTTGTATTTTTAGTAGAGACAGAGTTTCACCATGTTGATCAGGCTGGTTGCGAATTCCCGACCTCAAGTGATCCACCTGCCTCAGCCTCCCAAAGTGCTGGGATTACAGGTGTGAGCCACGGCACCCAGCCCCAATCTGATATTTCTTATGAAAACTTCCAGCAAAGCAAACGTAAGGTGGCCTATATGGGATATTTGCACTGTTTCTGCACCTATGTAAATAATTGGACCACACTTGCTGACACCAGCTTCATTTTATGGCCCAGTGTGATTTATTTTTTATTTAATTTAATTTTATTTTATTTTGAGACAAGGTCTCACTTTTTTGCCCAGGCTGGAGTGCAATGGCTCAATCTCGGCTCACTGCAACCTCCACCTCCTGAGCTCAAGCAATTCTCCTGCCTCAGCCTCCCGAGTAGCTGGGATTACAGGCATGGGCCACCACGCCTGGCTAATTTTGTATTTTTAGTAGAGACAGGGTTTTTCCATGTTGGTTAGGCTGGTCTGGAACTCCCAACTTCAGGTGATCTGCCTGCCTCAGCCTCCCAAAGTGCTGGAATTACAGGCATGAGCCACTGTGGTCAGTTTTTTTTGTTTTGTTTTGTTTTTTTTGAGATAGAGTTTTGCTCTGTCGCCCAGGCTGGAGTGCAGTGGCGAGATCTCGGTTCTCTGCAACCTCTGCCTCCCGGGTTCAAGTGATTCTCTTGCCTCAGCCTCCCAAGTAGCTGGAACTACAAGCATGCGCCACCATGCCCAGTTAATTTTGTAATTTTAGTAGAGACGGGGTTTCGCCATGTTGGCCAGGCTGGTCTTGAACTCCTGACCTCAGGACCTGCCTGGGCCTCCCAAAGTGTTGGCATTACAGGCCTGAGCCACCACACCCAGCTAAATTAATTAGTTAAATGAACCTTTGACACACTGTCCTCATTTCCTAGGGCTGCCAGAACAAATTACCACAAAGTTAGTGACTTAAAATTGATGAACAATTTTATTCTCAGTCACTTTGCAAGCCAGGGACCTCCAGCCGACGATGCCCCACCTGGGCCTCGCTGGGCCACAATACCTGCTGCAGAGACAGCTCGCCCACTCACCCCACCTGGGCCGAGTCTGGCTTGTGCACTGGTTCCCAAGTTCTTGTCCTGCACCCACAAAGAATGGGGATACACTGGCAATCGAAGAGTGAGGGTGGAGATTTTATTGAGTGATACAATAGGTGGGGGGTTTATTGAGTGATAAAACAGTTTTCAACAGAGAGGCGATTTGGGGGTGGTCCCCCTACTTAAAGGCAGGAAAGTCCCCTCAATGTGGCTGAGTCCAGGGCTTTTATGGGCTCAGTATTGGGGAGGGGCAGGTCATAGGTAGTATTAGAGAAGGCAACATTCAACTGGTTAAAAGCATTATTCAGGCTGGGTGTTGTGGCTCATGCCTGTAATCCCAACACTTTGGGAGGCTGAGGCAGGCAGATCATCATCTGAGATCAGGAGTTTGGGACCAGCCTGGGCAACATGGTGAAACCTTATCTCTACTAAAATACAAAAAATAGCTGGGTGTGGTAGCATTCACGTTCGCCTGTAATCCCAGCTACTGGGGAGGCTGAGGCATGAGAATTGCTTGCACCAGGAGGTAGAGGTTGCAGTCAGCCAGGATCGTGCTACTGCACTCCAGCCTGGGTGACAGAGTGAGGCTCTCTCTCTCAAAATAATAATAATAATAATAATAATAATAATAATAATAATAATATAAACTAAAAGCATTATTCGGAAAGAACCCATCAGGAAAGGGCAGGCAAACAGGAACAGAAGTTCTCGCTCTGGGTCTCGAGTTTCATCCCAGACCAGCAGTTCTGTCTTTCAGGCTTCAGGCTTTTTGGCTTGGAGGTGTGGTTTCACCGGGGACCCGCCCTATCTGCCTATGCATTTGGCTGCCTCCTGTCGCTATCAACACGTCAGGGCTGAGTTAAGTGGCTCTTGCCTATAATCCCAGCGCTTTGGGAGGCGGAGGTGGGGAGGACTGCTTGAGACTAGGACTCAAGCAATCAACACTGTCTCGGGCTGGGCGCGGTGGCTCACGCCTGTCATCCCAGCCCTTTGGGAGGCCGAGGCGGGCGGATCACCTGAGGTCGGGAGTTTGAGACCAGCCTGACCAACATGGAGAAACCCTGTCTCTACTAAAAATACAAAATTAGCCGGGTGTGGTGGTGCATGCCTGTAATCTCAGCTACTTGAGAGACTGAGGCACGAGAATCACTTGAACCCGGGAGGCGGAGGTTGCGGTGAGCAGAGATCGTGCCATTGCAGTCCAGCCTGGGCAACAACAGTGAAACTCTGTCTCAAAAAAAAAAAAAAAAAAAAAAAAAAAACACTGTCTCTACAGAAAAATTTAAAAATTAGCTAGGTGTGGTGGTGCATGCCTATAGTCCCAGCTACTTGGGAAGCTGAGAAGGGAGGATCCCTTGATCCCAGGATGTCGAGGCTGCTGCAAGCCATGATCGCCTCACTGCACCCCAGTCTGGGCCACAGAGTGAGACCCTGTCTCTTAAAAAAATAAAAATAATAGTGCCAGGGGCTGGGCACGGTGGCTCACGCCTGTAATCCCAGCACTTTGGGAGGCCGAGCGGGCGGATCACGAGGTCAGGAGATCGAGACCATCCTGGCTAACACGGTGAAACTCTGTATTAAAAATACAAAAAAAAATTAGCCGGATGTGCTGGCGGGCGCCTGTAGTCCCAGCTACACGGGAGGCTGAGGCAGGAAAATGGCGTGAACCCAGGAGGCGGAGCCTGCAGTGAGCTGAGATCGTGCCAGGTACTCAGGAGACTGAGGCAGGAGAATCGCTTGAACTCGGGAGGAGAAGGTTGCAGTGAGCCAAGATTGCGCCATTGCACTCCAGCCTGGGCAACAGAGTGACACTCGGTCTCAAAAAAAATAAAATAATAAAAAATAAAAAAATAACAGCCAGAAATTTATTCTCTCACAGTTTTAGAAACCGGAAGTCTGAAATTGCAGTGCTGTGTATGTGTAAACAAAACAGACAAACAAAAACACTGGTCTGAAATCAAGGTGTCAACAGGGTTGGTTCTCTCTGAGGCTCTGAGGAAGAACCTGCCAGTTCTCTTTCCTGCTGTGGAGCTGCTGGCTCCGGGCGCCTCGGCCGTGATCCTCTCCCGTTTCTACCTCCACCTTCATGTGGCCTTTCCCTCTGTGTCCCAAATCTCCCTCTCTCTTCTCCTGTAAGGACACTGGTCACTGGATTCAGGGCCTGCCCTTACCCACAGTGACTTTGTCTAAAGACCCTTGGCTTAATTTCATCTGTAATGATCCCATTTCCAAATAAATTTGCATTCCCAGGCTCTAGGGGTTAGGACAGTGTCTTTTTTTTTTTTTTTTTTTTTGAGACAGTGTCTTGCTGTGTCACCAGGCTGGAGTGCAATGGCGTGATCTTGGCTCACTGCAACCTCTGCCTCCCGGGTTCAAGTAATTCTCCTGGATTCTCCTGCCTCAGCCTCCCAAGTAGCTGGGACTACAGGCGCCCGCCACCACACCCAGCTAATTTTTTGTATTTTAGTAGAGACAGAGTTTCTCCATGTTGGGCAGGACAGTCTTGATCTCCCGACCTCCTGATCCACCCGCTTTGGCCTCCCAAAGTGCTGGGATTACAGACGTGAGCCACCGTGCCTGGCCTGGACAGTGTTCTTTTGGGGGACAGTGCTCAGCCCAGGAGACATGAAATGAACACGTGCTCATTTTATAGCTATGTGAGAGCCACGCTTCTTAACACCTATTTAACCTTCTCTTTTTTCTTTTTCTTTCTTTCTTTTTTTTTTTTTTTTTTTTTTTTGAGACAGTCTCGCTCTGTCGTCCGGGCTAGAGTGCAATGGCTTGATCTTGGCTCACTGCAACCTCTGCCTCCCGGGTTCAAGCAATTCTCCTGCCTCAGCCTCCTGAGTAGCTGGGATTACAGGCACCCGCCACCACACCCAGCTAATTTTTGTATTTTTAGTAGAGATGGGGTTTCACCATGTTGCCCAGGCTGGTCTCAAACTGACCTCAGGTGATCCGCCCACCTCGGCCTCCCAAAGTGCTGGGATGACAGGCACGAGCCACTGTGCCTAGCCCCTTCTTTCTTTAATGACAGTTCTGGAGACCAAAGAGACTGGGAACACAGGGTTTTGGGAACGTGGGAGTTCTGGGAGGTGACGGACAGGCTTGAGAGCGGGCCCGCACTGAAGGGCTAGAGTGAGCTGCATTTCTGGGTCTTGGATGGGGCAGGGGCTGTGGGCACTTGGGACCTGGGGAAAGCTTTCACCACATCCCTGGGCCCTGTGGCTCAGCTGTGTGACATCGACTCCCCGCCACACCCTCGGGGGCAGGATGTCACGCCCCATCCAGAGCCCTGCAGCCGGGCAGGATCCTAGGCCACAGTGTGTCTCCCGGGATGCTAAAACAGGACAGAGGTCATTCCTTCGTTCATTTTGGGGGTGTTTCCCAAGAGTGGGTGGCAGAGTCCTCCATCCGACCCTTCCCACCTGGGGCAGCCATGTCGGTTGGTGGCCAAGCCTCCCTGTGATGGCAGTGCCCGGGCCCCTAGGCAAGGCATGGCATATCCCACCATGCAGCTCACACTTTGCTCACGTCACGGCACAGATGCCTGGAGGCCTTACTGTGTCAGCCCACATGGCTCTTCTGGACCTGTTCCATTACAGAGGAAAGGTTGCCGAGGGAGGCAGATGTTAGCAAATGAGAACACTCCAGAAAGCCCGGCTCCGGGAGGGGCCCCAGGTCCATCTGTGAAGTTCTAGTCTGGGCTTTGGGGATGAGGGACTGAAGACTGGAGGCCAATCCCTGTCCTGCTAGCAAAGTGATGCAGGGCACACAGAATCATTGAGCCCAGCAAACTTGACCTTGGGGATGACAGAGACTTCACAGGAGACACGCCATAACAGAAGGGGCACTAAAGGGCTGGAGGCACCGGCTTTCCCTAGGCAGGGACCACCCCATTGAAGAGATGCCTTTGGGTTCAGTCCCAGTGGGAGGAGCAAGAGGACTGTAAGAAGATGAGGACGAGGAGCCATGTGGGAGGAGGAGGGGCCACTTGTGGGAGGAGGAGGGGCCACTTGTGGGCGGAGGAGGGGTCACTGGTGGGAGGAGGAGGGGCCACTGGTGGGAGGAGGAGGGGCCACTGGTGGGAGGAGGAGGGGCCACTTGTGGGCGGAGGAGGGGCCACTGGTGGGAGGAGGAGGGGCCACTGGTGGGAGGAGGAGGGGCCATTGGTGGGAGGAGGAGGGGCCACTTCTGAGAGTTGTGAAAAGGCCTTGAGGCCTGAAAACCTCCCACTTTCAGCTACTGTGGCACCCTTAGGCCAAGCTGACTCAGGAGCCCTCGTGGATTCCACAAGGATGGTGTTTTGTTTCATGCTCACAGTGGGGTCTAGGAGGGCTTGCAGGCAGTAAGTGCCAGGACCCGTGTTGGCGCCCGAGGATCCCTGGCATGTTCGGGGACGGTGAGGTCAGTCCAGCAGCGGTGAGGTCAGTCTAGTAGCAGTGAGGTCAGTCTAGTAGCGGTGAGGTCAGTCTAGTAGCGGTGAGGTCGTCAGTCCAGCAGTAGCCTTGCTGGCTGCATGGCATGCCCGGGCCTGGGCCCCTACCCAGCCAGGGCTGTCACAGAGTGAGTAGCAGCAGCCTAGGGCACTGCAGGAGGCTGTGACGTCACTGACGTTCCCATAAGAAGCTAAGTGACAGGGACCAAGGGTGGCTGCAAAGTGAACCCCAGAATCTGAAGCCCTGGCCCTGGGAAGGTCTCCCCATGGGCACGGGAGCTGCTCCAGGACCCCTTTGGCCACTCTCCTGGTTGTCTTCCAGTTCCCAGTCAGGGGCGTCATCTTGGCCCTCACACAGGCAGGTGGTGAGTTGGAGTCCTGAGGTTAAAGAGATTCACGCTAATCACACTATAGCACGGAGTGTTAAAGAGAGGCGGATACCGGGCCGTGAGGACCTCAGGAAGCCCTCAGCCCTCCCCGGATTATCCACGTGCTTCTCACAGCGGTCCTTCCGGCAGGTGCCTGCCCGGGGAATGCGCAGTGCGCCGAGGGCGGGACTGGAACCCTCCGCTCTCAGGAGGCGCGGTCCGGGCGCCAAAAGGTAAGCCTCTGGGGGCCGCCAGGGGACGCTGCCCCGCCGCGGAGGCCGGCACGACTCGGGGCGTGGCCTCCAGCCTCGCCCACCGCCCACGGGGCGGGGCTCTGGCTCCGGCGCGTGCGCACTACGCGCCCTCCCGCAGGGCCTGCTGGGCTGCGAGACGCTAAGCGGCGCCGGGCGGGAGAAGAGCGGAGCAGTGGTCGGAGATGTGGCGACCGGTGAGGACTCTCCCGGCCCGGGGCGCCCGAGATCCTGCACACCAGCCCCAGAGACCCGAGACCCGCAAGTCCCCAGACCCCGCCCTAGAGACCCTCGGGGCTTTTTCCCTCTTTTTTTTTGAGGCAGGGTCTCGCTCTGTCGCCCTGGAGCGCAGTGGTGCGATCTCCGCTCACCGCAGCTTCCGCCTCCCGGACTCAGGCGATCCTCCCGCCTCGGCCCCGCAAGTAGCTGACACCGCAGGCGTGACCGCTCCCGGCCGACTCTGTTTAGCAGAGTCGGGGTCTCGCCGTGTTGCTCAGGCTGGTCTCGAATTCCTGGGCTCTAGCGATCCGCCCGCCTCAGCCTCCCCGAGAGCTGGGATTTCAGGCGGGAGCCGCGCCCGCAGCCCTGACGCCGCCTGCACCGGGAGCCGCAGGGGCCCCTCCGCCCAGCCCGGAGGCGGGTGCCCGGCGCCCCGGAGAGCGCGATCTCCAGAGGGCAGGGGCCCCGCGGGGAAGCCTCAGGCGCCGTTCCCCTCGCGAGGCGGCCTCCCGGAATCACGGACGCCTCCCTGCCCAGCCTGCTGCCCCGGACCTCCTTCGCTCGCCTCCCCGCCGGGCCTGCCCTGCCCTGAGGCGGCGGGCGGGCGGGGGCTGCAGGCCGGGCTCTGCTCTGAGCGCCCCTGCGTCGTCTCAGGGGCGCGCCCCCCATGGCTCCGAGGCCCCCTCTCTCAGGCTCTCGGCGTCTCCCCGCTCCCACGTCGCCGCCGGGTCCCGTTGCTCTGTCCCTGCGGTTAGGACTGCGGGGGGGCGGGGCAGAGGCCTTGACACGCATCTTACCCACCCCCTTCCAGAAGAGATGAAGGGGCTCCCAGCGCCGTTCCTTTTTTTCTTGGAATGTCAGCAGAGCTTGTGTTTGGCGATAAGCTAGCCTTGCCCGTCTGGCTATAAATAGCACAGATGGACGGCCCACTCGTGCCCCAGCCCAGCTGTGTGACCCCAGGGTGCTTCATGGGCCGGGGAGGTGGCCTTCAGTGCAGCTCCTTCCAGGTGACAAAGTCTTCCCACGTGCAGGCCACTCAGTCCCTCCCCAGCCCCAGCGAGTGGACAGGTCGGTTTAGCCTCTGGTTAGGAGCTGCTCATGGCCAGTGAGCAGGGCTGGGTCCAGGCGGCGTTTGAGGACTGGCTGGGGCTGACAGGGTCACACACCCTGGGAGAAGGACAGTGTCTGTGGTCGCCAGACCCACTTACCCTGCCCAGACTCCCAATCTGTCTCTTCCTAACTTTGGGGACAATTATGTGCCTCAGTTTCCCCTCATGTTGAGGTGCACAGTGCTGTTGGGTTCCCCAGGCTCTGGTCATCCGTTCATGGTTTTTAGTTTCTGGCATCATTCTGAGACTCGGCAGTTGCTTCTCACTGCTGCGGCCGGGCCTGTCTGTGGGAGCTGCATCCTCCTCATCTGCAGGCGCTGGAAAACCAGACACGATCGGACATGCATGTGGTTCTGCGGCCAAAGCACGCCCTTTGGTTGTGAACTTCATGATACCTGTGTGAGTGTTACCACTCAGAATACTTGCCGCTTTCAAGGTAGTCAGCTGTGGTCTAGAGTCACTCTGGAACGGGAGGTGTTTCCGTTTGTGCAGACAGACTGCACACACTCACCATAAGAAAGCATGAGAGGTTCTGACAGGGGGCACCCGTTTCATCTTGTCCAAACTGGAAGGCTTTGGAAGTCAGGGGAGCTGCAGGGATAAGTGTCACCAGGGCCGTCTCAGGTGTGTTGGGGGAAGGCCCTGGGGACCCACCGTCTAAAAGACGGCTTATCTTCTGGCAGTTTAGAGGTCGTGTTCTGGGTGCGGTTGGGGCTGTGTGTCACGTGAGAATTGCCCTGGATTGGGCTCTGGGAAGTCCTTCTGGGAGATGCAGCTGCAGGCTCGCCCCCCAACCCATAACCTCTCTGGGCCTTGGGGACCTCTCCTGTGTGATGGGAATTTCAGAGAGGATAGTCTGGGTGTGCTGGGCGCTCCACATTTGGAGGAGACAGGCTCTTGCTCAGCCTCATGGGCCCTGGCAGGCACTGTGGGTTATCAGTGCCTGTTGCTTGGCAGGGCCATGTGGGGTTCAATTGAGTCCTGTGCTTCACAGCTGTTGGTCTCATTCGGCAGGCATTCATTGAGTGCCTGCTTGTTCAGAGATGGTTGAGAGGTGGCCCTGCTCACAGTCTAGTGGGAGGACAGATTCCGTAAGTTGACAGTCACGCTGGTGTGTGATGAGGACAGTGGCAGGATAGGACCACGGTGAACAAGGTGGAGCGGGACGTGAGCATGAGCAAGGCTGCTGGTGGACCAGGGTAGGGTGATGGTGGCCCGGGGTCTACTGGAGGGATCTCTGTCCTGGATAAGAATGGGAGTGAGAGACGCAGCTGGAGCCCCTTCTGCAATGCTGGTTCCTGAGGAAAGAGCAGAAAACTGTTGTTGGAGACAGCAGTCAGCCAGCCATGACTTTCCTGGCCTCACCTGTTTGGTGGAGCCTGTGGAAACAGCTTGCGTTGCTGGTCATGGATGAGGTGGGCAGTGGCTGGGATAGCCACCTGGAGGTAGCTCCCTTGCAGCCACTTACGAGCTGCTGTTCAGAGTCTCTCCACAGTCCGTGGGCACGACTGCCTGATCTCGGGGCCTCTAGCCATGCATGCACTGGCACCAGAGGTGGCTAGGGTCAGGAGGTGCAGGCTGGGTAGGCAGCAGGTGGATGGCCCGCCTACGAGTCGCTGCCCGGCTGCCTTGGGTTTTCCTTGTGAATCAGCACTTGCTGCATGTGACCTCGCCAAGCAGGGGTTTCTGTCAACCCGCCCTCTAGGGATAAGAGGTCATGGACTTTTCCCTTTGGCTTTCATGTTGTTTGGAGTCCTCAAAATTTTCTCCAGGGCTCTGAGCTCTGGCCAAAAACCAGCTGGCAAGTCAGTTCCTTACTAGGTCCAGTGTTGAGGACCATGTTAGCGTCTGTGCCACGGGGCATGACTGGCTATGCACAGTCCTTTCCACCCAAACCGTGACTTGTGTGAAGAGCTCTCAGTTGGGGAATTTGGGGAGTTGTGAGACCTCATCCTAGGTCAAGTGTGATTGGGAGACCAAGGTTTCCAGTGAGAGCTGTGGTGTTTTCTTTCTTTTTTTTAATAATACTGTAAGTTCTATGTGGTGTTTTCATAGTCACAAAAATAAAGCAGGGCCATGTGTCAAGAGTCTCATGGTGGGGCTTCTTTATTTATGTATTTATTTTTCTAAATGGAGTCCCATTCTGTTGCCCAGGCTGGAGTGCAGTGTCTCAATCTTGGCTCACTGCAATCTCCGCCTACCAAGATCAAGCGATTCTCCTGTCTCAGCCTCCCAACTACCTGGGATTACAGGTATGCGCCATCACACCTGGCTACTTTTTTTGTATTTCTAGTAGAGACAGGGTTTCGCCATGTTGGCCAGGATGGTCTTAATCTCCTGACCTCATGATCCACCCGCTTTGGCCTCCAAAAGTGCTGGGATTACGGGCGTGAGCCACCGCGCCTGACCCTTGGGACTTCTTTACGTGTGTCCTGCTAGCTGCAGCATGTCCTCTTCTCCTCCAAGTAAAAGATGTACAGGGTCCCTGTCTGTGGGGTCTCAGTAAGTTGTAAGTTTCTTCATCTGCTTTCAGAACAGTGACCTACGTAGGCCACTCCTCCCATCCGGGCGTCCACCTTCAAGGTTGGCGTCTGCTGTATGATTCCATGGCTGGGCACTGTTGCCACTTCCTTCGGAGATGAGGACTGCTTTCCTCTGGCCACTGGTCAGTGGTCTCAGCAGCAGGAAATAGTAAAATAGTAAATGACAGGTCAGGGTGCTGCCAAGAGAGTGCAGGGGCAGGGATGGGGTGGGTCCCATCCCAGATGAGCCAGATGGTGATGCCATCTCTTCCTGCAGAGACTGAGGGGACATTCAGAGACGGGGTATGTTTGATGCCCTGTCAGCATCTGAGGCATCAGCCCTGGTTAAGCTGCGTTTAGCCTTCTCTCCTATGATACTTTGACACTCAGCCTTGCTCCCAGGAGGTAGGATAGTGTTTCCATTACGGAATCAAAGATGGGAACCTGGCTTCCTGGCATGATCCCAGCGGTGCTGGCAGTCTTTGCTGACTGACTTGGTGATGTGGTTTGGCTTTGTGTCCCCACCCAAAGCTCATCTGAGTCGCGATTCCCAGTGTTGGAGGAGGGGCCTGGTGGGAGGTGATCTGGTCATGGGGGCAGATTCCCCCTTGCTGTTGTGGTGATAGTGAGTGAGTTCTCAGATCTGATGGTTTAAAAGTGTGTGTGGCACTTTCCCCTTTGCCCTCTCGCTTGCTCTCTCTCTCTCTCCGCCCCCCCCACTGCTTCACCCATACTGTGCTTGCTTCCCATTTGCCTTCTGCCATGACTGTAAGTTTCCTGAGGCCTCTCAGTGGTGCTTCCTGGACAGCCTGCAGAACTGTGAGTCAGTTAAACCCAGGCCAGGTGCGGTGGCTTACACCTGTAATACCAGCACTTTGGGAGGCTGAGGAGGGCAGATCACTTGAGGTCAGGAGTTCTAGACCAGCCTGGCCAACATGGTGAAACTCCGTCTCTACTAAAATACAAAAATTAGCTGGATGTGGTGGCGTATGCTTGTAGTCCCAGCTACTCGGGGGGCTGGGGCAAGAGAATCACTTGAACTCGGGAGGCGGAGATTGTAGTGAGCCGAGATTGTGCCATTGCACTCCAGCCTGGGCGACAGAGTGAGACTCCATCTCAGAAAAACAAACAAACCTATTTTCTTCATAAATTACCCAGTCTTGCTTGGGTAGTTCTTTTTTTTTTTTTCTTGAGATGGAGTTTCGCTCTGTTGCCCAGGCTGGAGTGTAGTGGCGCGATTTCAGCTCACTGCAACCTCTGCCTCCCGGGTTCAAGCGATTCTCCTGCCTCAGCCTCCCGAGTAGCTGGGATTACGTACATGCACCACTATGCCCAACTAATTTTGTATTTTTAGTAGAGACGGGGTTTCACCATGTTGATCAGGCTGGTCTCAAACTCCTGGCCTCAGATGATCCACCCGCCTCGGCCTCCTAAAGTTCTGGGATTAAAGGTGTGAGCCCCTGTGCCCGGCCTGGGTAGTTCTTTAGAGCAGTGTGAGAATGGACTCACACATTAGGTTTAGAGTTAGGCTGCCTCAGACTCCAGCACATGTAAGTGCTGGTACTGGTTGAGGGCAGGGGCGTGTCCTGGCCTCGTTCGACCCCACACAATTTCCTCTCTTTGCAGGTGCAGCTCTGTCATTTCCACTCTGCTCTGCTGCACAGCAGGCAGAAGCCCTGGCCGTCCCCTGCTGTGTTCTTCAGGAGAAACGTCAGGGGCCTTCCTCCAAGGTAACGAGTCCTCCACGGGCATGCGCCTCTCACCCAGGCAGGCATGGATGGCGTCTGTGTGCATGCAGAGGTGGCAGTCGAGGGCCCAAGGCTGGACCTTCTCCTGTACCCACAACCAAGGCAGGATATGTTTGCTCCTCAGTGCGGTGCACTGGGACCAAAGACCCCCAGGGACCCATGGGACCGTGCTCAGGGGTGGGCACACCCTGATCACAGCATTTAGAGCAGACAGCTAGCAAATCGGGAAGGGTGCACATGGAGCGCCTGCTCTGAAGAGCAAACCGGGTCATTCAGAGCATGGAGGAGGGCGGGGTGACTATAGGTGGGAGTCACACAAGAGGAAGAGCAGCAAGAAGAGATGTGGAGGGATGGGTCTGAGCAGAAGGAAAGGCCAGACAATGTCCTGAGGCCAGCAAGTCCGGACCACAGTGCGCAGATGGACGGTGGCAAGGCAGGAAGGCCGTGGAGGGTAGATGTGGCCAGGCAGGGCAGGCAGGGTGAGCTGTCCAAGCGCCACTGGCTCAGTGAACCTGGCAGGGGTCTCCTTCTCCCGAGAGCTCTGCAGTAGGACAACCTGTGTCCCTGGGACAGATGCGGCCAGCTACAGAAACAGATGGGTGCTCAGGCGCCTGCGGCTGGGTGCAGAAACAGATGTGCACTCAGACACCTGCTGCACTCAGGATTATGGGCCGGGTGTAGAAACAGATGTGTGCTCAGGCACCTGCTGCACTAAGGATTATGGGCCGGGTGTAGAAACAGATGTGTGCTCAGGCACCTCCCGCAGTCAGAATTATGGGCCGGGTGTAGAAACAGATGTGTGCTCAGGCACCTCCCGCAGTCAGAATTATGGGCCAGGTGTAGAAACAGATGTGTGCTCAGGCACCTGCCGCAGTCAGGATTATGGGCCGGGTGTAGAAACAGATGTGTGCTCAGGCACCTGCTGCACTCAGGATTATGGGCTGGGTGTAGAAACAGATGTGTGCTCAGGCACCTGCTGCACTCAGGATTATGGGCTGGGTGTAGAAACAGATGTGTGCTCAGGCGCCTGCTGCACTCAGGATTATGGGCTGGGTGTAGAAACAGATGTGTGCTCAGGCGCCTGCTGCACTCAGGATTATGGGCTGGGTGTAGAAACAGATGTGTGCTCAGGCGCCTGCTGCACTCAGGATTATGGGCTGGGTGTAGAAACAGATGTGTGCTCAGGCACCTGCCGCACTAAGGATTATGGGCTGGGTGTAGAAACAGATGTGTGCTCAGGCACCTGCCCCACTCAGGATTATGGGCTGGGTGTAGAAGCAGATGTGTGCTCAGGCACCTGCCCCACTCAGGATTATGGGCTGGGTGTAGAAACAGATGTGTGCTCAGGCACCTGCCGCACTAAGGATTATGGGCTGGGTGTAGAAACTGATGTGTGCTCAGGCACCTGCCCCACTCAGGATTATGGGCTGGGTGTAGAAGCAGATGTGTGCTCAGGCACCTGCCCCACTCAGGATTATGGGCTGGGTGTAGAAACAGATGTGTGCTCAGGCACCTCCCGCAGTCAGGATTATGTGCCGGGTGTAGAAACAGATGTGTGCTCAGGCACCTGCTGCACTAAGGATTATGGGCCGGGTGTAGAAACAGATGTGTGCTCAGGCACCTGCTGCACTAAGGATTATGGGCCGGGTGTAGAAACAGATGTGTGCTCAGGCACCTGCTGCACTCAGGATTATGGGCCGGGTGTAGAAACAGATGTGTGCTCAGGCACCTGCCGCACTCAGGATTATGGGCTGGGTGTAGAATCAGATGTGTGCTCAGGCCCCTGCTGCACTCAGGATTATGGGCCGGGTGTAGAAACAGATGTGTGCTCAGGCACCTCCCGCAGTCAGAATTATGGGCCGGGTGTAGAAACAGATGTGTGCTCAGGCACCTGCTGCACTCAGGATTATGGGCCAGGTGTAGAAACAGATGTGTGCTCAGGCACCTGCCGCACTCAGGATTATGGGCTGGGTGTAGAATCAGATGTGTGCTCAGGCCCCTGCTGCACTCAGGATTATGGGCCAGGTGTAGAAACAGATGTGTGCTCAGGCACCTGCCGCACTCAGGATTATGGGCCGGGTGCAGAAACAGATGTGTGCTCAGGCACCTCCCGCAGTCAGGATTATGGGCCGGGTGTAGAAACAGATGTGTGCTCAGGCACCTCCCGCAGTCAGAATTATGGGCCGGGTGTAGAAACAGATGTGTGCTCAGGCACCTGCTGCACTCAGGATTATGGGCCGGGTGCAGAAACAGATGTGTGCTCAGGCCCCTGCTGCACTCAGGATTATGGGCCGGGTGTAGAAACAGATGTGTGCTCAGGCCCCTGCTGCACTCAGGATTATGGGCCGGGTGTAGAAACAGATGTGTGCTCAGGCCCCTGCCGCACTCAGGATTATGGGCCGGGTGTAGAAACAGATGTGTGCTCAGGCACCTGCCGCACTCAGGATTATGGGCCGGGTGTAGAATCAGATGTGTGCTCAGGCCCCTGCTGCACTCAGGATTATGGGCCGGGTGTAGAAACAGATGTGTGCTCAGGCCCCTGCTGCACTCAGGATTATGGGCCGGGTGTAGAAACAGATGTGTGCTCAGGCACCTGCTGCACTAAGGATTATGGGCCGGGTGTAGAAACAGATGTGTGCTCAGGCACCTGCTGCACTAAGGATTATGGGCCGGGTGTAGAAACAGATGTGTGCTCAGGCACCTGCTGCACTAAGGATTATGGGCCGGGTGTAGAAACAGATGTGTGCTCAGGCACCTGCCGCACTCAGGATTATGGGCCGGGTGCAGAAACAGATGTGTTCTCAGGCACCTCCCGCACTCAGCGTTATGGGTTTCCTGCTGGTTTCAGCATATATGGAGCTGCTACTGTGTTCAGCATAGGTAGAGCTCCTGCTGTATTCAGCGAGTATTGGGCTCCTGCTGTATTTGGCAAGTATTGGACTCCTGCTGTATTCAGCGAGTATTAGACTCCTGCTGTATTCAGGGAGTATTGGGCTCCTGCTGTATTCAGCAAGTATTGGGCTCTTGCTGTATTCAGCAAGTATTGGGCTTCTGCTGTATTCAGCGTGTATGGTGATCCTACTATATTCAATATGGGGCAAGCTCTGTTTCTTGCTCTGTACTGTCATGCGACTCAGCACGTGCCGACCGCAGCATCTTCTCTGTCTCTGCTGTGCTGATGACCATCCAGTTGAATCCTGCGAGGTGGACGGTGGTTGTGATTCTCCACAGTGTAGGAGACCACGGTCCGTGAGGAGCACAGACCTGCCATTGAGCTGCTTCCTTTACCTGAGGAGCCATTTCCATGTCCCATGGCCCATTGGCTGCGTCTCTGGACAGACCTGAATGAGACCTGCCCCTTATGGCCATCTGGTGCCGGGCTTTGGTGCAGGGGCATCTGGTGCAGGGGCTCAGGGAAGGGGACGCTGATGCGGTGGTGTTCTCTGCTGACCACACGTCAGAATGGCTGTGCACACAGGAGTGAGACGTGGTGCTGGGGGAGGTGGGGGCAGAGATCAGAGCCCAGCTGAATGTGGGGGGCGGCGCCTCCAGGCTGCATTGTCTCTCCTCAGGTTCTCCAGCCCCACACCCCTGTGGAGGAAGGTGCTCTCCACCGCGGTAGTGGGGGCGCCCCTGCTCCTCGGAGCCCGCTATGTCATGGCAGAGGCACGGGAGAAGAGGAGGATGCGGCTCGTGGTGGATGGCATGGGGCGCTTTGGCAGGTAGGAGGGCCTGGCGGCAGGCAGGGGTTGCGGCGTGGCGGGCGGGGTGTGTGCGGTGCAGGATTGCCTGCTCCAGATGCCTTCACAGACGAGGGGCGTGAGCCTGGGAGGCCTGCAGAGCTTGCTGAGGATTTTACAGCTGCTTTTCAGGCGTCCTTTCCTACATGGGAAGGTGCTGGCTGAAGGGACAGTGAGCACTGGCGGGGCCTATAGGAGGTGGTGTAGACAAGGGTCCTCCACATTGGATGCAGCCGCCACAGGCCCTTCCCTAGTTCAGCCTTGGCCTTAGTGGGGAGGCGCTCCAGCCCTGGGCCCGTGCCTTCTCCCTCAGGCTTCTAGGCTGGCAGAGAAGCAGCTGCCCTGCCTTCCTTCTCTTCTTGCCCCATTCCAAGGTTTGGGCCTGGGAGAGGAGGCTGCCTCTGTCCCTTGCCCTGGAGATGGGCAAAATCGGGTTATTGCTGTCAGGGCCCTTTCTTCCTCCATTACCTTACAGTGAAGAACTCAGGGGGAGGGTGAGGACACCTTCTGTTGGAACCCTTGGGTGGGCATTCCTGCTTTTGTCAGATCCCGGAATTCCTGCAGCCACAAAGCCCTGCTAGCCTGAGCCTGGTGGAACCAGCTCTTGGCTTTGAGAGAAACCTGTTAGCCCAAAGCCCTTTTTTTTTTTTTTTTTTTTTTTTGAGACAGAGTCTCGCTCTGTCACCCAGGCTGGAGTGCAGTGGCGCAATCTCGGCTCACTCAAGCCCCGCCTCCCTGGTTCACGCCATTCTCCTGCCTCAGCCTCCTGAGTAGCCGGGACTACAGGTGCCCACCACCATGCCTGGCTAAATTATTTATTTATTTATTTATTTATTTAGTATTTTTAGTAGAAACGGGGTTTCACTGTGTTAGCCAGGATGGTCTCGATCTCCTGACCTCGTGATCCACCCGCCTCGGCCTCCCAAAGTGCTGGGATGACAGGCGTGAGTCACCGTGCCCAGCCCCCAAAGCCCTTTTGAATGGAGCGTCAGGGCAGGAAGGAGGCAGGGAGGGTGTGGTCCTGTTCTGCCTGCCTCCGAGCATCTGCCAGGCCTAGGTCAGTTTCTCAGCAAGTGCCTCGGCTTCTGGTGCCTTCAGAGATTTCACCAGAAGTTTCACAGAAATTTCCTCCAGCAGTGAGTGGAAGCTTGTGGATAGCTGGGCACCTGAGGATTTTCAGCCTAAAAGACAAAACAGTCGTTCCCCACGTGGGTCTCCCTGGCATCTGGTTTTGCTTGGAGTTCCTGCTGTCCCTGCCTGCAGATTTTGGGTGGCATTGTCTGTCTTGCAGGGCCATCCAGTCTCGCAGCCTGGGGTGGGTGACGACAGAGCCTCGGGTCCTCTGCCTTTTTCTCGTGACCCTCCGCTGCAGTGCATGCAAGGGCCACACAGGGCTGCCAGCCACCGTCCCCTGCAGCCTGGTTCTGAAATGTCGGCTTGGCAGGCCTGGGTTTGTCTCACCCTCTATTTCATGGCATGCAGCTGTGTCTGGTGTCCACCTCCTCGGCCACCGGCTTGGTGAGCCTGCGTTTTGGGCTCACTTTGTGGGAAAACATCTTCTCACAGCTCGCTCTCAGGGGCTGAGCTGGGGTTGCAGGGAGGGACCTCTGTTGTTAATTTTCCCAGCAGTCTGCACGTTCTCCTTGGCTCTAAGCCGTCACGGTTGCATAGACAAGCAGGCCTGTGGAGCTTCCCTGGCAGGGCACAGGGTAGCCTGGGAACACATCCTGGGTGACAGCAGCACCCATGCAGGGGCCCAGGAAGGAGCGCGGGTGAGGAGCATGGCGGTGCCAGTGCACCATGAGAAAAGGCAGCAGAGGTCAGAACAGGCCACAGGTACCCAAATGATCAGGGGCTGCCCAGGAAGGTGGAAGGTTTGGGACAATGTTTCTCTGCCTCAGAGCCCTGTCTTTAATCTCTGCCACTCCTTACATTTTCTTTTTTTTTTTTTTTTGAGACGGAGTCTTGCTCTGTCACCCAGGGTGGAGTGCAGTGGTGCGATCTCAGCTCACTGCAACCTGTGCTCCCTTGGTTTAAGCGACTCTCCTGTCTCGCCTCCCAAGCAGCTGGGATTTCGGGTGTGTGGCACCACGCCCGGCTAGTTTTTGTATTTTTAGTAGAGACAGGGTTTCGTCATGTTGGACAGGCTGGTCTCCAACTCTTGACCTCAGGTGAACTGCTCAGCTCGGCCTCTCAAAGTGCTGGGATTACAGGTGTGAGCCACCACACCTGGCCCTAAACTTAAATCACCACCAGGCGCGGTGGCTCACGCCTGTAATCCCAGCTACTTTGAGAGGCTGAGGCAGGGGAATCACTTGAACCTGGGAGGCGGAGGTTGCAGTGAACCAAGATCACGCCATTGCACTCCAGCCTGGAAGACAGAGCCAGACCCGTCTCAAAAAATAAAAATAAAAAATAAAATCACCTATATGTGGCCGGGCATGGTGGCTCACGCCTGTAATCCCAGAACTTTGGGAGGCCGAGGTGGGTGGATCACGAGGTCAGGAGATCGAGACCATCCTGGCTAACATGGTGAAACCCCGTCTCTACTAAAAAATACAAAAAATTAGCCGGGCTTGGTGGCGGTTGCCTGTAGTCCCAGCTACTTGGGAGGCTGAGGCAGGAGAATGGCGTGAACCCGGGAGGCGGAGCTTGCAGTGAGCCAAGATCACGCCACTGCACTCTAGCCTGGGTGACAGAGCGACTCTCTGTCTCAAAAAAAAAAAAAATCACCTATGTGTTTTGCTTTCCCCCACCGCCCCTTTTTCTTTTATTTTTTGGAGACAGTCTCACTCTGTTGCCCAGGCTGGAGTGCAGTGGCTTCGTCTCAGCTCACTGCAACCTCCATATCCCAGGTTCAAGCAATTCTCATGCTTCGGCCTCCCGAGTAGCTGGGACTACAGGTGTGCGCGCCACCATGCCCGGCTAATTTTTTATATTTTTAGTAGAGATGGGGTTTTGCCATGATGCCCAGGCTGGTCTTGAACTCCTGAGTTCAGGTGATCCGTTTGCCTCAGCCTCCCAAATGGCTGGGATTACAGGTGTGAGCTATCATACCTGAACTAAATTTAACTTTTTTTTTAAAATTTTTTAATTTTTTATTTAACTTATTTTTTTTTATTTTTTGAGATGGAGTTTCGCTCTTGCTGCCCAGGCTGGAGTGCAATGGTGGGATCTCGGCTCACTGCAACCTCCATCTCCCGGGTTCAAGCGATTCTCCTGTCTTAGCCTTCTGAGTAGCTGGAATTACAGGTGCCCACCATCACGCCCGGCTAATTTTTGTATTTTCAGTAGCAATAGGGTTTCATCATGTTGGCCAGGCTGGTCTTGAACTGCTGACCTCAAGTGATCTGCCCGCCTCGGACTCCCAAAGTGCTGGGATTACAGGCATGAGCCACCACGCAGGCCATGCCTGGAGTTTTTGTTGGGGTATTAATACTTGGGCGGGATTGATTGAAAATCTCCAGTTTCTCAGAAAATCCCAGGAATTCAGTTTCCAGCCCCGGTCCTCCCGCTCCCATCCCCGTGGGCCCCAAAGTGGTGGGTCTTCGCCCTGAGTCCCTTCTTAGCATAAGCCCTCAGGGCCACCATGGAAAACAGAGGCACTCCTTATCACTCAGGAAATCCCAAGGACTTAAGAAGGGACAAAGGTCAGTCCTCTGTTTGGGTAAAGTTAATTCTTCATTGCACATGATTGGACACCTTTGAAGATTACAGGCTTGTAAGTATTGTATAACAAGAGTCAGCAAACTGTGGTCCCTGGGCCAAGTGCAGGGGCCTAGTGTGGCAGCTGTCTGATTTGCAAATAAAGCTTTATTGGAACACAGCCATGCCCATGCATTGCCTGTGACCACTTGGTGCACAGTTGCCCATGTGCTCATGCGTGGCCAGAGTGCCTAAAATAATTACCATCTCATCTTTTACAGAAATATTTCACTGCTTCTTATTTTGTCAGTGTGGGTTTGTCTGATGTTTGCTTGTGGTCATATTCGTCATCTGTTTTGGCAGGAATCACACAGGAGTGACACTGCTTCTGTCCTGCCGGGGGCACATGATTTCGGTTTCCCCCATTTGATTCCCTTGTAATTAGCCGTATGGAGGCAGTTGAGATGATGTGTCTGTTCTCACTGCTCCTCCACCCAGCAGTTTGTTTGTTTCTTTATTTATTTATTGAGACAGTCTTGCTCTGTCACTCAGGCTGGAGTACAGTGGCAACATCTTGGCTCACTTCAGCCTCTGCCTCCTGGGTTCAAGCAATTCTCCCAGCCCCAGTCTCCCCAGTAGCTGGGATTACAGACACCTGCCACCACACCCAGCTAATTTTTTTTTAATTTTTAGTAGAGATGGGGTTTCTCCATGTTGGCCAAGCTGGTCTTGAATTCCTGACCTTAAGTGATCCATCTGTCTCAGCCTCCCAAAGTGCTGGGATTATAGGCATGAGCCACTGCGCCTGGCCTCCACCCAGCAGTTTAGCACTCATTGATACTTTTTTTTTTTTTTGAGACAGAGTTTCACTCTTGTTGCCCAGGCTGGAGTGCAATGGTGGGATCTCCGCTCACTGCAACCTCCACCTCCTGGATTCAAGCGATTCTCCTGCCTCAGCCTCCTTAGTAGCTGGGGATTACAGGCACACGCCACCACACCCAGCTAATTTTGTATTTTTTAGTAGAGGCGGGTTTCTCTGTGTTGGTCAGACTGGTCTTGAACTCCTGACCTCAGGGGATCCGCCCGCCTTGGCCTCCCAAAGTGCTGGGATTATAGGTGTGAGCCACCACACCCGGCCTCCAACATTTTGTGAAAAACTTCAAACATACAGCAATGTTGAAAATGCTCTGTGAGGCAATGTGAAATGCAATGTGAAAATGCTTTGGGAGGCCGAGGAGGGCGGATCACGAGGTCAGGAGTTCGAGACCAGCCTGACCAACGTGGAGAAACCCCATCTCTACTAAAGATAGAAAAATTAGCTGGGCATGTGGTGGGCACCTGTAGTCCCAGCTCCTCGGGAGGCTGAGGCGGGAGAATTGCTTGAACCTGGGAGGCGGAGGTTGCAGTGAGCCTAGACTGTGCCACTGCACTCCAGTCTGGGCGACAGAGCGAGATTCCATCTCAAAAAAAAAAAAAAAATTAAATTCCTTCTCCCCCAAGCACAAGTCTGTGGGACTTTTTCACATCTTTAAGTTTTGTTACAAAAGTGTTGTGTTTACTATAACAAATTTTAATAGTAGAAAAGTTAGAGCCGGGCACGGTGGCTCACGCCTGTAATCCCAGCACTTTGGGAGGCCAAGGTGGGCGGATCACGAGGTCGGGAGATCGAGACCATCCTGGCCAACACGGTGAAACCCCATCTCTACTAAAAATACAAAAAAATTAGCCGGGCGTGGTGTTGGGCGCCTGTAGTCCCAGCTACTCTGGAGGCTGAGGCAGGAGAACGGCGTGAACCTGGGAGGCGGAGCCTGCAGTGAGCCAAGATCGCCACCACACTCCAGCCTGGGCGACAGAGCGAGACTCCGTCTCCAAAAAAAAAAAAAAAGAAACCGAAACCCTGGCCTAACCCAAGCACGCACTCCAGATGCTCTACGGGGGCCAGAGTGGGGCCTGAATGGCCGGGGGGTCGCCCTGGGTTGATGGGGGACACAGAGTCCACCTGAGCGCCAGAGCTGCGCTTCAGGAATGACTGTGGGCCCTGTCCCCAGGCAGGTACGTGAGCTTCACAGAACGCAGGGACAGGCCTCTGGCCATGGCCAGCCTTGGAGAAGCCACTCTGACCTCAGCCCCTCCCTGTGCACCTGTGTGTGGTCTGCCCGCTGCCTGGCGCCTCATTCCAGGGCTGCCCAGCTGGTCCCCAGAGTTCTCCCAGGGCTCCCACCCTGATATCCTCCTAACTGGGGCCAGGCCTGGGGACACCCCTCTACCCCATCCTCTTGCCTAAATCTCCCCCAGGAGCCCAGTACCTGCTCAACAGATACCCAGGATGTCCCCCACTTCCTGCCTTAACTGGGCTCTCTTCCCTGCAGACCTTGCCTCCCCAGGCCTTGGAGACCCACCCTCCTGGTGTCCTCCTCTCTTCCTAGTGGACCTCAGGCTGCAGGTGACCTTGACCCTCCTGTGACCTCTGCTGCCTCAGCCCTGCCCCCTTGCTGCCATCCTTTACCTTCACAGACAGCCTTGGAACCCCATCTCTCCAGAGGATGCCACCGTCCATACTGTCCCCTACCCCATCTCACCTGGGCACCCTTGAGGGTGGCAGGGAGTGAGGGTGGCATGGACACAGGCTGCCCATTCTGCAGATCTTTTTTTGTTTTTTGAGACGGAGTCTCGCTCTGTCGCCAGGCTGGAGTGCAGTGGCGCAATTTTAGCTCACCGAAACCCGCCTCCTGACTTCAAGTGATTCTCCTGCCTCAGCCTCCTGAGTAGCTGGCACTACAGGCACGCACCACCATGCCCAGCTAATTTTTGTATTTTTAGTAGAGACTAGGTTTCACCATGTTGGTCAGGATGGCCTCAATCTCTTGACTTTGTGATCTGCCCGCCTCGGCCTCCCAAAGTGCTGGGATCATAGGTGTGAGCTACCAAGCCCAGCCTCTTTTTTTTTTTTTTGAAACCGAGTTTCGCTCTTGTTGCCCAGGCTGGAGTGCAATGGCGCGATCTTGGCTCACTGCAACCTCTGCCTCTCGGGTTCAAGCAATTCTCCTGCCTCAGTCTCCCGAGTAGCTGGGATTACAGGTGTGCACCACCACACCCGGCTAATTTTTTTGTATTTTAAGTAGAAATGGGGTTTCACCATGTTGGCCAGGCTGGTCTTGAACTCCTGACCTCTGGTGATCCACTCACCTCGGCCTCCCAAAGTGCTGGGATTACAGGCGTGAGCCACTGTGCCCAGCTCTGCAGATCTTTTTTGGACGGAGTCTCGCTCTGTTGCCCAGGCTGGGGTGCAGTGGTGCAATCTCAGCTTACTGCAGTCTCCACCTCCTAGGCTCAAACGATCCTCCTGCCTCAGCTTCCTGAGGAGCTGGGACCACAGGTGTGCACCACCGTGCCTGCCTAATTTTTTTGCATTTTTGGTAGAGACAGGGTTTCAACATGTTGCCCAGGCCAGTCTCGAACTCCTGAGCTCAAGTGATCCTCCCAGCACAGCCTCCCAATGTGATGGGATAATTGACATGAGCCACCACACCTGGCCCCGTTCTACTGATCTTGAGCTGAGACTGACCTGCAGGGCCACAGGACACCCCACGAGCTCAGCAGCACCCCTTGTGCTCACACAGGCCTACGCGGCTGTAGGCTGGACCCTGGCTTGGCCTCACCCTTGGGACATGAAGGGCTGGCCGGGGTGAGGCTAGACCATGAGGGCTCTGACAAGAGGACCAAGCACCGGGGCCCCGAGCCTGCCCCGCTGGAGACTGAGGCCACCTCTGCCCGCAGGTCTCTGAAGGTCGGCCTGCAGATCTCCCTGGACTACTGGTGGTGCACCAATGTTGTCCTTCGAGGGGTGGAAGAGGTTTGTCCTGGTGCCCTGGGCACACAGTGGTGGGCATGAGGTGGTGGGCTGGGTGGGACTGAGGAGGCAGCCACCTGTCCCCATGTGTTCTCCCCATGCCTGTGGTCAGAACAGCCCAGGCTACTTGGAGGTGATGTCTGCGTGTCACCAGCGGGCGGCTGATGCCCTGGTGGCAGGGGCCATCAGCAACGGGGGCCTCTACGTGAAGCTGGGCCAGGGGCTGTGCTCCTTCAACCACCTGCTTCCCCCCGAGTATACCCGGACCCTGCGCGTGCTAGAGGACAGGGCCCTCAAGCGGGGCTTCCAGGAGGTGAGTGTGCGCTCAGGCCGAGGGAGGTGGGGCCTCCAGCAGTGGCCCCAGGCTGCTCTGAGCACCTGTCCTTCCAGGTGGATGAGTTGTTCCTTGAGGACTTCCAGGCCCTCCCCCACGAGCTCTTCCAGGAGTTTGACTACCAGCCAATTGCTGCCGCCAGCCTGGCACAGGTGCACAGAGCCAAGCTGCACGATGGCACCAGCGTGGCTGTGAAGGTATATGGGGGCTGCCTTGTTCAGCAGTGGGCTGGGGCGGGGCACAGTGGGGCCCCAAGTTCTCACCACACCCTCGCCCAGTGCAGGTGCAGTACATCGACCTGCGGGACCGCTTTGATGGGGACATCCACACCCTGGAGCTCCTGCTGCGGCTCGTTGAGGTCATGCACCCCAGCTTTGGCTTCAGCTGGGTCCTCCAGGTACAGCCCCACCCCTTCCCCGGCCAGCAGGAGCAAACACGTAGGCAGAGCTGGTAGGAGCAGCTGGTAGGCAGAGCTGGTCTTCAACCGCCATCTGGCCCCCAGGACCTGAAGGGGACCCTGGCCCAGGAGCTGGACTTCGAGAATGAGGGCCGCAACGCAGAGCGCTGTGCGCGGGAGCTGGCGCACTTCCCCTACGTCGTGGTGCCCCGCGTGCACTGGGACAAGTCCAGCAAGGTGGGCTGGGCCAGGCCCTTGGGGTGGGCACAGCGCTGGGCCTGCTGAGCCCAGCCTCTTGCTCTCCCCAGCGCGTGCTCACTGCCGACTTCTGCGCCGGCTGCAAGGTCAACGATGTGGAGGCCATCAGGAGCCAGGGGCTGGCAGTGCATGACGTGAGTGCGGGGGGGCGGGGGCGGGTCAGGGCGGGCTGGTGCTGTGTCCACTGCAATGCCTCTCCTCTCCCCAGATAGCAGAAAAGCTCATCAAGGCCTTTGCTGAGCAGATATTTTACACCGGCTTCATCCACTCGGACCCACATCCTGGCAACGGTAGGAATTTACCCCAGGGGTGGGGGTCTCAGGGTGGGCGCAGCGCGACCTAAGAGGCTGTATCCCTAGTTCTGGTGCGGAAAGGCCCGGACGGGAAAGCGGAGCTGGTGCTGCTGGACCACGGGCTCTACCAGTTCCTGGAGGAGAAGTGAGCGCGGGTGGGTGGGCGTGGGGCAGGGCAAGCCTCTCCTGCCGCAGGGAGCTCATGGCTGCGGGCCCATCCACACCCAGGGACCGCGCAGCCCTCTGCCAGCTGTGGCGGGCCATCATCCTGCGGGACGACGCCGCCATGAGGGCGCACGCAGCCGCACTGGGGGTGCAAGGTGAGGGCGTGCGGGGATGGCTGGGGCACCACAGAAGGGAGTCGGGCGGCGCGGAACCCACTCAGAGCCCCCTCCCTCCCTCCCTCCCTCCCTCCCCAGACTACCTCCTGTTCGCCGAGATGCTCATGCAGCGCCCCGTGCGCCTGGGGCAGCTGTGGGGCTCGCACCTACTGAGCCGCGAAGAGGCGGCCTACATGGTGGACATGGCCCGCGAGCGCTTCGAGGCCGTCATGGCGGTGCTCAGGGAGCTGCCGCGGCCCATGCTGCTGGTGCTGCGCAACATCAACACCGTGCGCGCTATCAACGTGGCCCTCGGCGCCCCCGTGGACCGCTACTTCCTTATGGCTAAAAGGTCGGTGGCCCGAGGAGGCGCCCGGGCCGTGGTGGGGCTGGTGTGGGGCTGACGCGGCGCTAACGCGGGTGTGTGCAGGGCTGTCCGGGGCTGGAGCCGCCTGGCGGGCGCCACGTATCGGGGTGTCTACGGCACCAGCCTCCTGCGCCACGCCAAGGTCGTCTGGGAGATGCTCAAGTTTGAAGTGGCGCTCAGGTGAGTGGCCGCGGGGCAGGTGGGTGGCGGGGGCCTGCTCCCCACCCACCTGTGACCTGTGACCTGACCCACGCAGGCTGGAGACCTTGGCCATGCGGCTGACCGCCCTCCTGGCTCGTGCTCTGGTCCACCTGAGCCTCGTGCCCCCAGCGGAGGAGCTCTACCAGTACCTGGAGACCTAGGGTGCAGCCGCCCAGGGCCGGCGGGGCCCTTTTCACCTTGGGCTGACGGAGGTGGCGGGGCTAGAGGTGTAGACACCCCGAGCCCCGTGGGCACTCGCACTGGGGGGCTGTGACAGCAGCTGGGCCAGGAGGCCGTGTAATGACCACACACTCCTCTCAAGCAAAAAATGTTTTTCCTTGTGTTTTGTACAAAAAGGGGGTGGGAGGTAGTTCCGTGTGCTGGTGGTGACGGCATCCACGGGGCTAGAAGTGGGCGGTGACGCGGTCCGTCTCCAGCAAGTCGTCCAGGATCTGCAGGGGATGGAAGGGTGGGTGGGTGGGTGGGTGGGGATGCACACGGAGGGGCGGGGCGCGCGGGGGGCGGGGCGCGCACTCACTATGTCTGGTGTGGTGCCGATCTTCTTGGCTAGCTCGCTGCGCTCCATGGTGCTCAGGTACAGGTAGCGGTTGAGCAGCTCCCCATCCAGCACGTTGCGCACGGCATTCTGGAGGGTGCGGCGGTCCACGTGCAGCATCCTGGGGCGTACAGGCACAGGTGTCAGGGCAGGCTGGGGTGGAGGGGGTGCTGCACGGGGGCGGGGCCGGGGCTCACCGGAAGGCGCGGGGGTTGAGGCCGGCGTGGTGTGGCAGCATGGTGGTCAGCGCGTTCTGCAGCATCAGCAGCCGCCGGTAGGTCTTCTCCTGCATGGGCAGCAGCAGCCCGATGCCGCCGTCCAGGGTGGCTGGCAGGGGTAGGGTGAGGGTTTTGGTGTGAGCCAGGCCAACCCTAGGGCCCCCCACCCAGACACACCTGCTCCCCCACACTCACCAAACCACGTGATGTGCTTATTCTCCCACACGACCGACTTTTTGCTGAGCCCTTCAGTGGCCCCCCGGCACGGGGTCCTCCAGAACGTGTTCACGTGGGCACCCACGTGGAAGTCTGCCCGACGCAGCAGGCGCATGCCCCCGAAACTCTCCTTGGCTAGACCAGAAAGGCCTAGGGGTCACTGCTAGCCCAGCCCCGGCCCAGGCAGAGGGGGTGGAGGAAGCACTCACCTTCGGGCAGGTACATGTACACCATGAGGTTGCGGTCGCGGTCAGACACTGGGGAGCAGAGGCCCAGGGTCAGCCCCGGCCACCCCCAGAGCCTCAGCTCCCCAGGGCCCTGCCCACATACCCAGAAAACCCAGCTGGGCATTGTCCACCATGAAGTCCACGCTGTACACCTCCAGGGGCTTGGCATCCTGGGGGCGGGAAGGGGGCGTCAGAGGTGCCTTGGGCGGGTACCCACCCAGACACGAGCACCGCCGCCACAGGTGTACCCGCGACACCAGGCTCAGCGTCTTGCTTTCCTCCTGGTAGCGCAGCAGCGAAATGCTCTTCATGACGTCGGCTGCCAGGATGAAGTTCTTGACGCTGATCATCTGGTGTATGTAGAGCTGCGTGTCGATGAAGGCCATGCCCGTCAGCTCGCTGGCCCGCAGGCTCCACAGGAAAATCTGGGGGCGAGGGCGAGGGTGAGCGGGCGCGGACGGGGAGCCGGGTGAGGGTGAGCCGGGGGACACACGCCGGGTGGGACTGGCACACCTTCTGGCCGATGGCCGACACCAGGTGGCCATTGCAGTGGCACAGGGCGGTCACGGGCCCCTTCTGCTCCTTCTCGTAAAGGACTTTGAACTTGTTCTTGGTCAAGGGCTGGCCAGGCTCGGGCACCACCTCAATCACATCCATGATCAAGATCTGGAGGGCATGGGTATGGCTGTGGGATGGCTGTGGGGATGGCAGAGGGGCTGCCAGTTCCCGCCCCCGCTCACTGGCCCCTTACCCGCCCTCGGCACGTGACCTCCTCCCCCTGCATGAGGCAGGTCCCGGCGGCCACGTAGCCTTTGAGGCCCGACACGGTCTCCTCACTGCGCAGAGACACTGTCTTCATGCAGGTCACATGCTCCCACTCCTGCAGCTCGATCCTGTGGGGGCCAGGGGCCTCAGGATGCTGCCTGGAGGCCTTGGGCAGACCCCACCCCCGCCGGCCCAGCCTCACCTGGCATTGGGAATAGCCTCCCAGCTGACCGGGGAGATGAGCTGGATGGAGAAGGCCTCCTGCTGGGGGTGGATGTACCGCTCATCTGTGGGGACCAAGGGTGACAGTCAGAGTAGGGCTTCCCCAAGATGCGGCTGAGGATGGGAGTATGGTGTGGGCGTCACCACCTCTCTCGATGGTCTCAAACTCCTTCTCCTCGCCAGTCATGCGTGGGATGCGGGCACACGGCGTGTTGGTGCTGGTGGCCACAGCATACACCTGTGGGTTAGTGAGGGTCACACACCAGTGGCCCGGCCAGGCCCAGAAGGTCCCTGGTGGGGTGGGGGTGGGGGCAGACCTTAGACTCCACGTGGTAAGCCACATAGTGGGCCGTGCAGCGCAGCGGGATCTTCCTGACAGGCCATGGGGCATCATAGGACAGGTAGGCAGGCAGGACACTGATCCTCAGCTCGCCCTGGGGTGGGGGCACAGGGGTCAGGGGATCCAGGGCTAGCCAAGGGCAGGGGCAGGCAGGCCCAGGCCGCCAAGAGCCCTGGGATGTTGCCCTCAGCTCTGTGGGAGCAGGGGTGGGTGAGGGGCAGCTGTGTCCTGGCGAGGTCCTGGAAGGGGCTGCCACTCAGCCTCTGGGGCTCCTCCTGTCCATTTTCCCACGCTCAGCTGGGGCTAGGGGTGCTGGCCACAGGGGATGGGAAAGCTAGGCCAGGAGGGCACTGGAGGCTGCAAAGGGCAGCCCACAGACTGCCATGCTGGGGACTGAAAACCAGGCAGAGGGAGCCAGGGCTGCCCTCTTTCATGGACAGTCCTGAGTCCTCAGGCACCCAGGAAGCACTCACCGCATCCCAGGCAGGGTCTCAAGTGACCTGGTGGTGTGGTGGCTTAAATAGGGAACCAGGATGAGAAAGCCTGTGTGCCCTCCCAAAGTCACAGAGCAGCCAAGGGGCAGAGCTAGCACTCACGTCAGCTCTCCTGAGAAGTGTGGAGGCCAGGCCCTGCGAGGGCTTGCCCGGCGAGCCGGCAGAGCAGTGGTGGGGACCCCAGGGGCTGCAGCCCCAGCTCCCAACCACCCCTTTCCAGACCTTTGGAGCAACCAAGTCACAGGTTCCACCTCCTCGACCTCAACCCCATCGCCCTCTGGACACTCCTTCCTGGTCCTCAGGGTGGAGCCAATGGTCCCTTCTCCTGTCCCCTCCCCCTCAGCCCCCAGCTGGGGCAGCATCAGCCAGTGCTGCTGGGAACCGGCCGGGCCCCACCTGTCTGTTGAAGTACAGGAAGCCGCGGGGACAGTTGACATTGTGGAATGGAGCGAAAGAGTCGACCGGGCCGTCGATGGCCATGGGGTGTAGCCGCAGAGCCCCTCGGCCGGTCACCAAGAGCCAGTGAGGGGAGGGGCCGCAGATGAAGACCTGGGGGCAGGCACCGTGAGGATGCTGTGGATGAGGATGCTGCGGATGAGGCCGCGTCTCCCTTCTACCACAGACCCCTGCAAAGGCGCTGGCCTACCCCTGAGTAGCCATAAATATCCTCGAAGTAGCGGAAACGCGCCACGCGGCCCCGGGCCCCAGCCCCCTCCTCTGCGCCGCCACCTTCTGCTTTCTTCTTGGATGGCTTTGGCTTCTTCTCACGGAAGTTGATGTTGTGAGGGACCTGGGGGGGAACCATGCAGGTCCTCCAGGGGCTGCCGGTCTGAAACCCACACCTTGTACCACACCCACCCCACGCCCCAGCAGTCCAGCCACTGGCACCTTCTTAAAGCGGACTTTGAGATTGCCCTGGCCGAGCTGAGAGTCGTGGGGGAAGGCCTCGTAGATAAGCAGCTCTTGGTCCACATGCACCTGGCAGGATGAGGGGAGCCATGGGGGAACGGGCAGGGCCATGGAGAACATGGGATGGGCCATGGGAAGAGGTGGGCTGTGGGTAAGGGGCGGGGCTGAGATGGGGTGGAGCCATGTATGGGAAGGGGCGGGGCTGTGAGGGAGATGGGGTGGAGCCACGGGAAGGGGCGGGGCCGTGGGGGAGATGGGGTGGAGCCACGGGAAGGGGCGGGGCTGTGGGGGAACGGGCAGGGCCAGGGGGAAGATGGGAAGGGGAGGCCAGGCCAGGCGCACTCACCAGCAGGTAGGGCCTGCTCTGGCGGCTGCCCAGCGCCACCAGCAGCACCTCCTTGACGAGGGGCAGCTCCCCCTGGCGCGTGGCCTCCTCCCTGCGGGCCTCGCCCTGTGTAGTGGGCTGTCCAAAGGAGCTGTCCACAAGGACCCGCTGCCCCACAGGGAAGTTCTTCACCAGGAACACCAGCCGCCAGTCGGGAAGCTGGTAGATCTGCAGGGTGGGCAGCAGTCAGTGGAGGCAGGTGGGTGGAACCCGCTGGGCCACAGTGCAGGGCACCACCTACCTCCATGGTGCCATTCTCCCGCACCAGCAGGCACCAGTGGGTAGGCTCTGCCCGGAAGGGTGCAGGGTCCCGGTCAGCAGGGGGCTGGCTGCTTCTTCGGGCCTCCTCCTTGCTGGGGCTGAAGAGGGAGCCCGAATCCCCATACAGCATCTCCTCCTCGTCATCCACTGTGGGGCTGGGGGCCAGCAGAAGGTCATGGGCGGCCTGCCAGCCCCAGGGACCCAAGCCCCTACCTGCGCCCCCAGCCCCCACGCACCTAGTCTCTGAGCCCAGGCCCTCGGCCTCCGGGCCACTGCGGCCCCCGAGCTCGTCACGGGCCCCACCCAGGCGGCTCTCAGTGGTGAACATGCCGCTGAGGTCTCGGTACAGGCACAGCGTAATCACCTTGGACTGCTGCGGGGAGAGGGGTGGGCTCAGCGGCGGGCAAGGGGCAGGGACAGGAGGGCGCCGGGAATGAGGGGGCCTACATGGTGCAGCGGGGGCTTGTGCAGCGCCAGGCGGTGGTGGCGGCCACCGTAGGAGTCACTCTTCAGCAGGAACATGGTGACGTGGCCCTCGGCACTCATGATGACCACATAGGGGTCGGCCACGGCGCACTGCACGATGGGGGCGCCCAGGTCCACGGGGATGAAGTGCAGCTGATTCACTGTAGGCATGGGGCAGTCAGCATGCGCCTCCCCACCACCGTCCCCACCCACCTACCTCCTTCCAGCAGGCGGATGCCCAGGGCCCAACCACCTCCCCCCCACCGTCCCCACCCACCTACCTCCTTCCAGCAGGCAGATGCCCAGGGCCCAACCACCCCCCCCACCTACCTCCTTCCAGCAGGCGGATGCCCAGTGGTGACACTTGGACAATGTAGCGGTTGTCCCCGATGTTCCCAGCAAAGACCGTGGGGCCCTGAGTGGCGAAGCCACTGGTGTCCAGCTCCATGATCTCCTGCCCCGTCTGCAGGATCTGCGGGCGACAGCTGTGAGGGAGGCGCCCCCCGCAGGGGACCCCAGCCCCAGGTCCCAGGTCCCAGGCCCTGCCCCTCACCATGGTGGAGTCTTCCCGGCTCAGAATCAGGAATCCGTGTCTGCGGCCGTCGTCGTCTGCTTCAGGGGTGGTGCTGGGTTCCTGCTCTGTGCCCTCCCCCTTGGGATTGTCCTCCTGTCAGGGCCAAAGGGGGGCAGGCTGGAAGCCACAGTCCAGTGAAGGCAGGCACGCAGGTGCGACCTGGGCACCCCCGGCCTATGAGAAGGCAGCGCCGGTCCCATCCCAGGGCCTCCCTGCAGCAGGCTCGCACCTACCTCCTCCTTACGCACCGGGGCGATGACTGTCCACATGTCATAGCAGCCGGGAAGCTCAAAGGTTGTCACCACCTGGGGCCGGATGCTCTTCTAGAATGATGATGGGGTGGGGGTGTGATGGGGGTGTGAGCCCACCCAGGTCCCACCAGGAGGCGCCCGCCCCCTACCTGCCCACACACCTGCAGCACCGACAAAGCCCCGTTCTTCCCGTGGCCGGAGCAAACCACAATCTCCAGGTCCGGCTCGGGGCTGTTCTGAAACTGCACAGGACTCGGGGGTGAGGACTATGCCCCCCACCCCCCCTCACACTCCAGCCCCTGCCCCCAGCCCCGACCCCAACCCTGGGCACCTCTTCAGAGAGGAAGGCAGGCTCGCCCACGGCGGCATTGGCACAGGGTCCAATGTTCAGGATGCTGTCACACACCTGCGGCACAGCAAGAGTCAGGGGCCCGCTGGGGGCGCTGGCTGGGACGGGGGCCCTGCTGCCTCAATCTCACCTCAAAGGAGTAGGTGGCCAGCTGTGTTCCCGACTGGGCCTCGCTGCCGTACACTTCAATCTCGTCCACCTCATCCTGCGGCACCGACTTACCCGCAGCTGCACACAGAGAGCCCACTTGAGCGCAGCCCTGGGTCACCTGGCCCCGCTCCTGACCAGCCCTGGACCGGCCCTCACCTGACCAGCCGGCCGTCGCATCCACTCGCTTCTTCTTTGAGGGAGGCTCTTCCTGTGAGGCAGGAGGGGCACTGAGTGGCATGCCACAGCAGTGCCCACATGAAGGGTGGTGGCCCAATGGGCCCAGGAAACCCACCTTGTCGGCAGCCTCACGGACAGCACTGGCCGGGGGCTCCTGCAGCTTCTCCGTGTACTTGAGGAGGAGGGAATTGCCCAGGCGAGAACCCAGGAACAGGTACCCGGGCTCCATGGTGACCATCTGAGGGAGGGCAGGTGTGTGATGGCTGGGCCGGGTCTGGACCCAGACCCAACCCCTAGTCCCAACTCACGCTGGTGGTGAGGACGCTGGCGGCCGCCTTGTCAAAGTGGAACGCTCGGACACTGCGCATGCCGTCGGTGATGAGGGTCAGCACGTAGCTGGGGGCAGGGAGAATTCTGAGTCGGGGATGGGGACCCTGGGGGAGTGAAGGGGGCCAGGGGACCCTACAGGACTTGTGGGGGGCGGTGTGGGCAGAGTTCATGGGCGGGGGAGGGGCTCACATCTCGCCGCCCTTGAGGGAGATGACCATCTTGTCGTAGGAGATGAAGGTGGCCTGGGCGCAGTCCAGGGTGATCCGCACACCCTCCTGGGTGCCTGTGGGGTGGGTGGTCAGGCCGACTAGGCAGGCCCAAGCCGTCCCCGGGCCCCCCCCGCCCCAGCCACCCCACACTCACGAAGCGGGAAAGCCGTGGTTCCTGTGGTGAGGCTGTTGAGAGCCACGCCATACGGGGGGACGCTCTGGTTCAGGTACAACAGCGAGTTGACGGCAAACACCACCACCCCACCTGGAGGTGGACACAGGCTGGTGGGCAGGCTCAGTGCTCTCTCCACACACTCCCCTATCCACTCCCAGGACACACACCTATGGGCTTGGGCACAGCCAGAGCCTGGGTGCAGTCAAAGGGCAGGCTGGTGAGGGACCAGATGACGGGGTGCACCTTCTGCGTGATGTTCAGTGAGATGGCCACAATGGAGCACGTGTCCTGCCGCACGGCCACGCGCCTGGGGACGCCAGTGGGTCAGCCAAGGGCCTTGCCTCCCCGCAGAGACCCAGGCCCAGCTCCTCCCGAGCAAGCCCCACCACACCCCATAGGCCCCGCCCTAAACCCCATGGGCCCCACCCCAGGCAGAGGCAGCTAGGGGGCCCACAGTGCAGAGGGGCCTCCTTAGGGGGCTCACCCAGGCCAGGTCTGGTTGGGCTCAAACAGGATGAGGAGGGTAGGCTCGTAGTAGCCATGCAGGAACTGCAGGTCGATGATGTTGAGCAGCTTCTCGTCTAGGGCCCGCACGTCGATGATGTAGCTGGGCAGGAAGCTGGACCTCTGCCTGGGGGGCCAGGGGCTTCAGCAGGAGAGGAGGGGAGGCGGGGAGGGGAGCTCGGGCTCTGGCGCCTCCCACCCCAGCACCACAGCCTGCCTCAGCTGGCACTCACCCCTCACCCACGAGCCCCTCGTGCTCCTCAGCCAGGCTCTCCCTGCGGAAGGGCAGGACCACCAGCCGCGTGCCGTAGACAAGCATGGCTGCACAGCGCCCGTCGGGGTCCACCCGCACTCGCGGCGTGTGTACATTCTGCACAAACCCGTCCTGGGGGCAGAGGGGGCATCAGCCAGGCCCAGCATAGGAGACCCCGAGGGAAACACTTGGGGCCACAGAACCCAGCTGCAGGGGGAGGGAGGGTGGCTGGGCGGGGCCTGGGCGGGGGCGGGAGCGCGGCCCTACCCGAAGCTCAGGCTCCTCAAAGTAGTGCAGTGACAGGGTCTTCAGGTCATGGGTGCCCGGGTCGTACTCCACCACAGACAGCTGCGGTCAGAGGGCACAGCCGTGGCTGCCGACTGCCGGTCCTGACAGTGTCGCCCCCGGCAACCAACGGCTGTACCCAGGCCCTGGCACCCACTCCCACGCCTTGGCCAGGCCTACCCCACCAAGCCTACCACTCACCTTGGCATCCTTGAAGCTTAGGAGCAGGGCATCCCGCTTGGCTCCTGCCAGCTGCACGCTGGCCATGGACATGACGTTGCCAAAGAAGGAGAAGGAGGCAGCAAGCTCGAGCTTCTCCCGGTGGGCCTTCCCCTCTAGGGGAGACACCAGGGCTCAGGGTCAGGGCCCAGCCATGCCTGGCACCCGCACAGCCCCAGGCCGCCCCACCACACTCACCTGTGCTCCTGTCATTCTTGGTCAGAGCCTGGAGGGGAGAGAAAGACAGGGCAGTGAGGGGCCACATCTGGCAGCTCACCTCATCCGGGGAACGAGAAAAGACCACCAAGCCTGGCCCCTGCCTCCTGGGAGCTCTGCCCAAACCCTCTCTGCAGCAGGGAGAAGGGCTTCTGGAGACAGCTGTGCACAGCCCCCCACAGCGACCCCCATTCACGCTCTCATGCCCACGGCCCAGCCCTGGCACAGGCCCCTCCCCAGGAAGCCCCTACCTCACGGCTCCCTAGCAGCCAGGCCCTGTGCGGCAAGCACTCAGGGTTAGAGTGCACTCTGTGTCTGCACACCCCCAAACCTGCCTGGTTGCACACCTACAGCAGCCCAGCCCCGGCCCCTGGGTCCAAATGTCACAGGGCAGGAAGCCAGAGCCAAGGGGTATCTGTAGCTACTGATCTGCGTGCCTGTTAGAGAAGAGGAAGCCCTGCGCTATCCTGACGCCTCGGGCTCCCCCAGGCTGCCTCTCTATCTCCTCCCTTTTCACTGCCCTCCCAGAATGATAAGAGGCTGTGTGTTCTTTGCTACTAGGTAGCTAGTTTAACTAGCTAGCAGATTTATATGCCATTGCCTCAAGGCAAGGGAAAAGTGGTTTTTGTTTTGTTTTTTTTTGTTTTTTGTTTTTTGTTTTTGAGACGGAGTCTCACTCTGTCACCCAGGCTGAAGTGCAGTGGCGTGATCTTGGCTCACTGCAACCTCTGCCTCCCGGGTTCAAGTGATTCTGCCTCAGCCTCCCAAGTAGCTGGGATTACAGGTGCGTGCCACCATGTCCGGCTAATTTTTGTATTTTTAGTAGAGACAGGGTTTCACCATGTTGGCCAGGCTGGTCTCGAACTCCTGACCTCAGGTGATCCGCCCACCTTAGCCTCCCAAAGTGCTGGGATTACAGGCGTGAGCCACCTCAAGGTCATTTTTCACGATGGACTTGTGCTATGGGGAGGGCATCTTGGAAGCTGGTTAAGAGATACAGAAGAAGCATCCACAAACCAATACCCATCTCACAGCGACAAGGGCA
The DNA here is from genome assembly GCF_000001405.40 of Homo sapiens. NCBI lineage: Eukaryota > Metazoa > Chordata > Mammalia > Primates > Hominidae > Homo > Homo sapiens. The sequence goes on from NC_000008.11 coordinate 144,402,709, forward strand.
ACTCCAGGGCTTCACCCGCAAATTCTACCAAAGGTTTCAGAAGTAATGACACACTTAAAAAAAAAACACACACCCACTCATGTGGGGCTGACGGCACCGCAGGTGGCTCAGGCCACCCCAACAGCCCACAGACAGGTGGGACAGGAAGTGACACCAACCTCCTCAAAACGCCTGCAGATGAGCCCAGTGACAAGCAGGGGTATTGTAACACAACTGGGTTGAGTTATTCCAGGAACGCAAAACTAGATTTCCGCAAGAACAGCCATCGCTAAACTTACCATGCTGTCAAAATTAAGGAGAAAAATCATGTCATTTTAGTGGATACAAAAAAAGCATCTGATAAAGGCATTCGTGATAAAAACTCCTAGTAAAGCAAAAATAGGAGGAAAATTTTTTTTTTTTTTTTGAGATGGAGTCTCACTTTGTTGCCCAGGCTGGAGTGCAATGGTGTGATTTTGGCTCACTGCAACCTCTGCCTTCCAGGTTCAAGCGATTCTCCTGTCTCAGCCTCCTCAGTAGCTGGGATTATAGGCGCCCACCACCACGTCCAGCTAATTTTTGTATTTTTAGTACAGACAGGGTTTTGCCATGGCCAGGCTGGTCTTCAACCCCTGACCTCAAGCGATACACTCACCTCGGCCTCTCAAAGCGCTGGGATTACAGGCATGAGCCACCACGCCAGGCCTTTGTTTTTTGACATAGGGCCTCACTGTCTCCCAGGTTGGAGTGCAGAGGAGCAATCATGTTTCACTGCAGCCTCGACCTCCTGGGCTTAGGTGATCCTCCCACCTCAGCCTCCTGAGTAGCTGGGACCACATGTGAGTCACCACACCTGACTAATTTATTTATTTTTTTAAATTTTGAGACAGAGTCTCACTCTGTCACCCAGGCTGGAGGGCAGTAGTGTGATCTCAGCTCCCTGCAACCTCTGCCTCCTGGGTTCAAGCAATTCTCCTGCCTCAGCCTCCCAAGTAGCTGGGATTACAGGCATGTGCTACCATGCCCGGCTATTTTTGTATTTTTAATAGATAGGGTTTTGCCATGTTGGCCAGGATGGTCTCGAACCCCTGACCTCAGGTGATCCACCCACCTTGGCCTCCCAAAGTGCAAGGATTATAGACATGAGCCACCGCGCCCAACTTCCTTAATCAAATAAAGGGTATCTACAAAAAGTCTACAGCAATGTGGTGCTGGGAGTGAAACATTACAAGTTTTCCCTTTTGAGGCCGGGCACAGTGGCTCACGCCTGTAATCCCAGCACTTTGGGAGGCCGAGGTGGGTGGATCACCTGAGGTAAGGAGTTCGAGACCAGTCTAGCCAACATGGTGACATAGTGAAATCCCGTCTCTACTAAAAATACAAAAATTAGCTGGGTGTGGTGGCAGGTGCCTGTAGTCCCAGCTACTCAGGAGGCTAAGGCAGGAGAATCGCTTGAATCCGGGAGGCGGAGGTTGCAGTGAGCCAAGATCATGCCATTGCACTCCAGCCTGGGGGACAAGAGAGAGACTTGGTCTCAAAAAAACAAACAAAAAAAGAAGTTTTCCCTCTTGGTCAGGACCAGCCAAGGACGCCTGATCCACTCTGCCAAGTATAAGGTCAATATACAGAGATCAACTGCACTTCTGTGTACATGCAAGAAACAGGGGTAACCACTCAGAAGAATTTTTTTTTTTTTTGAGACGGAGTCTTGCTCTGTCGCCAGGCTAGAGTGCAGTGGCACAATCTTGGCTTACTGCAAGCTCTGCCTCCCAGGTTCAAGCCATTCTCCTGCCTCAGCTTACCGAGTAGCTGGGACTACAAGCGCCCACCACCACGCCTAATTTTTTTTTTTTTTGTATTTTAGTAGACTCGGGGTTTCACCATCTTGGACAGGCTGGTCTTGAACTCCTGAGCTCAGGCAATCCACCCACCTCGGCCTGCCAAAGTGCTGGGATTACAGGCGTGAGCCACTGCGCCCGGCCACCACTCAGAAGGATTTTAAGAAAAATGTGTACATAGTCAAATGGTCTAACTGGCATGTTGGGGGAAAGGGGACAGAATCAATAGCTAAAGAAATAGCGACCAAAGGCTGGGCGTGGTGGCTCACGCCTGTAATCCCAGCACTTTGGGAGGCTGAGGCAAGCGGATCACGGGGTCAGGCGATCGAGACCATCCTGGCTAACACGGTGAAACCCCGTCTCTACTAAAAATACAAAAACATTAGTCGGGCGCCTGTAGTCCCAGCTACTCAGGAGGCTGAGGCAGGGGAATCGCTTGAACCCAGGAGGTGGAGCTTGCAGTGAGCCGAGATTGTGCCACTGCACTCCAGCCTGGGTGATAGAGCGAGACTCCGTCTAAAAAAAAAAAGAGAAAGAAAGAAAGAAAAAAAAACCTTGAAAATCTGAATAAGAGGACGTTTACAGGGTTTCAAAATAAGTCCCTACAAGATACTTTTAGTTACAAAAGGAAGAAATAACCTTACAGTGGGGGAATCCAGGCCAACACTACCCAACCAAGCATCAAAGCATCAGCATCCAGTCATGAGGCAAAGGCCTCCGCCGCCTCCTGAAAGCTGATGGGGCTGCTGTTTGCCTCTTCTGTGGTGTTCCTGTCAAAAATACAAATGTCTCATCTAAACACCTGGGAATGTCTTGGCCGGGCTCCGTGGCTCACACCTGTAATCCCAGCACTTTGGAAGGCCAAGGCGGGTGGATCACTTGAGGTCAGGAGTTCGAGACCAGCCTGGCCAACATGGTGAAACCCCATCTCTACCAAAAATACAAAAAATTAGCTGGGTGTGGTGGCAGGCGCCTGTAATCCCAGCTACTCGGGAGGTTGAGGCAGGAGAACTGCTTGAACCCGGGAGGCAGAGGTTGCAGTGAGCTGAGATCGCACTGTTGCACTCTATCCTGGGTGACAGAGGGAGACTCTCTCTCAAAAAAGAAAAAAAAAAGACAGCTGTATGAAAGGTGGCTGTCTCCCTCCCTCTCCAGGTGAATCTGGGCTGGAGGCTGCCTTTAGGGCAGACTGTGGTGGCAGGGACGGTGCCCTCCTGGTCTAGCCCTTAAAGTGACTGGCAGCTTCTGCCTTAGCCTCCTAGGGCTCTGAGTTCCTGCAAGAAGCTCAACTACACCAACACCACCATGCTGCCAGGAAAACCAAGCTAGCCATGCTGGGGACAGGGGAGAGTGGAGGGACGGTGTGGGGGTAGGGGAAGACACATCTAGCCTGTCCCCAGCTCTTCAAGTCATCCCTGTCAAGGCTTGCCCTGGTGGAGGAGAGCCAAGGGCTCCCCACACTCTGATGAATCCCTGAAAACCTGGCTTCCAGGTCTGCGATTATGATAAAAGACCTCGTTTGCATATTCCAGGGCAGTTAGTTACAGAGCCACGACTAGACTGACCCCAGGAGGATGGCTTGAGCACAGGAGTTCGAGGCCAGCCTGGACAACATAGCAAGACCCCGTTTCTTAAAAACAAAAAACAAAACAGAAGAAGAAAACCTCTTTTCCTGCTATTTATGGCTCCATTTCTTGCTTCAGTTTACGCACATCTCCTCCAGAGTTGTCTGTGTTCACTGTTACTGACTCTCCTCCCCTGCTGGGCTCTTACCCCTGCTCCATTCAGACCACAACCCCTCGTGCCCACCAGACTGCCCTGTCAGTCACCAGGCATCACCTGAGGCTCAACAGCGTGGGACCCAGTGTCGAGTCCCTCCCAGCTGCCTTCCCTGGGCCTCCAGGGCCCTGTCCAGCTTTCCCCCTGCCTTCCAGGCCATGCCACCTCCAGCTCTTTCATGGCCTCTCATCTCCCCAATCTCTCAATGTTGGGGTGCCCCAAGACCCTGTCTTTGTCTATATTCTGGGTGATCTCAACCAGTTTCCAAGGGCAGACACCAACCCCAGGCTGAAGACTCTGACTTGACCTCCATACCAGACCTCAATCCTCAATTCTAGACTCTTGCACACACCCTCCTGCTCTGCACTGCTGCCTGATGTGGAATGAGCACCTCGGCCAACCTACGGTGGCCAGCGTCCAAGGCAGCACAACGCTTCCTGCTCTGCACTGCTACCTGATGTGGAATGAGCACCTCAGCCAATCTACGGTGGCCAGCATCCAAGGCAGCACAATGTCCTCTGCAGTGAATGCTGGGAGGTGTTGCACCCTCCGCAACCCCCACCAGGGTTGGTAGATATGACCAGCAGAATATGACAGAAGGTTAACAGTGTATTACTACTACTTTTTTTTTTTAGATGGAGTTTTGCTCTGTCACCCAGGCTGGAGTGGAGTGCAATCTCGGCTCACTGCAACCTCCGCCTACGGGTTCAAGCAATTCTCCTGCCTCAGCCTCCTGAGTAGCTGGGATTACAGATGCCTGCCACCACACCCAGCTAATTTTTGTATTTTTAGTAGACACAGGGTTTTGCCACGTTGGCCAGACTGGTCTCGAACCCATGACCTCAGGTGATCTACTACCTGCCTCGGCCTCCCAAAGCGCTAAGATGATAGGTGTGAGCCAACGTGCCTGGCCTTTTTTTTTTTTTTTTGAGATAGGGTCTCACTCTGTTGTCCAGGCTGGAGTGTAATGGTGCAATTATAGCTCACTGCAGCCTTGACCTCCTGGGCTTGAGCGATCCTCCCACCCTGGCCTCCCATGTAGCTAGGACTACACACAGGCCACTATGCCCAGCTAACTTTTATATTTTATATTTGGGCCAAGCACAGTGGTGCACTCCTGTAATCCCAGCACTTTGGAAGGCCAAGGTGAGTGGACTGCCTGAGCTCAGGAGTTTGAGACCAGCCTGGCCAATGTGGCGAAACCCTGTCTCTATTAAAAATACAAAAAAAAAATTAGCCGGGCGTGGTGTCACACACCTGTAATCCCAGCTACTTGGTGGAGGGTTTAGGGAGCTGAGGCACAAGAATTGCCTGAACCCACGAGGCGGAGGTTAAAGTTAGCTGAGATCACACCACTTCATTCCAGCCTGAGTGACACAGCAAGACTCCGTCTCACCAGGAAAAACAAAAAAAAAAATTATTTGTAGAGATGGGGTCTTGCTATGTTGCTCAGGCCAGTCCTGAACTCCTGGCCTCAAGCAGTCATCCCACTTCAGCCTCCCAAAGTGTGGGACTATAGGTGTGAGCCAGTGCACCCAGCCTGAGATTCGGTTACAGGACTCGCCGTGGCTTCAGTCTTGGTGGGTGTCTCATTGTGAGGGAGGCTGCCATGTTGTGAGCTGCCCCAGGGAGGGGCCCATGTGGTGAGGAACTGCGGCCTCCTGCCAATAGTGTGTTAGGAGCAGAAACTCCAGCCCTCGTCAAGCCTTCAGAGGACAGGAGCCCTGGCCAGCAAATACATATGTATGCCGGGGTAGGTGCCCAGGAGGGTTGGCCTCCTTTGGCCTGAGCTTCTGACCCATCTGCCTGCTGGGTCAGCCCCTATTCACAACCCTCTTGTGGCTCCTCCCTGCTTTGTGGAGAATAGTCCTGACCACGGCCTACCTCCCTCCATCCCCACCACCACATCCAGTCTATACCACGGCCACACTGTGCATGTCTCTCCACCCTCAACTGCTTTGGGCCTGTGCACAGGCTGTTTCTTCTGCCTGGAACACCCTCCTCTCACCATCCCTGGGCCTGGGTAAGAGGTACTCCTCCCTTCAAGAGCAATGGAGAAACTGCCTCTTGCAAGTTGCTTTCCTGGACCAGCTTTCAACCCTCCGGCAACCAAAACACCACTGTATTTCCCAAACCCTTGAGGCGTGTGCCCCACTGTACCAAGACTCCTGTCAACAGTCTGTCCCCATCCTAGACCTGGCCTTGTTCCTTGTGCTACCAATGTCCTTCCCCCGACAAACTCCCGCTCTGCCTCAGACAGGCTCTTCTGATCATGCGACTGGAAATACACAGTCTCCTTCCTTCACTCCTTTATTCCCGCAGCAGCACTTGCTGCAGGGGCAGGTGTGTTTATTTAGATGTTCCCCTTCCCCAAGTGTCTGCAGGTGTGGTTCACATGGTATCTCTGCTACCCAGCGCACAGTGGGCGTTCGCTCCTTCCGAACAACTTGCTGAAAAAACGGAAGAGCAAACAAGACGGCTAGGGCAGCGCGCCCTTCCCGGTGGGGTAGGAAGGGAGGCAGAACAGGGTAGCAGCTGTGAGAAAGGATCTGAGCACAAGAGATTCAGGGTCATGTCCTGGCTCCTCAGGCTGAGGAACGTTAAGCAAATCACTCAACTTGTCTGGGGCTTGGCTCTTCCATCTGCAACCGGGGGCGGTGAGAGCACCCACGTCGCGGACAGCCGGGAGGGCTCCCAGGGCCCGACCTACCTCGGCGTCGCGGTTGAGGCGGTACACGTAGAGCTGCGAGGTCCCGGCCACTACCAGGTTGCGCTCGCTGTTGTTGAAGAAGTTGCAGTACATGGAGAACTCCAGACCGGTGGGCGGATGCGCCTGTTTGTACACGGCGTACATGGCGCCAACCCGGGCTGCGCAAGGCCGGGAGAGGAAGGGTGAGCGGGGTCGCCCACGCAGGAGCCCGGCCCCGCACCGCGCCCCTCCCCGGCCTCGCGCTGCCGCCTCGGCCGCCCGCCCGGCCGCCCACCTGGCAGTTGGAGCCGACTCGAGAGGAACCGGGACAGCAGCGAACTCAGTCCGGCCGGGCCCAGAAGCTGGGCGGGAAGGTTCCGGGCTTCTGCGCCTGCGCAGCGCCGCCGCGTGAGCGTGGCTGCAGGGGCGACAGCGGGCCCTAGTGGCCCGGGATGCGGGCGGCTGGCGGCTCGGCTCCGGGCTGGGCGTCCGGAACCCAAACCCCTAGCGCGCGAAGTGCGGGGCCTCCGCTGCGGGCGGAGCAGCGCGGGTTGGAAGCCGCAGGGGCGCCGGCTGCAGCGGCTCGGGGTCGGCCGGGGGGTGCGTCCGCGCCAGACCCAGGACGGCTGCAGGGAGAAGCGACTCCGCTCGTAGCTCCCGGGTTCAGGGGGCGCGCCGGAATCCAGAAGAGGGGGCGCGGCGCCTCGCCAGTGTCTGGGGCTCCGAGAAAGCTTCCTAGAGAGGCCGCACGCCCCCTCTGCCCAGTGTCCCCGCGCAGAGCGACCCCCGCCGCCAACACTCCCGCGGAGGACGCAGGACCCCGCGAGCCCAGCGCTGTCCGCCCGCCTTGCTCACTGCTGCCTACCCAGGGCGGGCCCAGTGCCAGCTTCCGGGAGCTTGGATCCTGGATCAGGCACGGGCCTAGGACCTAGAAACGGAATCATGAGAAATAAAACAAGAAAGTATCGTTACGCCCAAGAAAATGGCGTGGAAATATGTGTTTTTGTTGCATCCAAATCTACTTGCTCATTGGGCAGTGGGGGAAGGGCCACTTGGATGCTCAGGCGTGTGACCCCTGAGCCACACTCAACCGCCTTTTAAAAGTCAATAGGAGGCGGTGGCTCACGCCTGTAATCCCACTTTGGAAGGCCGAGGTGGGCGGATCACCTGAGGTCAGGAGTTCGAGACCAGCCTGGCCAACATGGTGAAACCCAGTCTCTACTAAAAATACAAAAACTGTGGGGGAAAGAGAGAGAGATCAGATTGTTACTGTGTCTATGTAGAAAAGGAAGACATAAGAAACTCCATTTTGATCTGTACTAAGAAAAATTGTTTTTGCTTTGAGATGCTGTTAACCTGTAACTTTAGCCCCAACCCTGTGCTCACAGAAACATGTGCTGTAATGAATCAAAGTTTAATGGATTTAGGGCTATGCAGGATGTGCCTTGTTAATATGTTTGTAGGCAGTATGCTTGGTAAAAGTTATCGCCATTCTTCATTCTCGATTAACCAGGGACACAATGCACTGCGGGAAGCCGCAGGGACCTCTGCCCAAGAAAGCCTGGGAATTGTCCAAGGTTTCCCCCCACTGAGACAGCCTGAGATATGGCCTCATGGGAAAGGAAAGACCTTACCGTCCCCCAGCCCAACACCTATAAAGGGTCTGTGCTGAGGAGTCGTAAAGAGGGAGGCCTCTTTGCAGTTGAGATAAGAGGAAGCCTTCTGTCTCCTGCTCGTCTTTGGGAATGGAATGTCTCATTGTAAAGCCAACCATTCCCTTTTGTTCTATTCTGAGATAGGAGAAAACTGCCTGGAAGCAAGAATGCTGGCAGCAATACTGCTCTGTTACTCTTTCCTACACTGAGATGTTTGGGTAAAGAGAAACATAAATCTAGCGCTGCTGCTCTGTTACTCTTTGCTACAATGACATGTTTGGGTAAAGAGAAACATAAATTTAGCCTACGTGCACATCCGGGCACAGTACCTTTCCTTGAACTTATTCATGATACAGATTCCTTTGCTCACATGTTTCCGCGCTGACCTTCTCCCCACTTGTTGCCCTGCTACACTCCCCTCGCTAAGATGGTAAAAATAATGATCAATACTGTGGGAACTCAGAGGCCGGTGCTGATGCAGGTCCTCCGTATGCTGGGTCCTCTGGGCCCACTGTTCTTTCCCTATACTTCGTCTGTGTGTCTTCTTTTCTCAGTCTCTCGTCCCACCTGATGAGAAATACTCACAGGTGTGGAGGGGCTGGCTCCCTTCAAAAATTAGCCAGGGTGGTGGCGCATGCCTGTAATCCCAGCTACTCAGGAGACTGAGGCAGGAGAATCACTTGAACCCAGGAGGCAGAGGTTGCAGTGAGCCAAGATGGCGTCATTGCACTCCAGCCTGAGTGACAAGAGTCACATACAATAAAAATAATCAGAAGAGACAGAAACACAAGAAAGAAGGTCATGTGGGCCAGGCGCAATGGCTCACACCTGTAATCCTAGCACTTTGGGAGATCGAGGTGGGTGGATTACCTGAGGTCAGGAGATCGAGACCAGCCTGGCCAACATGGTGAAACCCCGTCCTACTAAAAATATAAAAATTAACTGGGCGTGGTGGCGGGTGCCTGTAATCCCAGCTACTCGGGAGGCTGATGCAGAATTGCTTGAACCTGGGAGGCAGAGGTTGCAGTGAGCCGAGATGGTGCCACTGTACTCCAGCCGGGGCGACAGAGTGAAGCTCTGTCTCAAAAGAAGAAAGAAAAGAAAAGGGGAGGGGAGGGGAGGGAAGGTCATGTGAAGACAAAGGCAGGGATTGGAGTCATACTGCCCACAAACCAAGGAACACCTGGGGCCACCAGTAGCCAGGAAAGGCTCATGGAACAGACTGTTTCCTAGAGACTTCAGAGAGAGCATTGCTCTCCTGACACTTTGATTCCTAACTTTCAGCCTCCAGAACTGTGAGAATAAGTTTCTGGTTTTAAGGCACTCAGTTTATGGTAGGCTTTGTTAAGGTAGCCCTAGGAGGCCACCACACAGGCACTCAGGATTAACGCCTCAGAGTCAGAAGAGGCTGGCGTCCCAGGAACCGTGGGCTGCCACACACTCTGGTCTGACGATCTCCAGGTTTGCTTTCCATGACAGAGAAATAAGCCCTCGGCTGTGTAAGCAGTTATAGGTAAGCAAGTTTGATTCCTGTTTGGGGACAGGTCCCACCTGCTGCCCACACACCCGGGTGAATTTCCCTGACCCCACTCCTCAGGCAGGCAGGGTCTCCATATCAAAGAGGGGGCACCTGAGGCTGGCTGCCTGGGGGTCCTGAGTGCAGCTCTCCTGGCTTCGAGGCACCCCGATGGGGAGAAGGCAGTGCCGCAATTGTCCTTTCTCAGCTGAGGGCCCTTCCCACCCAGCAAGGAGAGCACAGCCATGCTCCAAGGACAAGAGTGTCTTTACTGGAGTTGGGACTGGGGCCTCTATAGGGGCTTCTGGTTTCTGGGCTGTAGGTTTGTGAGGTGTGGGATCTTAAGTCAAAGGTGGGGGACTAGGGCAGGGTATCAGAAGGTGATGTCATCCTCGTACAGGGACAGCAGCAGCAGGACGGTCCAGCCGCCCAGCAGGCCCACGTTGTGCAGCAGGAAGAGGAGCCAGGGCCGCGGGTCCCGTACTTTCAACATCGCCGGGAGCTGAGGAGCAAGTGGGCACCGGGTCAGCGCCCCTGCTCAGCTCCTCTGCTCAGCTCCCGGCCCAGAGCAGCCCCTCCCCTCGCCATCCTGACCATGTCGCAGAGTGCTACGTAGAGGAACAGGCCGGTGGCCACTGCCAGGATCCAGGCCTCGCTCTCCTCGCTGACTCCAACCGCGAGTGCCACGTAGAGACCAGCGAAGGCCGTGAGCGCGGAGGCCAGGTTCAGCAGCAGTGCTTGGCGCACGGACAGCCCCGCGTGCAGCAAGGCGGCGAAGTCCCCTGCGGGCGAGTCCACATTAACAGCTCCGCCCTCCTAGCTACATGCCCCGCCCACCTCCTTTCGGTCCCGCCCTCTTACCACCAGGCCCCGCCCACCTGTTCCCGGTCTCCCCGCCCAGCCGTCAGATCCCGCCCATCACCTTCCAGGCCCCGCCCCACCTGTTTCCGGTCTCCCCACCCAGCCAGGTGCGGCCCCGCCCATCTTCCAGGCCCCGCCCACCTGTTCCAGGTCTCCCCTCCCAGCCCCGTGCGGCCCCGCCCATCTCCTTCCAGGCCCCGCCTGCGCTCACCCAGCTCGTGTGGCAACTCGTGGCAGAACACGGCCAGCGAGGTGGCCAGCCCGGTCTTCCAGGAGGACGCGAAGGCGGCGCCCACGGCCAGCCCGTCGGCGAAGTTGTGCACGGCGTCGCCCAGAGTGATCATATAGGGCAGTAGCCTCAACTCTGCGGGCGCAGAGGCCCGTGGGTTCGCGTGGCCTGTCGCCTACCGCCAAGCCTTGGGCCCCACCCGCGCTCCACACAAACCCCAGATCCCCCAGCCCTTCCGGGGTCGCCCCCTGGGCTCACCTGGGCTCAGTCTCCTGGGCTCAGGGTTCAGCAGCTCCGGGCTCTCCTCCGCCACCTGGGAGGAGCCTTGAGTAAGTCCCGCCCGGAAGTGGAGGAGGAACGCGGTGGGGCGGGGCGGGGCCCCAGATCACCGCGGGAGGCGGAGCCGCAGGCCTGGGGTGGGGCTGGGAGTGTGGGCGTGGGAAGGGGTCGGTGGGAGGGGCTCCGCGTGGGATGGGGCATCTGGCGCCCACTCACCAGGTCTGCGCGGGAGCCCTCGTGGGGGGGCTTGGGCTGCCGGAGCTCGCTGGGTGCCAGCTGCAGGGACACACCGTGGCTGTGGCCCCCGTGGCTATGGCTGCTGTGGCCGCAGGGCCCGTCCTCCAGGTCCTGTGAGGGTAGGTGCTCAGTGTCCACCAGGCCCCCAGCACACCCACCCGCCGGGTACCTTCCCAAGAAGCCTGACCTCCGGGTCCCTGGGCAGCAGGAGATTGAAGAGGTTCTCAAACAGGAAGAAGGCGTAGAGCCCGGCCAGCATAGCCAGGAGGCGCCAGGTGGGCTGTGGGCTGAGGCCCTCTTCGCTGTGTGTATGCAGCCCCAGCACCTGGGGAGTAGGGGCGCTGGGCTGGGGGGGAGGTCCCAGGGCGCCTCCCACCAAGACCCAGGGAGAGGGGTCAGGAGGTGGGGTGGGTAAGGTCCCTGGGAGGGCACGGCCTGGGAGTCCATGGTGGGGAACGGAGGGCCAGGGTCGCGGGTTTGTGGGGGCAGACCTTGGGCGTCAGATGCAGGACAGCGTCCCCAGTGACTGCACCCACTGCCAGGCTCAGGAAGGTCTGCAGGATGTAGTGGGTGACCCCCCTGCAGCCAGTGCAGGTCAGCAGCAGGAGGCCAAAGACCGCGCAGAGGCAGATGAGCAGCGTGGCCAGGGAGCCGTACAGATACCCTGGGGGCGGGTGAGGCGGCTGTGAGAGCTTTTCTTCCAGACTCAGCCCCTGCTTCCCGGGCGCTGCTCACCAGAGCTGCAGGCCGTCAGTGTGGGCCAGGCCCTCACTCAGGCTGACCCTCCTGCCTCAAAGCCCCACTCTCCTGGCGACGCCACCTTCCCCTGTGTCTGTTGTTTCTACTTCCAGCCCCTGCTCACTCTCTCCATCCCTCATCCTGGGCAGCCACTCCTTCCTTCCTACACGGGCTCCACCTCTGTGCTGCCAGCACAATGTCGGCGTGGGCACTCACTCTCTGACTGGCTGAGCTGGTCCTGGACGGGGGGCCTGGACTGGGAGGTGCAGGCTCCACTCAGCTGCTGTTGGAGCAGGGCAGGGCTCAGTTGGGCCCAGGCCTCCGGGGTCACCCCAGCCTGTTCCGACAGTCCATATGCAGCCATCACGTCCCTGGCACTCAGGCATACCTGGGGGGTGGCAGGACAGGCTCAGGGGCCCAAGCAGACCCCGGTGAGGCCCCATCTTACCCCAGGGCGCAGCTCACCGTGTCCCACACACTGGAGCTGTTGCTGGAGCTGATGAGGGGCACAGGGTCCCGGCTGCTGGCTCCCCTGTGCCGATGACTGTGGTCACTGTGGGCCTCCCTGCCCACCCCCAGGCGCTGCATCAAGGCTGACAGCTCTGGCAGGGAGAAGAGTTGGCACCGCGAGTCTGTGTGGGCTCCGGCCCTGCCCCCCAGGGACGTGGAGGCTGGGGACTCGGGGGTGCCCCCCTCCACAGCCCAGCCCAGGCCTCACCGGCCAGCGTCATAGGGACCTCGCTGCTGTGCTGCTGGAACACAAAGTCCACGAAGTACTGAGGGCTCGGCAAGGCGTGGAAGCAAGACCCGCTCCTGACATGGTCCAGCAGGGCAGCCAGGACGCCGCCAGCACTGCCCGGAGCCCCCGCCCCCACCGCCTCCTCCAGCAGCTGAGGGATATCTACGCAGGCCTGGGGAAGAGGGGGCCTCCGCCTCAGCCTTTGGTGTGACCTTCTGCCATCCACCCCGCTGCCCCTGGATGCATCTCCCACCCCAACTACAGGATCTGCCCCCACCAGCCCCGCCCCTCCCTGGAGCCACAGCCCTCCCTGCCGGGCCCAGCTGCTTCAGGCTCCCACTCAGGCCTCTGGGTTCCTCCCTCATGAGGTCCCTCCCGGGGCTCCTACAGGCTCCCAACTGCCCAGTAGTGAGCCCCACGTTGTGAATCCCCAGCCGCAGGCCGACTCCTGGGCGTCTCCCCAGGCCCCCAGGCTCCCCGAAGGCTTTGCAGCCAGGCCGGGTCCCATGGGCCGTGGGACCCTCCTCACCCACTCCCCTGGTCTGCCTGGACTCTCCCTCACCATCTTGGGGGTCTGGCCGGCAGCCCGGGCCTGCATCCTCTGCAGCAGCCAGCTCAGGCCCGGGGTCAGGGCCTTGGGGCTCTCGAGCAGGGCCAGGAGGTGGTCTGCATGAGAGGCCCAGAGGCCAGCCCGAGCGTCCTCACAGGTGCCCTCGGGGTTGCTGAGGTACAGGACGGCGGCGGCACTGAGGCGGGCGACGTACCTGGCCTCCAGGACCGGGCCCGGGGGCAGCCCTGACCCCTCAGGCTCGCCCAGGCCCAGGGCGTCCTCCACAGACAGGCACTGTGGGCAGAGACAAGTGAGCAGGGGCGCTGGGCCCACCAGGGAGGGGAGAGGCAGGCCTGGCCAGGGGCTTCCCCGAGGGCCTGTTTCCCTTTCAAGTCCAACAACGTCCACCATCCTCTCTCAACCCCTGGCGCCCTTCCGTCTCCCCAGGCCCCTGTCCTGCTTCCCCAACTACAGGGGTGCACGCAGAGGGGTCCCCAACAGTGGTCCCCCATCCCCAGGGGACTCCCCTGGAGCCACTGCCAATTTGATGGCAGAGGGCCGGCAGGGGGAGTTGGCCCTGGGGTCCTGGGGAGAAGAGGGACTGTGTCCCTGGAAAGGCCTGTCTGCCCTCATGAGCAGGAGGGTGGGCTCTGGCCTGTGGGGAGGGTCAGGGTGCCCAGGTACTGCCACTAGCCTCCTCCGCCTCCTGGAGTTTGCCCAGGGCCCTTTGCTGCCGGCTGGCAGGGCGGAGCTGGCGGGAAGAGGCCAGGGCTGGGGGACCCGTCGGGTGGGGCTGTTACCTTTCCACACGGCCCGTTGGCGCAGTGCACACGGTCCGCCAGCGTATTTAACAGGCCGCCCAGAGCCTCTTGATCCAGAGCGCCCTGGCCAGAGGTGAGCAGGCTCAGCAGACCAGCAGGCGGGGACGCCGTCGCCGTCACCACCAGCACAGCCAGAAGCAGCCCCAGCTCCAGCGAGACCAGGGACGCCATACTCAGCTCCCAGCGTGCTCAGTGGGTGTTGCTGTGGCCAAGGCCCAGTGCTTCTGGGCTGGCTGAGGGCGGCTTTGCTGGGGTTGTCCAGGGCCAGACTGGGGCTGGGCTAGGACCCGCCCGGGCTGCATGAGGACCTCTCCCAGGTATTCCTGCAGAGCTCTGTGATTGGCTGCTGGAGATGCCTGGGTTAACCATTCCAGTGGCAGATCCTCCCCAACAGCCTGGAGCCACTGCCTGTGGGGGTCGAGGGCTGGGCCCCTTCCCCTGGACAGGCAGCCTCGGTGGTCTTTTTTTTTTCGAGTTGGAGTTTTGCTCTTGCTGCCCAGGCTGGAGTGCAATGGCGTGATCTTGGCTCACGGCAACCTCCGCCTCCCGGGTTCAAGTGCTTCTCCTGCCTCAGCCTCCCGAGTAGCTGGGATTACAGGCAGCGCCACCACGCCCGGTTACTTTTGTATTTTTAGTAGAGACAGTGTTTCTCCATGTTGGTCAGGCTGGTCTTGAACTCCCAACCTCAGGTGATTCGCCCGCCTTGGCCTCCCAAAGTGCTGGGATTACCGGCGTGGCTCACCACGCCAGGCCAGCCTGGGTGGGCTTCTGTCCTCTGCCTGCTGCCCCCCAAGCTGTGGGGCAGGGCTGGGGTGTCCCCTTCTGGCTGTCCATCTGGGGGCTGCCTCCAAGCTGGGGGACACAGGGCAGAGGTGCACAGATGCCCCCAGAGCCTGAGAGCTCCCAGGTCCCTGCCTCTGCCCCTCCCAACAGAGGCTGCCCAGACACCCTCGGTGGCCCCTGTTGGGGGTGGGGACATGGACCTCCCTCCTCCTGGGTCCTGGGCTGTGGTCCCTGTTGGGGACTGCGATGGAGTCAAAGAAACTGAAAAGGTGCCTGCTGCATCATGCTCCCTTAGGCCGGAGACAGCCCCAGGAAGCTCCAACACAGACAAACAGGAAGACGGAGCTGGGCCCTGGCAGCCACCTGGCCGAGCTTGGGTCAGGATAAGATTGGGGCAAGACCCCAGCTCTAGCCCCGGGGGCAGGGAGGCTGTGGCTCCCAGCCCTGCCCTCTCTGTGGGCTCCCTCTCTGGCCTTTGAGCCTAGAGGCCTTATCTCTACCGTGGTGGTGATGGCAGGAAGTCTGGGGGAAGGGGAAGGCAGATCTCAGGGCAGCTTTGCCTTCTGAAGGGGGAGTCCAGATGCCACCTCCCGCCCGGTCCAGCCAGCCTGACCCTGAGCATTGTGGGTGGGGCTGGGGTGGGGAGCTGGGTGCCTGAGGCCCAAGGACTCTGTCCCGCCATACACAGGGTGGGACGGGGCAGGGCGGGCATTGAGCCCAGTGTCCTGGGGTCAGGGTGCTTCCCCTGCCGGCCTCACCCCACCAAGCGGATCTCATGGTGCTCCTCTGGCTGGGCCCACCCGCAGTGGTATCCTTCTGGGGGCCCTTAGGGGAGCCTGCCGGGGGTGCAGATCCTGCCGGGGGTGCAGAGCCTGCTGGGGGTGCAGATGATTTCTGGGTCCCAGGACCATGAGGGGGCTGCTCTACACACAGCCTGAAGATGCTGCGGACCCAAACTGGCCCTTTCCCTCCCACACCACCCCAGGACCAATGGGCTGGCTGGAGGCCACCCATGCTAAAATAGGCTCAAGGGCCTACTTTAGCTTCTGGGCAAAGGTCTTGGCCTGGGCCTGACTCTGTGGCCTTCCTGAGCTGCCTCCCCAGTAGGCCTCAGTGCTGGGCTACAGGCCTCCTCCATTCCCTCCATTCATGTGACCCCACCCCTCCCAGCAGAAACTCTCTTCCGTAGCCCAGGAGCAGCTGTTGAGGGTTTCACCTGCCCATGCCCCAGCCTAAGGCCGGCTTCCCCAGAGCAGACGGGTTGCACTCTCCTGCCCCTCAGGCCCACTCTGTCATCCAACAAGCTCACTGCAACTGGCCCATCTTAAAAACAACACCGGCTGGTCACGCTGGCTCACACCTGTAATCCCAGCGCTGTGGGAGGCCGGGGCGGGGGGATCACTTAAAGTCAGGAGTTTAAGACCAGCCTGGGCAACATGGTGAAACCCGAGCTCCACTAAAAACACAAAAACAAATTAAGGCACCCTGAGTGGTGGTGGGTGCCTGTAGTCCCAGCGACTCGGGAGGCTGAGGCAGAATTGCTTGAGCCCAGGAGGTGGAGGCTGCAGTGAGCCACGATCGCATCACGCACTCCAGCCCGGGCAACCTGGCAAGACCCTGACTCTAAAAAGAAAAAAACAACAACAAAAAAAAGCCCACGTTCAATGGCAGCACTATTCAAAAGATGGAAGCAACTCAAGTATCCAAACGCGCATGAGTGAACACATCGTGGTTCATCCACAGTGGAACACGATTCAGCCAGAAAAAGGAAGGAAACCGGCCTGCACCGTGACTTGGATGCACCTGGAGGAGACTGTGATGAACGAAAGCAGCCAGACGCAAAAGGGCAAGGACGGTGTGATCTGACTGATGTGAGGACCCCAGCCAGTCAAATTCATGGAGACAGAAAGTAAAAGGGTTTTGGGAGGCCGAGGCGGGCAGATCACCTAAGGTCAGGACTTCGAGACCAGCCTAGCCAACATGGTGAAACCCCATCTCTACTAAAAAATACAAAAATTAGCCAGGCATGGTGGCGGGGTCCCAGCTGCTCAGAAGTCTGAGGCGGGAGAATTGCTTGAACCCCGGAGGCAGAGGTTACAGTGAGCTGAGATCACGCCATTGCACTCTAGCCTAGGCGACAGAGCTAGACTCTGTCTCAAAAATAGTAATAACAAAAAATTTTAAAATAAATAAAAAAAATACAGGCCGGGCACAGTGGCTCATACCTCTAATCCCAGTACTTTGGGAGGCCAAGGCGGGCGGATCACCTGAGGTTGGGAGTATAAGACCAGCCTGGCCAACATGGTGAAAACCTGTCTACTAAAAGGTACAAAACTTAGCTGGGCATAGTGGCAGGAGCCTGTAATCCCAGCTACTCAGGAGGCGAAGGCGGGAGAACTGCTTGAACCCGGAAGGCAGAGGTTGCAGTGAGCCGAGATCGCACCATAGCATTCCAGCCTGGGCAACAGAACGAGACTCTGTCTAAAAAAAAAAACAAAAAATTAAATAAGTTAAAAAAAATACATGCCTGGCACCCAGTGGCTCATGCCTGTAATCCTAGTACTTTGTAGGGCCAAGGCAGGCGGATCACCTGAGGTCGGGAGTTCCAGACCAGCCTGACCAACATGGAGAAACCCCATCTTTACTAAAAATACAAAATTAGCCAGCAGGGCGTGGTGGCTTATGCCTGTAATCCCAGCACTTTGGGAGGCTGAGGCGGGCGGATCACGAGGTCAGGAGATCGAGACCATCCTGGCTAACACGGTGAAACCCCGTCTCTACTAAAAATAAAAATAATTAGCCGGGTGTGGTGGCGGGCGCCTGTAGTCCCAGCTACTCGGGAGGCTGAGGCAGGAGAATGGCGTGAACCCGGGAGGCGAAGCTTGCAGTGAGCCGAGATTGCACCACTGCACTCCAGCCTGGCCAACATAGCAAGACTCCGTCTCAAAAAAAAAAAAAAAATACAAAATTAGCCGGGCGTGGTGGCACATGCCTGTAATCCCAGCTACTCAGGAGGCTGAGGCAGGCGACTCTTGAACCTGGGAGGCGGAGCTTGCAGTGAGCCGAGATTGCACCACTGCACTCCAGCCTGGGCGACAGAACGAGACTCCATCTCAAAAAAAAAAAAAAAAAATACAAAATTAGCCAGGCATGGTGGCACATGCCTGTAATCCCACCTATTCAGGAGGCTGAGGCAGGCGACTCTTGAACCTGGCAGGTGGAGGTTGCAGTGAGCCGAGATCACGCCATTGCACTCCAGCCTGGACAACAAGAGCGAAACTCCGACTCAAACAAACAACAAAATACAAAACTTAAGCCAGGCTGGCGGCATACCCCTGTAGTCCCAGCTATTCGGGAGGCTGAGGCAGGAGAATCACTTGAACCTGGGAGGTTGAGGCTGCAGTGAGCTGAGATCATGCCACTGCACTCCAGCCTGGGCGACAGAGCCAAACTCTCTCTCAAAAAAAAAAAAGAGAAAGAAAAGAAAGAAGGGTGACTGCCAGGGCTGGGAAGGGGAGAATGTGTGTGAGTGTTTAATGGGGATGGAGCTTTACTTTGTTTGGATGGAAAAGTTCTGGAGGTAGACGGTGGTGAGGTTGTACAATAATGTAAATACACTTAATGCCCCTGAACTGTGTACTTAAAATCAGTTAAAATGGCAAAATTTGCTATATTTTATCACAGTAAAAAAAATAAAATAGGCCGGGCACGGTGGTTCACGCCTGTAATCCCAGCATTTTGGGAGGCTGAGGCGGGCGAATCACCTGAGGTCAGGATTTGAGACTAGCGTGGCTAACATGGTGGAACCCCGTGTTTACTAAAGATACAAAAACTAGCCGGCTGGGCGCGGTGGCTCACGCCTGTAATCCCAGTACTTTGGGAGGCGGAGGCCGGCAGATCACGAGGTCAGGAGATCCAGACCATCCTGGCTAACATGGTGAAACCCTGTCTCTACTGAAAATACAAAAAATTAGCTGGGCGTGGTGGCGGGTGCCTGTAGTCCCAGCTACTTGGGAGGCTGAGGCAGGAGAATGGCATGAACCCGGGAGGCAGGGCTTGCAGTGAGCAGGGATGGTGCCACTGCACTCCAGCCTGGGTGGCAGAGAGAGACTCTGTCTCAAAAAAAAAAAAAAAAAAATTGGCTGGGCATGGTGTCTCCCGCCTGTAGTCCCAGCTACTCAGGAGGCTGAGGCAAGAGAATTGCTTGAACCCAGGAGGCGGAGATTGCAGTGAGCCGAGATCATGCCATTGCACTCTAGCCTGGGCGAAAGAGGGAGACTCCATCTCAAATAAAAAATTTAAAATTAAAATTAAAAAAAAAAAAAAAAAAAACAGGCCGTGTGCGGTGGTTCACACCTGTAATCCCAATACTTTGGGACGCCAAGGCGGCAGATCACCTGAGGTCAGGAGTTGGAGACCAGCCTGACCAACATGGAGAAACCCTGTTTTTACTAAAAATACACAATTAGCTGGGCATGGTGGCAACACATGTAATCCCAGCTACTCAGGAAGGTAAGGCAGGAGAATTGCTTGAACCCTGGAGGCAGAGGTTGCAGTGAGCCGAGATCACACCATTGCACTCTAGCCTAGGTGACAGAGCGAGAGTCCGTCTCAAAAAAAAAAAAACAAAAATTAAATTTAAAAAAATACATGCCTGGCACCCAGTGGCTCACACCTGTAATCCCAGTACTTTGGGAGGCCAAGGCAGGCGGATCACCTGAGGTTGGGAGTTGGAGACCAGCCTGACCAAACATGGAGAAACCCGATCTCTACTAAAAATACAAAATTAGCCGGGAATGGTGGCGTGCCCCTGTAGTCCCAGCTACTCAGGAGGCTGAGACAGGAGAATCACTTGAACCCGGGAGGTGGAGGTCGCAGTGAGCCGAGATCGCGCCATTGCACTTCACCCTGGGCGAGAGAGAGCGACTCCTCAAAAAAAAAAAAAAAGATCAAAATGACCCTTCCTGGCCACCTGCCCCCCTTGACACACACACGTTTCTGGGTGCTGGTCCTCCCTCGAAGCACCCCGTACCCACATGTGCCTGTCAAGGACATCGAGCCCCAGGGCCCGACCCGACAGTGCCCTTCCTCAACTCCCTTGGGTGTCCTGGATCCTGCTGTCCTGGGGGCTCTTCTCTGGCTCCTTGGTCAGTCTCTTCCCACTTCCCATGGCAGTGCCCCTGGCCAGTCCTCCGGCTTCTTGGCGGGACTCAGCCTCCCTCTCCAGCCACTGACATCGTCATCCTGCTTGACGGCCCCCCTTGGCCGTCTGAGAGGCAGTCCCCACTCAGCCTGTGCACAGAGCCCACCTGCCTCCATGATGTCCCAAGCCCCCACGGAAATCCAAGCGACTTGATTTTCACTATCTGCCTTTCTCTACACACCTCATTCCACCGGCTCTAGATGCCACAGATGTCAAGAGGTTCTGGCATTCTCAGTCGCTAAGAGAGAAAAATTCTACAATGACACCCTGGCACGTCCCTTATCCTGAGGGCATAGTTGCTAAGATGTGAAGCACGCGGCTCTTGGAACCCAGAGGTGTGGTGTGTGGTCTGCTGCTTTTCCCTGGGGGCAGCAGCAGGTGTGCAGCACACGCTGTGGAATGGACGGCGTCCACCACCCGCTGCCTCCCCACCAGGCCCAGCCTTGACTCTTGGGCTTTGCCCAGGGGCTTGGGGAGAGGCCCTGGTGGTGGGCATGACAAACTCCCACCCAATGAGTAATTGGCTGGAGCTGCAGATAAGTCAGGAGTCCTGGGCCAGGGTGCAGTCATCCGAGTGGAGAGGTGGGTGTGGAGCAGCTGACAGCATGAAGTGCACCCCGCCTCTGAGCCCAGCCTGGCCTGGTGTGCTGGGACCTGACTGCACTCAGAAGACCTGGTGCTGCCCTGGGCTTCAGTGAGGCGTGGGGAGGGGTGGCAGGCAGCCTCCCCTGTGGCCAGAGTCAAGCCACGCCTGGCCCAGGTGGTAGACCTGTTCTCCAGGCCTCGGGGCTATGGAAACGCCCCTGCCTCCTATTATGTGCCCAGGCAGAGCCCACCAGGGAAGCAGCCGTCACTGAGTGATGCAGGCCATGAGGAATGCAGTGGCAGGGACAGAGCCAGGGCCGGGCCACCACACAGGTCGGGGGAGGGTAGGCGAGAGGGGCTCTATGCTGAGAGTCCCAGGAGGGTGGAGAGAATACACAGGGCAGGCCTGGGGGAGCCACCCAAGCAGGAAGGTCGGAGAGCATCTTTATTGTGGGGAGGGGCCCGGCCCCCAAAGTTCTGACACCAAAGACAGACACCAGACAGGCAGCTGCAGACAGTGAGTTGTGTGGATGACCACGGCCTGTGTGGCGGACAGGGGACCAGGAGCCATCGCCTCAGACTCTGCCCTTCTGTGCAAGGGCTAGTGCCCCGGGCTCAGGCATGCAGGAAGCGGTTGAAGGCGTTGTAGGCTGACTCCAGGTCGAACAGCATCTGACGCACCTGTGAGTCGTCCAGCTCATCTGACGCCGACATGCCGCTCAGGGTCTGCAGCCTGGGAGTGCAGCACAGGGCATGTGGGGGCTGAGGGCCTCAGGGGCACTGCGGGGCTCCGCCTGGCTGGGAGGGTCTCGGGCACTGCGGGGCTCTGCCTGGCTGGGAGGGACACCCACCACTGGCTGACCGTCTGGCGGCCCTCAAAGTCGGGTGGGAGGTGGCTCATGCGGTGCATGGTCTCCATCAGCTCTCGCAGGTCGGGCTGGATCTGAGACACACACAGCGGCTGGGACCCCGACGCCGGCTCCATCCCCTCCTGCCTAGGCCCCCTGCCAGCCCAATACCCGCACCTCATCCATGGCGCGGATCTCCAGACGCAGCTTGTCCATGACCGTGATGAAGAGCTGGGGGCAGGTGTGCACATGAGGCTCGCGTGTCCACGGGTGCGGGAGGCCCCACGGCTCACGGGCCCCAACCCCTCCTCAGCCACAGCTGTCACTTGGGCCTCCTCACTGTACTCTGTTCCCAAACCCTGCAGGCCTCCTGGGTGAACGAGGTCCTGGCTGCCCAGACAGCTGTGTGGGAACTGAAGGGTGGGCCCACACCCACACTCTCTCCCGAGGCCAGGACCCCGCCAGAACGCACCCTGTGCTCATCCCCCCGACAGGAGTCCAGGTGGCCTGGGGGCGTCCCCGCATGCTGCCCACCCCTCATTCCTAGTTAAAGGGGTTCCCTTCTGCCCAGCAAGTCAGAGTGCTGCTCAGCTCTGGAGGCCCAGGACCCTACGCTCGTGCCCAGCTGCAGCAGGCAGCCTCGGCTCTCCTAACCACGTGCCCTGGGGGCTGGGGCGCACCGAGACCACGTCTGCGATGCAGCGGTTGAGGTTGCCCTTGTCGTCCTTGATGGTGATGGGCCGGTCCTCCTTGATCCGCTCCATGGCCAGCGGGCAGTCCAGCTGTTGGGGGTGACATGGGTGCTGGGGCTCTCAGGACAGCAAGCCCCAGGTGGCCAGAGCCCTCTGGCACCCCATACCCATGCCCGACAGTCTCGCCCCATGGGGGTGGAAGGACCAGGCACTCACGCGGAACTTGCGGCAGAATTCGTCAATAGAGCTGATTTCTGAGCCCTGGACCTGCCTGAAGGCAGCTTTGTATTGGACCAGGAGCCGGGAGCAGGCTGCAGTGTACCTAGGGAGAGGTCAGCTGCTGCCCAAGCATGGGACCAGCCCCACCCAGCTCATCCTACCCCCTCGGCTGGTCCAGAGGCAAAGCAGCTTCCAGAGAGGACCAGGCGACAGGCAAAGGCAGGCCGAGCAAGGAGGAGGGGCTGCTAGTAGCTTTTGGGGGTGAGGCCCTGAGCACGTAGTGGGGCTTGTAGCTCGGCTCCAGGTGGAGACCCCGGCCCCCAACCCCTGCCCACCCTCTGAACCACAGCGACCAGCCCTCTGTTGTGATGGCCGCATCCACAGCTCATGGTCCTGTGCGGTGGCCTGTGACGGTCTTGTCACTTCATTGAACAAAGCCCCCCCAAAAGATCCTGGGACATCCCCAAGCCTCTCGACCGTTTTTTAAGGTTGCCTGTGCTGGGGGATGAGGGTGGGGGAGTGGGCCGGATGACACCCCAGGAGCTGCGCCTCTGCCCGCCTCCCTCACCAGCCCCCAGGACTTCCCTGGCTGAGACCCAGGGGCACCCTCCTCACGCTGGGTGGGCCCCACACAAGTGGGTGCCTCCCAGCCTGACAGACGCCTGCTCTTGCTGCCTATGGAGCACCCAAGCCCCCCAGGGCAGGAACAGACCTCCCAGGACGTGGGCTCTTACTCGCTGGGGGAGACACAGTCCTTGATGTAGGCCTTCTCCAGGGCTTGCATTGTCTTCACCACCGCAAACAGCTCTGCCATGTTGTCGTACCTGAGGACACACCTGTCTATCGGGCCAGGCCCCGGGGTGCCAAGCCTAGAGCCCAGAGTGCTACCCCCTGCCCGGAGGTGCCACTGCGGGCGCTCTGCCCACCTCTTGCTCCATCCTGGAGTGCCTCAGGAACAGTTCCCCAGACTGACCCTGCGTCCTCCCACCCCTCAGTTTGGGGTGGGTCTGGAGGGGCTGCCCCAGGGCAGCCAGATGCGCATGGGTGTGTTGGGACAGCCTGGGCGCCTGGACTTACTTCTCCCTCTCCCGGGCGTTCTTGTACAACTTCACTTCCTGCCGGAGAGAGCGGGCTCTGTGGGCCAGTGCCAACAGGGGCTGCAGGACCCTGGTGAGGCCACACAGGCATTTGCTGTTGGCCAATGCCGGCCGGGTGGGCACCCACCACTCACCTCATACAGCTCCGGCTTGTTCCCAGGGGCTGCAAGAGAAGGCAGAGAGCTGGCAGGCTGGCCCCAAAGGGAACCCAAGGGCAGACTCCAGTCCCAGTCTCCATTTCAGTTCCTCCCTGAGGCCTCCCAGGCTGGGTCCCAAAGAGCCCAGAGGGAGCTGGAGCACAGAGGTTCCAACCTCACCCCTATCAGTGTGTGGGGGGACCTGATGATAACACCTCTGAGAAGCCGGGGGCCGCATGACAGGCCCAGCTCCCCAGCTCCACTGCGGCTCCCCGGGGGACCGCATGACAGGCCCAGCTCCCCAGCTCCACTGCGGCTCCCCGGGGGACCGCATGACAGGCCCAGCTCCCCAGCTCCACCATGGCTCCCTGGCGGAGTCACCTGCACAACAGTGGCCACGCCCTGCTCGTGGCTCATGATGCAGTGCCAACAAGGCTCACCACACACAGCCTCTCCCCTGGGATTGGTGACACAGGGTGCCCAGGACCCCCACCGTTCTGGCCACACCGAAGCTCATCATCTCTGCCCAGCAGGACCAAGCCAGTTCTGTCTGGAGGTTTCTGAGCCCTCAGTGCTCCTGCAATGAACTATTTAGCCCCTGGCCACCCCCAAGGCTGTACGAGAGCAGGGTCAGATACCTCCCCACCCCCGATCCCCAATACCCAATACTGCCCGTCAGCCCCTGCAGAAGCGGCTGAAAGCCTGCGCCCTTCCAGCCACACTCACCTCCTATGCCCGGCGTGGCTGGGATCCCATGAAACATCCTCTAGGCTCTGGGGGGGGCACAGCACTGAGACCTGGGGAGCAGAGCCAGGGCCGACTCAAAGATGGCCCCTAAGCCAGGCGCTGGCTCACACCTGTAATCCCAGCACTTTGGGAGGCCGAGGTGAGCGGATCACCTGAGGTCAGGAGTTTGAGACCAGCCTGGCCAACATGGTGAAACCCTGTCTCTACTAAAATTACAAAATTAGCCGGACGTTGTGGCATACGGTTGTAATCCCAGCTACTCAGGAGGCTGAGGCAGGAGAATCGCTTGAACCCAGGAGGTGAAGGTTTCAATGAGCCAAGACCGAGCCACTGCACTCCAGCCTGGGAGACAGAGCAAGACCCTGTCTCAAAACAAACAAACGAACAACAAAAAAAACCGACAAAAAAAGACAGCCCGTAAGTGCCAGGTCCTGGAGACCCAGGGCTCCATGAAGAGCTCTCCTAAGCTCAATAATGGTGAACACACAGGGTGCTATAGGGGCTACCAGAAAAAGTGAGGTACTATGGACACTCAGGAGAGCGGGGCGGGGGCTGCAGTGGAGTGTGGTTCAAGCTGGAGGTTGAGGGAGGTTATGAGGGCGGCAGGCAGCTGTTTGATGGCCCACGAGGAGAGTTTGGGGCACAGGAAACAACACACTTAACAGCCCGCCTTTAAGTAGGCATGAACTTGGAGGAACCAACAAGCTGAAGGTGCAGCTTCTCGAAAGAGGGGGTCCTAGGGAATGAAGATGGAGAGGTGCCCCTAGTTGGGCAGCGAGCTGTGGAGAAACAATGGGAGCGGGGCCCGTGGGAGGGTCCTGCCTAGCACGGAAGCTGGGCCAGCTCCAGACGTTCTCTCTTTGAAAGTGGAGCCGTCAGATCCGCCGAGGGATTTGAGATAGGATTAAAATAAAGGAGTTACGAACGACACCCCTGTTTTTGGCCCAATGGGCCGGGCAGTAAGATAAACTCAGACGGAGAGGGGAGGAGGAGCGGGCCTGGCGGGCAGGCGCAGGAAGCTCTCGGTGGAGAGGCCCGGGAGAGCAGCGCTGAGCCGGCTAACTGGGAGTGGACGGTGCTACCGGGGATGGGAGAAGAGCAGAAGTGAGGGAAGGCCGCCCGCGCCGAAGCCCTGGGGCGCCCCAGCCGAGGAAGAGCCGGGAAAGGGCGTCGCCGCTCATGTAGGTAGGGAACGTCTGGGTCAAGCTCTCCGAGGGTCGAGGCCATTGCGAGCCGCGGGGTGGGGACCGAGGCTGCTCGGCAGCCGTCACGGAGCCGCCAGGCAGGAGAGCGCCGAGGAGCCAACCGCCCCAACCACGCAGGAGCTTCTGCCTAACAGCGAAAGCGGACGTTCTGCGGCCACAAGCAAATGTGCAAAACAACCTCGCAGAGTGGACAACGAGCAAGGAAAGCCAGTTTCTAGAACATGCCAATAACGTGACTTTTGCGGCGCTCAGCCGAAGCTGTGCCGGGGCCTAGGCGCGCCCAGAGGGTGCCAGGCCCTGAGTCGCCTCTCCCCACTCTGCCCCTTCCCCGCCCACCGGCCGGGCCCCGGGTACCTGGACGGCTCGCGGTCGGGAAGATGGCGCCGGGGGCGGGGTGCGCTCGGTCAGCGACTCGGCATTCGCCCCTCATGTCTGCGCCTGCGCGCGTCGGGGCGACCCCCCGCCCCTCCGTCCCCATCGGCAGCTCGGCGCTCAGCCCTCACGCCTGCGCCCGCGCCCGCCCGGACTTCGGGACATTCCCTCCAGCCGCGCAGCCCCCGGGACGTAACCGGCGCAGCAGACTCGAAGCCCGGTCTTACCCCGCCCACCCGCCTGCCAGGCAGCCACGGGGAGGGAGGCAGCAGCTTCATTTATTTTATTTTTTTTTTTTTTTGAGACGGAGTCTCGGTCTGTCGCCCAGGCTGGAGTGCAGTGGTGCGATCTCGGCTCACTGCAAGCTCCGCCTCCCGGGTTCACGCCATTCTCCTGCCTCAGCCTCCGGAGTAGCTGGGACTACAGGCTTCCACCACCACGCCCGGCTAATTTTTGGTATTTTTAGTAGAGACGGGGTTTCACCATGTTAGCCAGGATGGTCTCGATCTCCTGACCTCGTGATCCGCCCGCCTGGGCCTCCCAAAGTGTTGGGATTACAGGCGTGAGCCACCGCGCCCGGCCAGCAGCTTCATTTATTAGGGGCTTCGGTGAGGGTGGGGAAAGGCAGCGCCAGGGTCAGAGGCGCCGAAAGAAGAGCTTGGAGCCGTGGTCCAGCGTGCACTCGCCGGGGCCCGGCCGACTGGGCTGCAGCTGGCGCAGGGCGTCCCTGTCCTCAGCGCAGAGGCGTCTGCTGCACAGCTGCAGTTCCCGGAGCTGCGCGGCTATCTTGTCCCACAGGCCCAGGCCCAGGGGACCCTGGACGGCGCAGCCTGCGGAGGGGAAGAGGGCAGACCTCAGCGCTGCGGGGGCCGGCGGCGTCCTGGTGCCCGCGGCAGGCTCCAGGGAACAAACTCGCTTTCGCTGAGGGCCCCAGGGCTGTAGCGAGGGGCAGTGGGCAGAGCTCCGGAGAGGCCCCATGACTCTCCAGGAAGGGGTGGGATCATCTGCACAGCCAGCGGTCAGACAGGAGGAAGGGTGGCTCCCTTCTTTACCTCTGACAGTGCCCGATCTCAAAGTCCATGCCTACACGTCAGTCTCCCCACCCATAAGAAGGACATAATGGATCTGCTTGCAAATCTGTACATCGTGGGCCTGAGTGGATCAAGAGAACACTAAGCTCAGGAATTCAGGGAGCTGGGTGGGAAGGTACAGATGCCAGGAACTGAGGTGTGGGGAAGGGGTCTCACACCAGCACTCGGGGGCCTTCCTGGAAAAGGCGGCCTGGCCCTGGGAGGTGAAGGGGAGGGGGCACAGGAAGAAAGCAGAGCCCCGCTTCGTGCACATTCACTTAAGCCCTCATCCCCTGGAGGGCACAGCCTGCCCCGGCCCCAGTGGGGCAAGCCAGGTCATCAAAGCCCTTCCTGGGGTTGTCTTCCAGACAGCTCAGGTTGGGGACTGCCCTGATGTGGCTCAAGAGAGAACAAGCTAAATCAGACCACAGCCCTGGGCAGGGTTGTGTCAGAGGAGCCCCTGCCAGGAAGTAGGAGGGTCCCTTGGCAGCTTTCAACACCCTGACCTTGGGATCCCTTTTCCTGCCAGGGACAAGAAGAAAGTCCCTGTGGAACAGGGTCTTGCCTACCATAGTCTGCTCTGAAGGTTGGGTTGGAGAGACCAGAGGCAGATACCCACCTCGCCCCCTAACCCATGGTTTTAGGAGCTGGGATCATGCCCCTTTTCTGTCACTGTCACTCTGCCCCCTGCTGCCCCAGCCTCATGGAGCCCAGCCTTGCTGCCTGGCTGGTAGCAGTGACAGCCCCTTAGGAGGAGGCACCTGGGTCTCAGGCAGGTCCCTGAAAAGGCCGAACATGGCAGGCGTGGCCACCATACCAGCACTCACCTGACAGGCCAAGGAAGCTAAGGCCTTGGGGCCGCTTTTGGAGGGTGGACAGGAGCTCTTCCAAGCTGGCACAGCTGATCTCAGGGTTGGCAGACAGATCCAGTGAGATGAGTGAGGGGCACAGAGAGAGACATCTGAGATAACATGGGAAGAAGTGCAAAGGTTGGCTTCCAGAGAGGCTGTGCCCCAACACTAGGAAAGCTGCCCAGACAAATGCCAGCTCAGGGAGCCTCGGGCCAGACCCAGGGGCTCTGCCTCAGCCTGGCCCAGTAGCAGGTGGCCCTCTAGGGTTGGGGGTCCTTCCCAGGGGTCAGGGCCACAGTGGCCAGCTCTGGGTGTGCCTGGCCCAGCTTGGGCTCCTCTCAACACTCCCCAGAGAGCTGACTGAGGCTCCAGGTCATAAGAGCAGTGCCCTCATGTGGGCCGAGGCACAGGAATGACAAGGACACCCCCGGAGGAGTGCTCTCAAGAGCCACAGGCCCATGCTAAGAAAGAAGCCAGAGGGTAGTCTGCCTTCCAGGGCAGCCTGAGAGGCTGGTGGAAACCGAAGGAGCCAGGTCTTGGGATGTGCTGGGGAGGAGGAGCTGGTACCATTTCTGTGGCCCTTCTCCCATAGGGTCCAGAGCCATGAGATCAGACCCCCAGGTCAGCAGGCAGCAGGGAAAGGGCGTTACCTGCACAGGTCTCTAACAGCCTTGTCCCCCAGGTGGTTTGCAGACAGGGTCAGGTGGGCTAGAGCACAGCCTTCCTGGACATGAGCAGAGGCCCAAGGGGGCCAAACGGAGTGGCGCACCTGCCCTGCCTGCTTCCCAGCAGGTGCACCACACCCAGGGGCCCAGAAGGGAGCAGAGTCCCCCATCAAGTTGGAGATCGGAAGGAAACACCTCTCCTGATGTGGGTCACACTCTGCACGTGATAGTGTGAAAATAATAGGGTCCCAGTTGTGCCTGGAAGACCCCCCAGGAGAGAGCATCAGGGGCCCTAGTGTGCCCCTTGGGACCTTCCTGGCGGGGGGCAAGATCACCCTGAGTCCCGGGTCCTATCTGGTGGGCAGGAATTCACAGCCTGAGACAGGCAGCTGTACAAAAGCATTCCCCCAGCTGTTTTTTTCTTTTTTTGTTTTTTTTTTGAGACAGAGTCTCGCTCTGTCGCCCAGGGTGGAGTGCGGTGGCGCCATCTCGGCTCACTGCAAGCTCCGCCTCCCGGGTTCACGCTGTTCTCCTGCCTGTCTCCCAAGTAGCTGGGACTCCAGGAGCCCGTCACCACGCCCGGCTAATTTTTTGTATTTTTTAGTAGAGATGGTGTTTCACCATGTTAGCCAGGATGGTCTTGATCTCCTGACCTCGTGATCCGCCCGCCTCGGCCTCCCAAAGTGCTGGGATTACAGGCGTAAGCTACCACGCCCAGCCTGTTTTTTTCTTTTTCTTTCTTTTTTTTTTTTTTTGAGACGGAATCTCGCTCTGTCACCCAGGCTGGGTGCAATGGTGCAATCTAGGCTCACTGCAACCTCTGCCTCCCGGGTTCAACCAATTCTCTGCCTCAGCATCCCGAGTAGCTGGGATTACAGGTACCCGCCACCACGCCTGGGTAATTTTTGTATTTTTACTAGAGACAAGGTTTCACCATGTTGGCCAGGCTGCTTTTGAACTCCTGACCTTGTGATCCACCCCCTTCGGCCTCCCAAAGTACTGGGATTACAGGCGTGAGCCACCGCGCCTGGCCCCCCAGCTGTTTTTTCTAAACCTCCAAACCTCTAACTCTCTCTGTAGAGCCCCTCAGCGAGTTCAGCCCGAATCTGGGGAGAGGCGAGCTCCTCCCAGCAACCCTGGGACCTTTGGCCTCTGAGGCTCAGTATTTTCTGGGTTCTTCCCCACCTCGTACCTTGGCCAGGTATCGGAATACAGGCTCCATGAGGTCCGAATCACCCTTGCCGGCTGCCACGGAGCTGAGCTCTAAGTGCAGGAGGGTGCCGGCGGGCAGGCTCTGCAGGGTCCTGGCCAGGGCAGGGGCTCCCAGGGCGTTGTAGGACAGGGACAGGGTCTTCAGGTGCTCAGCATCTGCACCGGGGCCAGAATCCGTCAGCCCCACGTGGCCACAGCCCTGTACCCACCCCAAGTTCTGGGCCCAGAACCCTCAGGACCCCTTTGGGGAAACCACTACCGCAGTGCTCGCAGGGTGGGGTGGCAAGTGCAGAGGCAAAGGCTCTCGCCCAGATTCTCCCAGCTGGGAGGGCGGGGCCAGACTTCCAAGCTCGGCTGCCCCCAGTTCTGGACAACTTGCCCTCTCCCACCCCACAACCACACGGTCCTGGGCCACATGCCTCTGCACAGTGGGGGTGCCAGGGGAGTGCACTGACCATTGCTGCCCCCCTTACACTCCCCCTGGATGACACCCAATTCCCAGCCTCTTGGCACTGGGACCCCAGTCTCTGCAGCCTGAGTGGGCTCACAGTGGAACTGCCTCAGGCGAACAGCACTCAGCTGGCGAGCACGGGATGGGGACCACAGGACACTAGCTGCCCGGACTCTGCTCTCGGTGTGTCCTGCGGGGGTCAGCCTGGCTGGGTGGGCACCAGACGCCCCTCGGAGGCAGACCCTGTACCCACACATCCATCTATTGCTCCCAGGTGCCAGGCCCTCCCGGAGAGCCAGGTCTGGCATCCCAGGCCCCTAGACGTTGTTTGTTTCGTTTTTTTGACACGGAGTCTTGCTCTGTCGCCCAGGCTGGAGTGCAACGGCGCGATCTCGGCTCACTGCAAGCTCCGCTTCCCGGGTTCATGCCATTCTCCTGCCTCAGCCTCCTGCGTAGCTGGGACTACAGGCACCGGCCACCACGCCCAGCTAATTGTATTTTTAATAGAGACGGCGTTTCACCGTGTTAGCCAGGATGGTCTCGATATCCTGACCTCGTGATCTGCCCGCCTTGGCCTCCCAAAGTGCTGGGATTACAGGCGTGAGCCACTGCGCCCGGCCTAGACGCTTTTTTCTTAAGGGATGGGGTCTCACTATGTGGGCCAGGCTTTCCTGGAACTCTTGGCTCAAGCGATACTCCCGCCTCAGCCTCTCAAGTAGCTGGGACCACAGGTGTTGCCCCTGTGTGCCCAGCCTGGGCCCCCTCTGAAAGTCCTGGAAACCCTCAATGCCCCAGGGCTAGGGAGTGGACAGGGAGTGCCTGGTCAGCTCACCTTGGAAAGCACTACCCAGTGCTGTCTGGTGGCTCAGAAAGAAGCTGGGGCCGAAGCCACACGCCTGCAGGCGCAGGGTGCTGAGTAAGGGGCAGGCGTGCAGGAGGGAGGCCAGGGACTGGCCACAGCCGTCCCCCAGGGGGTTCATGCTTAAGTCCAGCTCCTCCAAACTCTGTGGAAGACACAGGCTGGCAGTGAGCCCCCAGCAGTCCCACGGACAGGGTCCCCCTTGGGGCTTGGCTTGGCAGTCTCTTCCCCACCTTGCCTGGCATAGCCTATTACAGCCGGGCACTGGCTGGCTCTCCCAACTACCCTAGACCACCCAGGGACCTGCAGAATGGGAACCCCAACTCCCCGCTGTTGAGGGCCTGCTGCTCTCTGTGCCTATACCTGCAAGGTGGCTTGGCCTGGGAGCCCCATGGCAAGCTGGCGCAGGCCTTCGGGACCCAGGTGATTGGAGGAGAGGTCAAGGAGGGCCAGGCTGGGCATGGTGCCCAGGGCAGCCACCAGCTCAGCCACACACTTGTCCCCCAGCCGGTTCCCTGCCAGGCGCAGCTCCCGGAGTGCTGTGTGCAGCTTGAGGGCCCGCAGCAGGGGTGTAAGCTGGGCCTGGTCCAGGGCCAGGGAGCAGGCGCTGAACGAGAGGCCCAAGCCCTGGAGCTCCACGGCCTGCAGCACCTGTTGGTGCTCCCCTGCGGGAGGGATGTGATGTCACCAGGGTAAGGCCGGCCCTTTCTGCCCTCTGAATCCCAGAGGGCAAACCAGGCAGCCCCTTTTCAACAGCCCCAGGGGTCACCCACCAGACTTGCTGTAGAGCCCACTCGCACATGCCTGTGGGTCTAGCACTGTGAGGCCCTGGGGGCCGGGGTGGGTCTGCAGCACCCTGAGCTCCACCAGTCACTGCCAGATTCCACACCCCCCGGGACAAGCTTTCTGGGAAGCTTCCCCAGCAGCTCCCAGCCCATGCCAGGCCCTCCTCCTTGGGTTTGACTTTCCAGGCTTTCGGCTGCTTTTTGCCATCTCCCTGTCAGCAGATCATGGGGGCTGAGGGCTGTCCTCTCCCTTCCACCCACACATCCAAGTGCAGGACACAGCACCCACCAGGCTGGGGGAGGTGCACCCCAAAACACCCGAGGCCCAGGAATGAACCGGGCTGGTGGAGCCTGTGTGCCCAACCCCCTTGTACGACCTCACCCAGAAACTGCAGCTCTCCTGGCCCTCACCTTGCCCCAGGCTCTGGCAGGCCCTGCGGTAGCGGTCAGTCAACGGGGGCAGGTCCCACGAAGTCACCTCAGCCAACACCTGGAAGGCACCGTCATGAGCCACCTGGGGGCTCCCCCGGCTCACCTCATCATTGCTCTGCAGCCATGAGCCACCCGGGGGCTCCCGGTGCCTGAGGCCCTGGCTCCCCCTCCGCTCTGCGGCTCACCTCGTCATTGCTCTGCAGCACATCAGGGATGAGGTCCTGTGGGGCCAGCAGGGCCCCCTCTTTCCGTAGGGTGAGCCTGGGCAGCAGCCCGCAGGTCTGGTAGTAGCGCTGGGCCGCCTGCTCGGCCAGCCAGGCCACAGAGTGGGTGTCACTGCTGCAGGGACAGAGGCGCTGCTGCTGCTGCCTGCACACAGCCGGGGTAATGCCCCAGGGACCCGCCATCCCTGCCCAGGGCCAGAAGCCCCCTCAGCTGCTTCTCCCATTCCCAGGTAGCCGGCCCCTCCTCTCCCTGCAGCCCAGCACACCACCAGCCCCTCTGCTATTCCTGGGGGCCACAGGATCCTCCTGGAACACACCAGGGAGCCCTCGTCACACGCCCCACCCTGACATGCAAACACGAGCACCCTGGCATGGAGCTGCACAGGTGGGCTGCGGGGTAGGGCAGGCGATGCCTCACCTGTGTGGGACAGGGATGAGGAAGAGATGATCCTGAACTTGAACTCGAACCCGGATGGGAGGGGGCGGGGCCGGACCCTGGCAGGTGAAGGCAGCAGGGCTGAGTCAGGAGCCACAGTGGGCTCCACCCTACACCTGCCTGCCCGGAGTGGGGAGAGGGCTCTGCTCCAGGTCTGCATACCCACCAAGGGCTGGCCTGCCGCAGAGCTGTCCCCACTGGGCTCTGAGACCCTGGGGGTGCTGGGGCTCCCTGGAGGTTCTGAAGCCAGGCTGCTGGGCCCTGCGTTAACTGGCGCACTGCAACTCTGCATGCAGGTCAGGCGGACCTGCTTGGCTCGGGCACGGGGCCTGCTCTCCTCACTGTCCGACCCAGAGGTACTACTGGGCCTGCGGTTGTCTCCAGTGCCCCGGGGGCGGGGCCGGCGGCTGCGGGTCAGGGGCATGTCCAGCTCCAGCCAGTCCCCGGCCAGGCACTCCTCCTCCGGGATGAGCGCTGCCTGGGGGGCAAGGGCTTTGCTGTGGCCCCGCGGTGGGCCAGGCCCCAGCCGGCTCTGAGCACTGCCCACACCCCGGATGGCTGCCTGGTAGGCTGCCCGGCTGGTGCTGGCTGTGGCTGCTTCCCTGTTGCTGGCGGGGCCAGGCGTCCAGGCTGCCACCCGTTGTGCTGTGGCCGAGCACCGAGGCCTCTTCTGGGACGGCCGTGCGGGGCCTGCGCTGTCCTCGCCTTCTGAGCTGCTGCTGCTGCTGGCTGGCCCATGCCTGCTCCTCCGAGGCCTGGCCATGGCTGGTGCCGCCTGCCCTGGGGAGACCCTGACATGGGCCTGAGAGGCCTCTGGGAGTCTAGTGCTATTAGAGGGGGGTTCTGGGCAGGGGCTCAAAGGAGGAGAGGTCTCGGGGTCAAACAGAAGGCTGCTTGGGGTGTGGAAGGCCTGGGAGCTGTGGGGATCTGTGGGAGAGAGAATGCGTGTTGAGGCAGGGGCCCGGCACCTCCCGCTCCACCTGTGATGGAGCATCTCCCGAAATCAGGGCCCGGGGACTCTCAGCGTAGGCACAGCAACCCCAGGGACAAGGGACGCCCTGCTTGCCTTGGCCCGAGGCAGCCGCCTGGAGCAGCATCTCCATGGCCCTGGCCTTCTGCCGCGTCTCCAGGTCCAGGTCCCTGCGGTACAGCTTCACCCACTGCTGCAGCGTCTCCAGCGGGCTGAGGCCCTGTGTGGCATCAGTTGAGCAGGGGCACAGCAGCCCCCATAACCTCGCCCTTGCCCTCTGCCCCACCAGGCTCACCTTTCGAGTGCGGAGGGTGACGGACGCCCCCCGTTCAAGCAGCAGCTCAGCCACCTCGAAGTGGCCACAGTTGAGGGCATCGTGGAGGGGGGTGATGCCTTCGCAGCCCTGGCCACCTGGGTCGTCCACTGCGGCCCCGTGGTCCAGCAGGAAGCGGACAATTTCTGCAGACCAGGAGACGTAAGCCCAGCTCCCGATGCCCCGCCAGGACTGACTCTTCGCCCCACGTGTCCACCAAGGTGCGCCAGGCTCCTTCTGTCCCTTGCTCACCTAGATGCCCGTAGTTGCAGGCCTCGTGCAGAGGTGTCCAGCCACAGTAGTCCCGAGGGTTAAGGGGGTGGCCCTGTGACCAAGGACAGGAAGGAGCCTGGCCCTGTGTACCTCACAGCCTGGCCCCAGCCCCGTGAGCTCTGCAGCCTAAGCTGAGCCCAGGGCCTCAGTCTTAGAGCCCAGAGCAAGTCCGTGGCCCTGCCCTCTCCTCCTCCGGCCTAGGTGTCACCAGT
Organism: Homo sapiens; assembly: GCF_000001405.40. Taxonomy (NCBI): domain Eukaryota; kingdom Metazoa; phylum Chordata; class Mammalia; order Primates; family Hominidae; genus Homo; species Homo sapiens. The sequence continues at coordinate 144,437,260 of NC_000008.11, forward strand.
GAAGGACATGCTTCCCCCTGAGACAGGTGGACCAGCCACAGCATATCCTCCGCCTCTGTGCCTGCCCGGTCCCCTTGTGGGGAGACAGTGCACCTGGTCGCAGGGGCATGAGGCAGGCGGGGCGGGAAGGTGCCCAGATCTCAGCCCATGGGCTAGCCCCCATCCTGGCCAGGCTGACCAACTTAGCTGTAACACAGATGCATACCACACAGCAGGTACCCCATTTTTTTTTTGAGACCAGCCAGGCTGGTCTCAAGCTCCTGACCTCGTGATCTGCCCACCTTGGCCTCCCAAAGTGCTGGGATTACAGGTATGAACCACCGCGCCCAGCCTGGGCACCCCATTTTTTTGTGTTTTTTTTTGAGACAGAGTCTCGCTCTGTCACCCAGGCTGGAGTGCAGCGGCGCAATCTCATCTCACCGCAACCTCCGCCTCCCAGGTTCAAGCGATTCTCCTGCCTCAGCCTCCCGAGTAGCTGGGACTACAGGTATGTGCCACCATACCCAGCTAATATTTTTGTATTTTTAGTAGAGACAGGGTTTCACCATGTTAGCCAGACTGGTCTCAAACTCCTGACCTCAGGCAATCCGCCCGCCTCAGCCTCCCAAAGTGCTAGGATTATAGACATAAGCCACTGTACCCGGCCTGTGGCTTTTCTTCTGAGACAGGGTCTTGCTCTGTCACACAGGTTGGAGTGCAGTGGCAAGATCATGGCTCACTGCAGCCTCCACCTCCTAGGCTCAAGCAACCCTCCCACCTCAACCTCCAAAGCAGCTGAGACTACAGGCACACGCCATCACATCCACCTAATTTTTAAATTTCTTGGAGACAAGGTCTTGCCAGGGTGCCCAGGCTGGTCTCGAACTCCTGGGCTCATGTGATCTGCCTGCCTTGGCATCCCAAAGTGCTGGGATTACAGGCATAAGCCACCCCGTGCAGCCTCCGCTTTTTAAATTTTTTTGAAACAGGGTCTCACTGTGTTGCCCAGGCTGGAGTGCAGTGGCATGATCGCGACTCCTGCAGCCTCAATCTCCCTCCCAGGATGAAGTGATCCTCCTGCCTCTAGGACCACAGGCAAGTGCCACCATGCTTGCTAAGGGGCCCCATTTTGAAGATGAGGAAGTTGAGAGTTACAGAGATAGGGGATCCGGCACAAACGCACAGCTCCTCCATGCTAGGCAGCCTGTCCCACGTCCCAGAGCGGGGCCCACCTGCCTCACAAGGTCCTGGACGCGGCGCAGCTGGCCCTCGATGCAGGCTCGGTGCAGCAGGGTCTCCCCCATGTCGTTTCGCCGGTTCCACTGTGGGCACAGCCAACCCAGCACAGGGCAGGGGCGTGAGGAGCTGGCAGGGCTGCTGAGCGGGGTGGGTGGGGGCAGGGCACTGTCCTCACCTTGCTCCCCTTCCGCCGGCCCAGGTGGCCCTGAAGCTCCTCGTCCTCCTCCAGCTGCGGGGTCAGGCCATCGGTGTCGTCCTCTGGAACAGAGCCAAGCCCACCCCAGGGGAGTCCGTGGGAGGTGAAGGTTAGCAGCCCCCACCCTGCTGCAAGCTCCCCAAACTCCCAGGTACAAAGGAGCCAGAGACGGGAGGGCTGAGCTCTGAGGCTGCTGGGCTCTGGGGGCTCCTCAGCAATGGTCCCAGCGCTGCCTCCATGTCTCCCTGACCCTGCTGGGACCCTGCTCCTGCCCACCATCCCTCTGCCCACTTGAGACACACCCCTGAGCTTTCTGCCCTAACCCACGCCTGGCCCTCCCACAGAAGGCCTGCCCGAGGCCCCCTCTGTCCATGCGCCAGCCACTCATCCCCACGCCCAGACCGGCTCGTGGGCCAGTCTTCCTCCACCCCACGCCTTATCCACCCCCATCTCCTGAGCTGTGTCGTCAGGCCAGGTCAGCCCTGGAGCCTGGGTATCCTGCACCTTGCAGCCTCCACCCTGCCTAGGCAGCAGACACACCCGCCTCCGTCCCTGCTTCGGGTGACCCCTCATCACCACGCCCTTCACACCCTGCCAGCTGCCTCTGGGTCTTTCCGCAGCTCCTCACTGTGCCCACCAGCTGAGCAGCATTCCCCAAAATTCTAGATCCTGATCCACCTCCCCCCAGCAACCAACCTGGCAAGGCCCCAACTTCCCACAGCTGCCTGGCCACTCAGGGTTCTAACGACGCCCTCGAGTTCAGAGCTGAAGTCACAGCCTTCCCTGGAACACCCCCCAACAGGCCTCATGGACAGGCTCCTGCCACCCACCACTCAGTCAGAAACCAGCCTCCCAGCTACCCGCTAACCCCGCTCTCAGCCCTCTCTCCCTGCACCACGGCCAAGATGGCTTCAGTCCAAGCCCCGCTCCAGCCAGTCCCTCATGCCTGCCCTCCGTGCAGCTGATGTCGCCAGCCTCTGGAGGAAACCCAAGCCTGCTCTGAAGGGTTTCAGGAAGGTGCTCAGCTCTTGCAGAGGCAGCCGGGGCTCTTCAAAGTGCACCGTCTCACCCCTGGCCCCAGATGGCACGTGCCTCTCTAACGGGACCATGCCCCAGCTGACACTCACTCGACTCCCAACCACTGTCTCCTCCAGGAGGCCAAGGCCGCCCCAGGCTCCCTGCGGGTCACCACCTTCTCTGTCCAGTTCCGGGAAAGCACTGGCCGTCCTGCCTGCCTGTGGCTGTTCCTGCTACAGCCCTAAGCAGGCTCCACAGCAGCACAGCACACCCCTCTCCAGCCCGGCCCAGAGCAGGCCCAGGGAAATGCAAGGTGCCGCTGGCCCTCACCGCCCTCTGAGAGCTCCACCTCGCCGGCCTCCAGGGCTTCGCTCTCCGCTGTGGCTGCCGCCTCCTCCGCCTCCTCCTCCTCATCTTCATCTTCAGCTACACTGAGCTCCCGTAGTCTGGTTTCGGTCTCAGGGGCCTCCTGGGGCTGCAGCCTCAGCTGCACGGTATGGAGATGCTGCAAGACCTGCCTCTGAGGAGCAGAGGGATGCTCAGCTCAGGACTGGGGGCTGTGGACGCAGAGAAAGATGGGGATGGGGCACAAGGGGCAGGCAGGCTGCAACGAAGCTGGGCTCACCGGGGAGCCAGTATGGGTGGGATGGGCTCTCGCACCTGCAGCTGGGGACGCTGGGCCTGCTGGGCACAGCTGAGCGCTTTCTGGAAGCACGGGGCCAGCAGCTCGTAGGCATCGCCGGCCTCCTCGCGGGACAGTGCAATGTTCAGCCAGGTCTTGGCCTCCTGGAGCAGGAGGAAGGACAGGGTCGGGGGCTGCCGCTGTCTGCGTCCAACGGGCCCCAGTCAAGCTTCCCCGGCTGCCCAGACGAAATGGGAGCCCGGCCTCCCAGCTGCCGAGGGTGGATGGTCCTAGGAAGGAGCTGCCCGTCCAGTAAGGACACCTGTCCATGGCCACCCTGAGAACGGCAGTCCTGAGGCAGAGACATGGGTGAACCTGCATTCGGGCGGGGAGCAAGGGTTTCACCTCCAGCACGTTGCCGCTGCGCAGCCTCAGTTCCTCCTCATAGTGGCGCACGGCCCCATGGTGGTCCTTCATGTCTCCCAGTGTGGTGGCCAGGGACACGTGGATGATGGCCCGCTCAGCACCCGGTCTGTCCAGCAGCTCAGCAAAACGCAGCTGGGGGCAGTGCCAGTGAGGCCAGGGGCTGCCACCCTGGCCAGGCCTCGTCAACCTCACTGGCCCTTCCCTCCCACCCAGCCGGGGCCACACACCTGCTTCTGGTAAGCCTCAGCTGCCCTGGGAAAGTCTCCTGCCTTGGAGAAGAGGTCCCCTAGCTGCTCACAGATGACCATGGCACCCTGAGGGTCTCTGCCCTCAGCCTCTTCCAGCTGTTGCTGCAGCCGGACCACTGCCAGCACTGCCGGGAAGAGGTTCATGCAGGGGGGCAGCACAGGGGGCCCTGACCCCAGCTCTACCACCTGCAAGCTGTGAGCCCTGTGGTGGCCCCCCCACTCTCTCCACACCTCTGCCTGCCTGTTGGTGTGGGGGTTAATAGCAGGGTCTATCTTGGGGACTGGTCTCAAGGGTCACAAGAACTAACACACTTAAAAACTCGGGGCCAGGTACAGTGGCTCACGCCTGTAATCCTAGGACTTTGGGAGGCCGAGGCGGGCAGATCATGAGGTCAGGAGATCGAGACCATCCTGGCTAACATGGTGAAACCTCGTCTCTACTAAAAATACAAAAAATCAGCCGGGTGTGGTGGCGGGCACCTGTAGTCCCAGCTACTCGGGAGGCTGAGGCAGGAGAATGGCATGAACCCGGGAAGCGAAGCTTGCAGTGAGCCGAGATCATGCCACTGCACTCCAGCCTGGGTGACAGAGCGAGACTCCGTCTCAAGAAAAAAAAACAACACAACATGGATGGTGCCTGGCTCAAAGTAAGGGCTGACGGCTGCCAACCTCCAATGGTGGTCTCTGCCATCAGCACTCCTGGACCACGCGTGCCATCTCCTCTCCCACCCTGGGAGGCTAGGGGTACAACTACTGTCTCCAGTTTGCCAATGAAGATGGTGGCTGCGAAATAAAAGCCCAGCTGGTCTCCTGGCCGCCCTTTCATTGCCCCTGACACACTGTGTTGAGCTCAGAGAAAAAAGGGGGTCTTCTCCTGTCAGGAAGTAGGGGTACCTGCCCCTCTTGCTGAAGCTGCTGCCTCCAAGGACAGGTGCTCAGGCCTCCTCTGTGAGGGAGAGAGCCCTGTACACACCTGGCGGGACTCCACCCCGCCCCCAGGCTCACCCCTGCACACACCTCCCAGGGCCCCATTCGCACCCCCAGGCTCACCATGCTGGAGGTTCTGACAGATGGCTGCCCTCTGCACAGGCTTCTGGGAGCCCAGCCTGTAGGCCTTCTTCAGGGCTCGCTTGGCAGCCAAAAAGTCTCCCAGGTCTTGGAGGACCTGGAGAGCAAAGGACAGCAAAGGTTTTGCAGAATCCCCAAGGCCCGAATCTACGAGAGCCTGAGCTCGGAGCCACGCACAGCGGGTACCTGTGCAATAACCACGCAGCACTCGCTCTCCATGAACCGCTTCCTCATGGTGTGCGCACACTCCCGGGCACCCTCCAAGCAGCGCATAGCCTGGGAGTGCTGGCCCGCGCGCCAGTGGATGGTGCCCAGGTTGTAGCGGGCGCGGAATAGGTCCTCGTAAAGGTGGTTCTGCCTGCAGAGGGGTGACGACCACTGAGCACCCAGGAGTGTCCATGACAGCTGCTGATGCCACACGGGCCCCAGCCCTGCCATGCTGTGGTCTCAGGGCCCTAACCATGCCTGGCCTTCTCCCAGTGTGTGGCACAGGTGTGAGAGGTGGGGGGATGAGGCCCAGCCAGACTGCTCTCTCAGGAGGACTCTGGGAAAAATACTCCCCTAACTACTTCCTCCAGGAACAAGGGACTCCACTCCCTCCTGGGGCGGGGCAGGGCCTTACTCCGCAAGGAAGATGCTCTTCCTGAAGTAATCGTTGCACAGGGCTGTCTGCTGCAGGCTCTCAAAGGTGAGGCCCAGGTTGAGATAGAGGCGGGTCCTCATCTCATTCAGCTCTCCCTGGGCCAGTGTCCCTGGAAGATACCCCCCCAAACACTCAGCCACTTCCTCCCCACATGGGGTTTCCAGCTTTGGGCCCCATTTGGGGCCTGTGCAGCGCCTCTCCTACCCCCTCCCTCCTCCCGAGGTGGGTGCAAGTGTCCTGCGGCAGATGGAGCACAGAGTGGATAAAGAGCTGACGATCTCCAGGGGAAAGGTTGAGCGGGGCATGCACCCCTCACACAAGAGCCTTGCAAAGGGAGGGCTCCAGAAGACGGGATTGCCCAAGGAGGCTGCGGGGGTGCTGGGCTGCAGCCTCTTCGGCCCGAAGTTCAGGAGGCAGAAAACGCGGAGGGGTCTGCCCACCCTCCAGCTCCTCATCCACAATAGCCAAGCTCTTCTCAAAGGCAGCCTGTGCCTGCAGCAAAGCATCCCTCGACTGGCAGTGGTCATAGATGTCCAGGTGGGTGCGGCCGATGGTGGCCCAGGCCCTCTGCAGCTCCGTGTGGTTGCGCAGGGAATGTGCCAGCTCCAGGTACTGGTGCTGGTGCTGAGTGTGGAAGGAAGTCACTGCTGTGAGCCGACTCCGCCTCAAGCAAACCGGCACCGCCAGATTCCCAGAGACCCTGTTCTTGCTAAGGAAAGAGCCTGCTCCCCCTAACCCCCACAGAGCAGGCCAAGGCCAGACACGTGCCCCTCCTCTGCATGCCAAGGGCTCTCTGTGGTGACAGTGGCTTCACGCTGTATGCAGCCAACGCTGTCACGTGGGGAGGGGCAGCTGGGAGTTGGCGGGGGGGTTGCAGTCCTGCCTCCAGCAGCCAGGGTCAGGGAGAGCTTTTGGGATGGGGCCTGACCTCCCCCAACACAAACACAGCTAAAATAACGTTCAGTAATGGTTTCTGGTGCCAGGAAACCTACTCCTGCCCCAGTCCCAGGAAAGGCTGTGGGGTCCCCACCGGAGGACTGGCCCGGGGCGGTGAAGGCAAGGCTGCGTCAGGTCAGGTGTCCCCTCCAGCCCGAGGCTCCTGACGGCGAAGACCAGGCCTCCCTCCTCAGAAAAGGGCTCCAGAGGCCGACCGGGCTGGACGAGGCCAGTGAGGGCGCCCGCACCTGCAAGGCAGCCGGGTAGTCCTCCATCTCGGCCAGGCGCTCTCCGATCTTGCGGTGGGCCACGGCACAGCCCAGAGGGTCGTCAGCGCGCTCCCGAAGCTGCAGCTCCTGCCAGTGCTGCTCCAGAGCCTCGGCGTAGCGGCCTAGGCGGGGGCACAGCACGGCCTGGCAGGCGTCGCGGGTGCGAGGGCGGCCCTGGGGCGGCGTCTGCCGGAAGAGCCCGTCGCCCCCCGGCCCCCGATCCCGGCCCGGGCCCGGGCCCCGGCCCTGCCTCCCGCCTCCTGGTCCCGGCGCTCACCATGGCCGGCCAGGAGCTCCCCCAGCTGGTGGCACAGCGCGGCCTCTTCGCGCCGCTGCCCGGCCCTCTGCGCCTTGGCTTTCGCCTTGCTCAGCTCTGTGGGAGGAAGAGGAGGGCTGGGCCTCCGCGGCGGGGTCCGGGGCCGGGGCCGAGTCCCAAGCCCTCCCCAGCCTCCGCGCCCCCGGAGGAAGGGGTCCCCGAGGAACTTACGGCGAAGCTCGCGCTCCAGGCTCATGCTCGGATCGCCGCGGGATCCGGACTTCCCGCGCTGCGCCGCGGCCCCGCCCCTCGCCGCCGACACGCAGGCCCCGCCCCTCGCCGCCGACACGCAGGCCCCGCCCCTCGCCGCCGACACGCAGGCCCCGCCCCTCGCCGCCGACACGCAGGCCCCGCCCCTCGACGGCGGCGGCGGGCGCGGGGCATTCCGGGAAGTACGGTCGGCCCGCCCGCGGCATCCTCGGAGTTCTCGTGCGGGAGGAGCTGGGGCGGGGTGGCGGCGACAACTGGGGCGTCCCACCCTAGGGGCCGTCTTCCCGGACGCCGGGTTGGCCCGCGCGTGGAGCCCTCTGCCCGGCCCGGGGAGTGCCTGGTGGGGACCCCGTTCCTCCTCGTAGGCGGCGGGGACGCGGGAGGCCGGGGGCCCGGAGCCAGCCCGTCCGGGGTCGCAGCGCGCCCTGGGTGGGGTCTTCTGGGCTGCAGCCCCCGTGCCGCCCGCGCTACTCATGGTGGACGAGCTGTGCCGCCGCCCCAATTCCTCCCGAAATTCACACACACAGCCTGCTCACAGGCGCAACTATTAAAAACGAACGTAGTGTCCAGATAGACTGACGATAAATTCACGAGCATTTGGCTGTGGGGACGTAATAAGGTGTCAGGCGCGCTCCTCCTCCGCAGAACGCAGCTGGGTCACATTTGGGGACTCGGCCCCAAGGACTGTTTTGGGAGGGGAATGTGCTTTCCATAGTGAACAAGTATTGTTTCAGCAATGTGTATGCCAGCTGTATTCTCGGAAGAGTCAGTGAACCTGTGCTTCAGCTGCAGAAGTAGCCCGGGCACAGTGGCCCGCACTGTAATCCGAGCGCTATGGGAGGCCCGGTCAGGAGGATCGCTTGAGCCTAGCAGTACGAGACCAGCCTGGGCAACATAGTGAGGCCCCATCTTTCGTGTGTGTGTGTGTGTGAGACGGAGTCTCGTTCTGTCACCCAGGCTGGCGTGCAATGGTGTGATCTCGGCTCACCACAACCTCCGCCTCCCGAGTTCAAGCGATTTTCCTGCCTCAGCCTTCCAAGTAGCTGGGACTACAGGCGCGTGCCAGCATGCCCGGCTAATTTTTGCATTTTAGTAGAGACGGGGTTTCACCATGCTGGCCAGGCTGGTTTCAAACTCCTGACCTTGTGATCCGCCCACCTCGGCCTCCCAAAGTGCCGGTATTACAGGTGTAAGCCACCATGCCCAGCCCGATACCCCATCTTTATTTAAAAAAAAGAAAGGGAGGGAGGGAGGAAAAGAAAGAAAGGAAGAAAGAGAGGGCCGGGCGCAATGGCTCACCCCTGTAATCCCAGCACTTTGGGAGGCTGAGGCAGGCAGATCATGGGGTCAGTGGATCGAGACCATCCTGGCTAACACGGTGAAACCCCATCTCTACTAAAAATACAAAAAATTAGCCGGGCGTGGTGGCGGGTGTCTGTAGTCCCAGCTACTGGGGAGGCTGAGGCAGGAGAATGGCGTAAACCCGGGAGGCAGAGCTTGCAGTGAGCGGAGATGGCGCCACTGCACTCCAGCCTGGGCAACAGAGCGAGACTCTTGTCTCAAAAAAAAAAAAAAAAAGGAAGAAAGAGAGAAAACAACTGCAAAATTATGTCTAGAATCCTGTGACATGGGGCACCCAGGCCTCTAAAATACCCTTGCTATCCCCCATTACCTTGAGGACCAAACACCTGCCATGCCTTGGGTATCTGACTCCCGGCTACACAGCACACCCAGCACTGCACTCAGGTGCAGTGGCTGGTTTCCCAGAGGCCCCAGAGGAGGCTGGGTGCACAGAGTCCAACTGAGGAGCCTCAGGAGTGGAAGATAGATGAGTTAATTTCCATCGTAATTACAGCAAGTCGTTGGGCAAAACTCAGCCAGAGAGATCTGTTGGGGAGAGAGTGGTGTGATGCACTGACAGGTCCCTGGGTCCAGTAAAGGCTGCTGGAGCCCTCCTCAGGCTGACGGCAGAGCGCTGGCCTCCTGGCGTGGCCCCTGGACTGGGCAGATTTGGGCCTCGGTGCCTCCAAGGCTGCAGGGGTGGGACCAGGCCAAGCCTGCACACCTGTGCAGTCACAAGCTGCAGGAGGCAGGAAATCCAGGCAGGCCTGGGTGTGAGGACAGGTTGTGGAGGTCTGCACTGCCAACCCCTTGCCCATCCAAAGCATGGCTCTGAGCCAAGGCAACTACTTGGAGGGCAAGCTGGTGAGGTGTGTGAGGGGCACAGTGAGGCTTGAGGGAGGGAGTGGGGAGTGAGATTCAGAATCAGAGGACTCAGATGAACAGCTGAAGACAGGGTGGCTTGGACACCAGAGGGGCTCCCTGAGCTACCTGGACAACGATTAAGTATCCCCTTCAGCCCCAGGGTCCACAGGACAGCCCAGCTCCTGGAAGCCGAATTCCCCTTCAGAGACAACCCAATTTCTCTCTTTTTTTTTTTTTTTTTTCCGAGACAGAATTTTGTTCTTGTTGCCCAGGCTGGGGCACAATGGCGTGATTCTGGCTCACTGCAACCGCCTTCTCTCAGGTTCAAGTGATTCTCCTGCCTCAGCCTCTTGAGTAGCTGGGATTACAGATGCCCACCACCACGCCCAGCTAATTTTTGTATTTTTGTAGAGACAGGGTTTCACCATGTTGGTTAGGCTGGTCTCGAACTCCCAACCTCAGGTCATCCACCCGCCTCAGCCTCCCAAAGTGCTGGGATCACAGGCGTGAGCCACCATGCCCGGCTGACAACCCAATTTCTCTGTGCCTGTTTCCCCAGTAACCAGACAAGGTACACACGTCAGGCAGTGCTGTGCAGGGCTGCAGGCCTGGTGCAGATTGCCACAGGCTGAGGGCAGCAGGGGAGGCCAGCAGAGCCCAGAAGGCCCAGCTGTGTGTCTGTCTTCTGGTAAGGAAACACAGACAAAACATGGGTTGGAATATTTTTTTAAACTACAGTTGTTACATACAGAAAATATCCAAAGAGAACGCAGACCACAAAAGTGACACATAAGTCATTTCCAACAATGGTAAAAACACTTCTTGCTCTGCTCTTTAAAAAATTATTATTTTTTTGAGACGGAATCTCGCTTTGTCACCCAGGCTGCAGTGCAGTGGCACAATCTCAGCTCACTGAAACCTCTGCCTCCTGGGTTCAAGCGATTCTCCTGCCTCAGCCTCCTGAGTAGCTGGGATTACAGGCGCGCGCCACCACGCCCAGCTAATTTTTGTATTTTTAGTAGAGATGGGGTTTCACCATGTTGGTCAGGCTGGTCTCAAACTCCTAACCTCAGGTGATCCGCCCGCCTCGGCCTCCCAAAGTGCTGGGATTATAGGCGTGACCCACCGTGCCTGGCCTATTTTTATAAATGAGGGATGTGGTGCTCACCAGGGGGTGGGGATGAGACAAGGGAGGGAGAAGGGTGGGGCCTGGCTTAGGCTATGCCCCCCACATCTGCGGAGTGTGGACCCCCACGCCCCCATCCTCAGAGAAGACAAAGGAGCAGGTCGGGACGTCAAGATGTCTCAGGGTCTTGGACACAAGCCGTGTGTTTGGCGGTCCTGTCATGTGTGGCCCACGTTGGCAACGCCACGGGAAGCCCGTGCTCCAGTTCCCGGTGGCCGAGGACCCACCGTGGTCCTCCCAGGTGCCTGGCTCCCCCAGGCCATAAGGCTCAGCTGCTGCATGTCATGGTCACAGGGCAGATGCCTGCTGAGTACGCTGGGCCGCACTTGCAGACTTGAGGCACCCACATCCCACATCTGGAAGGGCCTTGTGTGGACACTGCCCTTGCCCTCAGGCCAGCCCCTCCCATCCTGAACTCCCACAGGGCTGGTTGCCCCGGGACTGCGGAGGTGGGGCTGCAGGAGCTCAACCAGCCCCGGGTCTCCTTTCTCCACGTGGCCCCCCAACCTGCAGAGACGTCTGCCTCCAGGCCCCTGGCGTCCCAGCCTGGCTGTCCCCATGAAGAACAAGCCTCCCACCTTCCCCACCCCAGAGACATGCTGGGGCCTGTCCCTCCGTTGAGTCAGTCTCTCACACACACAACCAAACAGGTGACAGGGCAAGCCCGCCCCACCCGTGCGCCCCACACCATCACCTTGGACCCAGAAACACTACGCTAGAGGGCGTCGGGCTTCCAAAGAGATGTAGAGCCATAGCCCAACCCTCTGCGCCTGTGGGTGGAGCATGAGGGAGGACAGCCCCAAAGCGCAGCCCTGAGGTGCCCAAGTTCACCCTGGTGGTGCCAGAGTCAGAGGCAGCTGCTCCCAAGGATGTGCTGGGGGCTGGGTGGGGTCTTTCTTTGTGGTCAGCAGAAAACCAAACATGGGGCCTTCCCATGCCCTTGGTGGCCAGGCCACATCAGCTCTGCAGGAGATAAGGCTCCGGCAGCGAGGCACTCCCAGCAGGCCACACGCCCTGGCCTGGGAGTAGAAACCCACAGCATTCTCAGAAACAGCTCCAGAAAGTTTCAGCCCGTGAGGGGCAGTGCGGCGGCCCGGGAGGGAAGAGCTGACTGGGAGGGTCATGCTGGGCTGTGCCATGGTCAGCCGCCCGGATGATGGCGCTTACATTCTGCCCCCAGTTCCTCTCCATTTCTCAGCCCTCGACCCGTGACCAGCAAAGCACAGGACAATGTGGGCCAGGCCCCAGCAGCCAGTGGGGGCGGGTTGGGCTGCTGTGAGGCAAGTTAATGCACCTGACTGGAGCAGAGGAAACCAGTTCTTTGGTATTGAAGCAACAAAAAGCTATCACGGAAGAGCCACATCTCCTAAGCAAAGGTGGGGGCGTCAAGCTGTATCCTTCCCAGTAGCCCTGGGAGTCCCAGGGGAAGAAAGGACCAGGGATTACCCCTCCAGGCAGGGTTCCTTCCCATCCTGTTAGGCCAGCCCTGCTCAGCCACCACGGGGCACATCAGGGGGCGGCCAGGGTGAGGATGGGAAGGGCCCACCTCCTCCAGGTGAGAAGCTGGGCTGCCCAACCTCTGACCTCTGCAGCGAGCCCTGAATGCAGGGCCAGCAGCAGGACCCCGAGAGCAGCATGGGGGACACACCTCAGACTCTCACCCAGCCAGGCGCCCAAGCACTGACCCAAGCTTTCCACACAGCCTGGGGACGCTGGGCCCTCAAGGCTGAATCTACAGTAAATAGACTCTTTCTCACTAAAATTGTGTAACTTATCCAAGAGCCTGCAAGGAGTTTAATCTTTTTCCTGGGAAGAGACAATTTCACCCTGCTTTCGGAAAATGCCTGCTGAGCCCTGGTGGCTGAGTCCTGTCTCCCTGGGAGCGGCCGGTTGGCCAGGGCAGCCCCGACCCTACCTGGATCTTCCTGCCCAAGCCTCAGTCTCAAGACCCCATGACAGAGTGTAGGGGGAGGCAGTGTCTCTGAGTCTTTCCTCGGGGGACGTGTGCGGGCACACAGATGGGGGCGGGGCAGGCTCTGACCCCCAGGCCAAACCAAAGCCCCCACGCTGTCCATTCACAGCCATGCCTTCCCCTCGAACAAAACAGAAAGTACGAAACAAGGCTGCCTTTTAATTGCTATCAGATATTCGGATATCCCGTCTGATGTCAGCAAGGCCCCCGCGCCCCGCCGGAACCCGCAGGGATGGAGCAGCACCGCCGCCTGACTGCACAGAAGGGCTGGGGCAGGGTCGCTGTGCCTCTCGGCCTCCTTGCTGCCACCGTCTCTGAGCCTCGGGGCGCCTGGTGCACCGTCTCCTCTTCGGGTCAGCCCAGCCTCTGGCGGCCCTCGGAAGGAGGGGAGGCAGGGGTCGGGGGGGTGAGCCGGAGGCGGGGGCCCCGTCGCGCACGCATGCAGACTTGCCCTGTGTTGGCTTCGTTTGTTCTCCTCCTTTGCTAAAGTGATCAGATAGTCCTGTGAAGCAGCTGCCAGCCAGGTGGACAGGGCAGCGGTGCTGGGATGCCGCCCGTGGGCTCCTCGGACATCCTGAGGCCCCGCCCTACTTCTGTATCTGGAACAGGAAGAGCCGCAGGTTGATGTTCTTGGCAGCCAGCAGCTTGTTGCACTCCACGGAGTCAATGATGGGCAGTGGCACGTAGTCCGTCTCGTTGCTCTCGTTGGTGAAGACAAAGTGGTAGATGACGGGGCTGATCCTCACGTCGTCGTAGGGGCCCTTGAGCAGCAGGAAGGAGCACTCCAGCGGTGCCGTGACCTTGCTCTTGAGGAGGAGCTGGAAGGAGAGCGTACGCTTGCAGGACAGGTTGGGGTTACGCTCCGAGTCGTTGACTCGAGCCTTCAGGACCCACGTCTGGTTCAGCACTGTGAACCTGGGCGTCTCATAGTACAGGCGCGTGATGAAGTCGTCTGTGCGGTACGGCCGGAACTGGACCTCTGTGGAGACAGACAGGGCCGGAAAGAGCCGGCTGTTAGTGTGGGCAGGGCTGGGCAGCAACGCCTTCCCTGACCAGGCCGAGGGCAGGCTCAGCCGGGGAGGAAGGCAACTTACCCGGACACCGGGCTCTGCTTGTCACAAGCAAGCCAAACGCAACTATGGCAAATGGAGGTGCACACAAGCTTTGAGGGGAACAACCACAAACAGAATCAACATGGATTAGCTGGAGAGTCCAGAGGCTGCACGTGTCAGGCCACACCCCAGGCGTGCCCGACCCACGCTGGCCTCCCTCACCGCCCCGAGCCCCGGGTGTCCCCCAGGGCGGGGTAAGCAGACACACAGACAGGATGCGGTTCCGAGAACAAGTGCACTTTATTGGTTCTGATACAGAGGAGCTGCCAGAAAAGCCAGCAGGCGGCTGCGGCACCCAGCCCTGCCCGAGGGGAGCACCAGGTCTGCAGGCACCGGGCCTGATCCGGAGCTGCCAATCAGCAGGCAGCCCTGCCTGCACAGTCCTCTTGGGCAGCCCACAGCCTGTGGCCGGCAAGTCCCTCCGTGGAGGCGTGGGTTCCCAGGTGGCCAGTCTTTCCTGCGCGAATGGGGCTTCTCACCTGGCCACGGCCACAGCCACAGTGCCCCAGCCTGCCTAGACTCCACGAGGCCCCGGTATCTCCAGGACAGCTAAGGCTGCTACTCACCACGGGCTGTGGCTGCCGCAGAGACCCCAGGCCCTCGGCCTCTCTGGCCTGCTCGGGCCCACATCCCGCTGGGCACAGTCCAGGCAGCAGGGCGGGACTGGCTGCCCACGACCACCCTGCTTGCGCCACGCCTGGTGCTCTGAGCTGGCCGCCTGGTGTGGGCTGAGAGTAGAGGGATGGAGCTTCCTCCAGTGGCCCCAGCATCAACAGGTGCTTCTCGCTGTCCTCTGGGCCAGGCTCTGGCCTGGCTCCTGCTCCCCGACACGTTCAAAGGCGGTGGCAGCGGCCCAGAGAGCCACGAGATCCAGTGTGCCTGCGCACGCATCCAGCCTGGGCGTCTGTGGGTGTCCACTCCCGGTTCTACAGTTTGAGTCGGGCACCCTCAGCTTGTTGTGGAGCCCTCTCCCTGAATGGCTTCGTGCCAGCCTTGAGAGGCCCATGGCCGGGGCAGTGACTGCCTGCAGGTAGGACCTCACTCGGCAGGGTGCTCTTCTTGCCCCAGGGTCCGAGGGGCAGGCCCCTAGCTCCCAGGCCCCCTGAGACCTGCCCACTTTCTGGTTAGACCCTGACTGTCTTGAGGCTCTGGAGCCCCACAGTGAGATGCCACCTTGCAGGGATGGTGAAGCCAGGGTGGCGAGGACAGGTGGGCGGGGCTGCTGTGAGAGCCACACAGGTGTGCACCTGGGGTCTGCCTCGGCCCCTCCTTCCACTCAGTCTCCGGCCTGTCTTCTCGACCGAGGTGTCCACCTGTCCACCGGGAGCTTGTCCAGAGCCCGGCTGTCCGGCGCTGTCAGTGCCCAGTGCCCAGAGCCTGCTGCCCCCAGACTCCTGGCTGCCAGCCCCCCAACCCACACCTGTGTGGCATGCAGCAGGCGGCGGGGCGCCTCACCTGTGTAGCCAATCTTCTCGAAGCTGAGCAGGCTGAAGATGCTGTTGTACAGCTGCATCTCCTTGCGGTGGCTCTGGTCCATCCCATCCAGGATCTCCATCAGCTCACTGCCTGTCTTGGTCGGGTGGGCGCACGCAGCCTCGTGCACCGTCAGCTCATGGAAGGGGCCGTGCCATGGGCAGCCGATGCGTTTGTACTTGCACTGGGTTACCCTGGGGGAGGCAGGTACATCACTCACAGACTGAGCCCCGAACAGGAGGCTGCAACAAGCTGTCCTCCCATATGGCTTCCATCCAGCTAAGAACCCCTTCCTGCAGGACACACGTAACTGTGAGCCCACCCCCCAGGATGAGGTCAGAGTGGCAGCATGTGGAGAGAAAGGAGACAGGCAGAAAAAGGGAGAGAGAGGGGAAGGAAGAGTGCAAGCTTGAGCCTGTGTGCCCCGCACCATGGCGTGGTTCTCTCCTCTGTTTGGCAGTGGTGGTCCTGCACAGCCTCACTGCAGGAGACTTGGTGGCTGCCTCCACTGGATGGGTAGCCATGGGCAGTGTACCCTCACACCAAGCTCCCTGAGGTCCTGCGTTGGACACGCTGTCCTGGGCCCTTCAAGGGGCTCCCCCACAGCCACAAAGAGCACTGGAAGGCTAGGCTCATGTCCGGATAACAACTGGGTGCAAAACCCACCTGTCCCCATCCTGTGCAGGCACCCTCCCACAGGGCCGTCACTGGGCTACACAGGTGGTCCCCAAGGCCCAGACAGCAGAGACAGCCAGACCACCCTGCACAGGGCCCTGCTGCACCAGGGTGGGCTCCCAGCAGTCCTGGGCCCCGCCTGTAAGGCTAAGCCCCTGACCCTCAGTTACCTGTCCTGGCATTCCTCTTTCTGGTGCCTCTCCAGGAGGGAGCGGGGAAACTGGCGCAGGCAGAAGCCACACTCTGAAGGCAGCTCGCTCACGGCTTTCTCCACGGCCAGGTTCCGGCAGCAGAGGCTCTTACTGATCTCACAACGACAATTGGGGCACGTGGCCTGCTCCTCCTTCAGCCGGGCATCTGCTAGTAGGTGGATAAAACAGCCAGCGCACATCAAGTGACCATTAGTACACTGCGAAGAAGGAAAGGGAGACGAAGCTCACAGACCTGCGGGCTCATGCTCGCACACACCCGCCCATGCCCATCAGCTCCAGCCAGGTGTCCTGAGGGACTCCAGCTGGTGCAGAGGGGCGCACGTGCCTGTCCCGAGTCGTGCTGGAGTGTGGTGAACACTGCGAGCTGCTCAGGAGAAACAGGCAGAGCCAGCTTGGGTTCTTGCAGAGATTAGAGGTCCTAAAAGCAAGGCCTCATCAGCTCACAGAGGTGACAGCTCGCCCTGGCAGTGACGGGTTCAGCCACCTGGGGCCGAGGGTCACGCTTTTCCCTTAGGGACCAGCGACTGCCCTGACCCCCCTACAGGTCCAGAGTTTGGGAGCCCTCCAGGAACACTGGGCTCTTGGCCATCACTGTCAGGTGGGGAGCGGATGCAGCTCCCACACTGGGGCAGGCATGCTCTCTGGGCCTTCAGAAAGGCCATTTATCCTGGGTTGAGAGGACTTGGCTCAGGGTGAGCCCAGGTGAGAGGAGGCAGCTGCCCCCTCGTCCAGGGAGGTTGGCTACCTGCAGAGACCTCCTCAGAGCTGGGAGGCAGGAGCCAAGCTGGCCCAGGACAAGGACAAGGGCAGGTAGGCACACAGGGAGTGCCTGGGGAGCAGAAATGGGGGCTCTGAGTGGGTGCCGAGCCTGCTGGGGTAACCGGGGCTGGCAGGAGCAGGGCACCTCCCGCTGGGCTCCCTGCCTGTGTGGGCTCCCAGCACGCCCAGTGGCCTATCCTGGCTCTCACTCCCTCAACATAAGCCTCGAGCGTCCACTTGGTGCCACTGAGAGACACATGGCAAGCTGCGGTCCCAGCCCGTGGGGGCTCACAGCATGGGAGGTGGGAAGCCCAGACCAGAACCAAGAGGTCCAAGAACAAACAAAGCCTTTTGTACCTGAGCAGACACAGTTCCCACAGCCCTGGCTGGAGTGGGGTGTGTGGGCTGAGGCATTCCAGGGCCAGCCAGGAGTGACAGGGATGTGATGTGCCTCCCACCCAAAGACTCTTAGAGCTCGCTGAGGGGAGCAGTCAGCAGAGTTGCTCCTGTCCTGATGCCTCTCCAGCAGCCGGCCCAGGCTTGCCAGCCATGCAAACCTCCAGAAAGCCACTGGGCTACAGGCTTCCTTTGGGACCTGGGACCCTCTTGAGAATGGGATGTGGTGCAGCAGAGCAGCCTGCCCAGGCCCAGCCTCTCTACAAGGTGTGTGTCAGGGAGGGGACACTCACAGGGCCCTGCCTGGTGGCGCTGGGAGGCCGGCCCTGCCTGGTGGTGCTGGGAGGCCAGCCCTGCACACGTGGGGCCCTGGGAAGTCTGAGCTGCCATCCTACTGCTTCAGCTGCCTGTGCACCCCAAGCTAAGGAGCTGTCAGACGCTGGGGCTGTTCACTCAGCACCTGTGGACTAGGCCTAAGGCCTGCTGAGTCAAAGGACCTACATGTGGAGAACCGACAGTGAGGACAAAGCCCTCTTTCATGGAATCCACATCCACATGAACACCACCCGTTACCTGCATTCAATCCTCAAGTTCTCAGTTTGGTTAAAAATTAAAATTACAGGCGGTGGCTCATGCCTGTAATCCCAGCACTTTGGAAGGCCGAGGCAGGCAGGTCACCTGAGGTTAGGAGTTCATGACCAGCCTGGCCAACATGGTGAAACCCCATCTCTACTAAAAATACAAAAATTAGCCATGCATGGTGGCGAGCGCCTGTAATCTCAGCTTCTCAGGAGGCTGAGGCAGGAGAATGGCTCGAACCCGGGAGGCGGAGGTTGCAGTGAGCCGAAATGGTGCCACTACACTCCAGCCTGGGAGACAGAGTGAGACTCTATCTCATGAATACATAAATAAATAAAAATTAAAACATACACAGTTGCCTGAGGCAGGGAGTGAGACTGGCTCTGACTGGGTTGGGGACAAGCTGAGACCTGCCCCCAGGAGAAGGTGTGAAAATCCGCCAGCCAAGTCCAGGGGTCAGTGGTGGGTGGACTACAGGCAGGAGGGGGCACAGATGCTATTGAAGCAGCTGTCCTGTGGGAGGCACAGACCAAGGGCCCACACCACTGTCCTCTCACAGCCCCCCGCCCCCCGGAGGTATGCCACTCCACGTGGCCAGCTCTAAACACCTCCTGGTGAGACTGCCGGGGGCCTTGGACGAGGTTCTGGGTCCAGCTCTGCACGTACAGTGGCCTTAGCACAGGCAAAACAGCACTCTTCTTGGCTGTGGCCCGACCCCCAAGGGAGTTCCAGGCAGGGCTGGAGCATCTAATGCCACCCACCAAGGCCACCTGGCCTCTCTTCCTGGCTCTGCATAGCCCAGGAAGATTCGAGGTGGGGTCCTAGACCCTCCTAAGGGAGCACTGAGGCTGCCAAGCACATCACCACTTACCTCCCAGCACTGCGGGCCTCTCCCCCGAAAGCCACCCCAGCTCCTGGGCCGGCCCCTGGCCACAGGCCTCATTCCTTTGGGGCCTCCAGATCCCAGCATGGGCTCAGTCAATTCCATACCATGAGGAGGCAGCAGTGACCCTGCCCTCCTCTGGCTCTCTCTGGGCCTCCAAGAGGACCTGCAAGCTCCGAGGAGACACAGGGCCATTGCCCCTTCAGCCCCAATAGCTCCATTCAAGTCAGAACACAGGGAGTCCCTAGAGTGCCCTGGACTACACTGGCCCAGTAGCCAAGGGACACAGCCACACTCACCCCCAGACCCTCCCCACTGGTCAAAGGACATCTCTAGGTGCATGGCCCGGTCCCGACCAACACTCAGCCCAGGAGGTCTGTCCACAGCAGGACGGTCCCTGGTCACATGCTCCGGAGCCTCCCCACCATCTGGGTCCCCTCAGCCCCTGCGCAAGACTCTGGCTCTACACCAAGGCCAGGCCACAGGCAGCTGCATCCTTGGCCCTGGCAGCATCTGGCCAGATGCACTTGATTCTGACTTGTGCCCAACACCCAACAGAAGCTGGGCCCTGGAGGGCGCCGCACAGTCCAGGGGATGGCGTGGGCCAAGGCCCCCAAGAGCCCGGGCACCTTCCAGAGCAGCTGCTGTGGCACCCAGGCCAGGCCACCTCTCCCCACCAGCCAGGAAGACCCCAAGGGAGGGGAGAGGAGGGGATCCACAACCCCCCACGACCAAGAATGACGCCATGGGGGATGACATCATGGGCGAGACATCACAGAGGATGATGTCAGAGGGGTGACATCGTGGGAAATTGACATCACATGGGGAATGACATCATGGGGGAGACATCACGGGAATGATATCACGGGATGATGTCACATGAATGACATCACAGGGGGGACATCATGGGAGACTGGCATCACATGGGGGGATGACATCACCGGGGGATGACATCACAGGGGCATGACATTGCAGGGGAATTGCATCATGGGGGGTGACATCACGGAATGACATCACAGAGATGACATCACACTGGCATCATGAGGGAATGACATCACAGGGGATGACATTACGGGGATGACATCAAAGGGAGTATTGACATTACAGGGGATGACATTGTGGGAAATTGACATCATGGGGGACTGACATCATGGGGGGATGGCATCATGGGGGGAATGACACCATGGGGATGACATTAAAAGAGGTATTGACATCACAGAGGTGATACCACAGGGGATGACATCATGTGGTGACAGCACGGGAATGACGTCACATGTATGACATCACAGGGGAATGATGTCATGGGGGAATGACATCACGGGGGAATGACATCACAGGGCCTCCTGGGCCCTCCTAGGGCAGATGTGGGCTTGAAGCCACAGTGCTGGGCTCAGACGCCAGCCCACAGATCCCCAGTAATATGACCTTGGGCTCCCCTCTTGGGGCCTCAGTTTCCTCATGTGCACAGGTGATGAGTATAGGACCAGCTTCATTCTGTGCTGATGAGGTGGGATGGGACAGGGTGGCACTGCCCCACACCCAACAGGCAGACAGGAAATATCACCACCTTGGGCAGCCATGGCAGAGCCCCTGGGGCTGCCAACCCCAGGAGCCAGACCCCAGGCCCCTCTGCAGATGCTGATACACACAGGTGGCCCAGAAATGGCCATTTGCACCTGCATCCTCAGGACAGCACCCAGCCCTCCCCCCTGCTGGCTACAGGCAGCTCACGTGACCCCCATGCAGACCCAGGGTCTCCACCTGAGCTACTTCTTCCCTGGGGTTAAAGGGGAGCTAGATGGGCGGAACAGGCTCAAGGAGCCCTGACCCCATCCCCTGGCTGAGGGCCCCCACGATTTCCTGGTGGTCCCAAGGTCTCTATGGTCAGCTGACCTTGTAGGACCCCTTTCACACCTGGACTGCATGGTTCTCTCAGACCCTGGGGACCTCCTGTTTGCCACTGGAGGATGGCACAGTGCCCAGGCCCATGGGAGCAGTGCCCTCGCTCACCCAGGGGTCAGGGACCCACAGGCCCTTGACAGAGGTCGTCAGAGCCAAAATGCAGCCAAAGGGCTTCCCTGTGGCACAAACCCCAAAAGCGCTGCTCAGCCAGTTGGAGGTCCCCCTTCCTCTGCCATCTGCATGCAGGCAAGGCCTCACCAGGGCCAGTGGTGCTTCAGGGCACACCCCATGCACCCCGCGTGCTCGGCCCCTAACCTCCCGAATCAAACATGGGTCTGAGAGGGACTGGCACGTTGTCCAAGGCCGCACAGCTGTTAAGCATGAAGCCAGGACTCGAACCCTCCACCCAGGCTGGATTTGAAGTCCCTCACCTGCTACTGCTGTCAGACCTCAAACGGTGGCCAATCAATCCCCAGAGTCGGGCCCACATTCAGAACAAGGCTGCTTAGATCTAAAAGTAACTCAAATGATAACCACCACAGAAAACAAAAATTCCAACTAGCCAGAGATTCCAGAACATCTTCCTTGCTCCTGTGTTTTAGATACCTAAGCAGACGTATTTACAAAGATGTTTTCTGCCACTTTCCTCACCTCAAAGAACGAGTCAGCTGCAGTCCTGTACTGCTGCCCAGGAGACTGGGGAAGAGGGGCCCGAAGCTCCTTGGACATGTGGATGGTGACTCCACCCCCCCAGGACTGCACACTGTTGGCCTGGTTGGGGGTGTGGGGCTCGGGCAGAGAGGAGCCATCTCTGCTTCCTGGGCTGTTATCAATGGACTGTCAACATGTGGCATAGAGACATGGGCGCTACAGGCGGGAGGGCCACGGCACACACCAACCCACCCACAGAACAGAGTGGACACACCCTGGTCAGATGGGGCAGGAGGGGATCCTTGTAGCAAGGAGAGAACAAAGTCTCAAAGTGGGGGCGCTGCCTCTGCCGGGCCCAAGAGGTGGGCAGGGGCAGGGAGAGGACACCTCAGGCAGGAGAGCATGGGAATGGCAGGGCACTGTGCAGGGCCGAGTTAGAGGGAGCGGCTGGACCACATCTGTGAGAGGCCCCTGCCCGGCACTTACACCCGAGTGAGCCCGTTTTTGCCTTAAGAATGCCCCATGAGGGGTGGGAACAATGCGCAGTCCCTTCCTCCAGGTGCCAGCACCAAGGCCCAGGGCCTCATCTGACAGCAGCAGGAAGGGTCAGGGCCAGGTCTGTCTTACGCAGCATCACACTGGGCCTCGTCTGAAGGGCCAAAATGGAGGGAGAGAAGTCAGGGATGAGGCTGCGGCTGCAACGTCCCGGGCACCGCTGAGGCTGTCTCTTCCCAGAGGAGGTGCCCCATGGGCAGAGGTGCCAACAGGCCACACTGCCCTCGGGCCGCAGAGCAGGGAGCCGGCAGGAACGACCTGACCACCTGCGCGGCCTGGTCAGGCCAGAAGCTCCTGCACAGGTGTAACTGCTGCCCCACCAGCCCTCCTGCCACCCACCTGAGACTCCAGAAGGTGGCTGCACACCTTGTCAGGCCAGTCCCCCAGAACATATCTAACACCCACACAGAGAACATAAAAGCTGAGTCTTGCTGTACTGGCTGCAGCCCCAACCTGACGTGAGGCAGGACTCGGCGGTGGCGGAAACCTTTTGCATGAGGGCCTCAGTCTGACACCCAAGCAGGTTTCCCAGCCTGTGAGGCATCATCGTACGGGCACAGGCCCATGGGTCAGCTGGCCCTGCAGGCCCAAAGGCTCAGACCTGGGGCACCACCCGAGGCTTCCCTGCCAGCACTGGTGGCATCTGGTATCTGGATGACAAGCTCTCGAGTTACTGAGGACCCAGCCAATTCCAGAGGCCCATGGAGTTGTCCCCCACAGCCCCAGTGCCAGGGAGAACACACAAAGCTCAGCATGGCCACTCCCCTCTTCTCACCAGAGTCAGGGACTGTCTAAGTCAGCCCCCAGCTTGGCTGGTGCCCACCCTGAGCCATGTGTTCTGCTGGGGTCAGGAAAAGCGTTCTAGCAGGAACAGAGGGTGGAACCTGCTGCATTCCTGACACTGGCTGGCTCGAGACAGCCAATCAACGTGGTCACCAAGGAAAGCTAGTAGAATATGGTAGACTGAACCCAAGCTGGGGTGATGGCCAGCATGGGCCCAACCAGGGACACGCAGAAGGCAGCATGTGGGGGCCCACACCATCTGTGCCCAGATTCTCCAGGGAGCAGAGCAGGCCAGAGCCCAGGTCTCCAGGTCTGTGTTGACCTTCCAGGGGCACCACTCACAGCCGAGAGCCACCCGCCGGAGGTGTTCTTCGCAGCATTCAGGGAGGCCTGTGCCCACAGCACTCCTCGCTCAGCTGCTCTGTTCCCAGGGAAGTCACTGAACAGAGCCCCCAGGCCAGGGAGGGCCACCAGCCAGGGCAGCCCCAGCGCCTTCGGTCTCCATTACACCTGTTCAGCTCCCTGCCTCTGGCCGCCCAGAGCAGAACTCCACTCTGCACAGTGCAGGCCGGTTTGAACCAGCTAGGCTCAGAGGCCTGGTCACCAGGAGCTCCGGTCAGAAGCAGAGCCATCACTCTGTGCCGGGCCAGTCTAGATGGGGGATGCAGTGCACCAGGGACCAGTACCATGTGGCCCATCACCACCAGGTCCAGCTACAGCTCCAGCCCACCCACCAATGGGGAGACAAGGAGACTTCCCTGTTCCCCCGTGGCCTCACACCATTGGCTTGGCTTGTTGGAGTCTCCCTCGAGATCCAAGAAAAAGTTCTGGCCAAGCGCAGTGGCTCATGCCTGTAATCTCAGCACTTCAGAAGGCCGAGGCAGGCGGATCACCCAACGTCAGGAGTTCGAGACCAGCCTGGCCAACATGGCGAAACCCCGTCTCTACTAAAAAATACAAAAACAGCCGGGCATGGTGGCAGGCGCCTGTAATCCCAGCTACTCGGGAGGCTGAGGTAGGGAGAATTGCTTGAACTCGGGAGGCGGAGGTTGCAGTGAGCAGAGATCGTGGCACTTCACTCCAGCCTGGGTGACAGAGTGAGACTCCGTCTCAAAAAAAAGGAGAGTTCTTCCGCCTGGGAGGATCGAAGGTTGTGAGCCAGGAAAAAGGAGCTGGAGAGTGGGCACATCTTGGAAGCTGAGGCACTGCCAAAGCCAAGGAGTAACTGCTAACTCTGGGAGCCAGTGGCTCTGAAAAGTGCTCCCCTAGCTGGCCCTGGTGCCTGACACCCAGGAGGGTGGGTTAGAGCCAGTGCCCTCTCCCCACCCAGGCACACTGGGGTCCTCCCGACAAGGTCATGCCACAGCAAGAAGGACTTGGAGATCCAGAGTTTGGAGAAATGGCAACCTAGACTAGCCCTACACCACCTGCTACAAAAGTAGCTCCTCATCCAGGCCCCCAATTCAAACACAAGCAGGGAAACAAGGCCCCATTAGCTACTTCCAGCTCCTGTAAGTGTAAAGAAAGCTGACAGAGAACCTGCTTCATTTCTCACAGGGACTGGGGAGTTGAAAGAGAGGGAAAGACACAGGGAAGGTGGGGACACTGTACTCTGCCTCTGGGTGTCAACCAGTTTGTCCCTGCTGCTACCTGGGAAAGGGCATGTCAAACCCACCTGGGCCAGGTACCCTAACAGCCCTAGGCTGCTTAAGGGCTGAGTCCCACTGCCATGCGGATGTGAAGATGGGGGAGGAGGGGTGGGCCGGCTCCTGGAGCACTGGCTGCCTAGGAAGCCTGGCCTGGCCTGGGTGAGGTGGGCAGGAGCCTAGCGTGGGGCATGGCAAGTCCAGTTGGATGTGGGGTTTGGCTGGGACTGGAGAAGGTACCCAAACTGTGGGGCTTGTTGCAAATGGTTCATCCCGACAAACAGCAATCCCCTCTCCTTACTGTTCTTCAGGATGAACTGGAAATGGACCAAGAGAAAGGATTCTTCCACCCAGGAGGGTAGAAAAGGAGGCGTCCATAGGATGTTCAGGAGTGGAGGGACAAACTCGGGGGTGTGGCTGCCGGAAGAATGGGGAAGGAGCTCTCGAGCACAGGACTCTGAGCCCAGGGAGCTTGGGACCGGGTGGGTTGCGGGGAGCAGTTGCGGGCTAAGGATCAGTTTGAGGCTGTGGGTTGGGAGAGTGTTCAGGGGACCGTGGGGAAGTCTAGAAAAAAGAAGGGAGAGGTAAGCGGAAGACAAGCGATTCAGATCGGGAAGTACCGTGGATCAGAAAACAGAAAAGGGGGGTCCCGAGCGGAAAATAAAGCCCTGAGAGAAAGACAACGAGGAGCTTCGGAGCAGCCGCTGGAGCCCCGCTGGGCGAGGAAGTGGCTGTAAGGGCCAGAGAGGGTTCCCGGCCGCCGGGCCCCGCAGGCCTGGCCTCCGAGGAGACGCGGATCCTGGGGCCCCGCGGCGGGGGCTGCAGCCCCGGGCTGGGCCGGGTCGGGGTCGGCCGGCGGCCCTACCTGGTACACGGAGGCCTTGGGCAGGTCCAGGCACACGGTGCAGCACAGCACCGAGTAGAGCCGCTCCTCCAGTTTCCCGCTGCCGGCCGCCGCCGCCGCCGCCGCCGCCTCGGCCGCCTCGGCTGCCCGCAGCCGCTTCTTGGGCGGCGCGTCGGGGTCGCCGGCCGCCTCCTGCAGCTGTAGCTGCCGGGCGCCCGCCAAGCCCGCCTCGTCCGGGAGCCCAGGCCCCGCCGCCTCGCCCAGAGCCGCCGCCGCCGCCTGCCCGGCGGCCGCCCCGGGCCCGGCTCCGACCCCGACCCCGACCCCGGCCGGCACGGAGCCCGCGGGCCCCGCGGCCGGGCCGCCCCCGCCGGCCTCCTCGGCGCCGGACATAGCGGCCGGCCGGCCCGGCGGGCGGATGCCGGCGCGCTCCCCCGACTAGAAGTTAGGGGCGCCGCGCGCTCCCGCCGCTCTCCTGCCGCCGCCGCCGCGAACCCGCAGCCCCGCTCCCTGCGCCGCCGCCTCAGTGGGCCCGGCCCGCGCGTAGCCCCACAGCCGCCGCGGCCACCGACCCCGGCACGGCCGCCATCTTTGTTTTCGCTGTGCGCTTCCCCCCGCCCCGCCGCCACCACCCCCTCGTCTTCCCCGTCACGTGAGCCCCACGCGGGGCCAATGGGAGCGCCGCTTGGGGCAAGAAAGCGCAGGGACTAGAGCCAATGGGAGAGCGAGGGCCCCCGAAGGCCCGCCCCTGCAGAAGGTGGGCGGGGAGGGGGCGCGGCCTGCGAGAGTCGCGGAGGGACTCGCACCTGGGGGCAGGGAGGCCCACGCGAGCTGTGGCGCCGGCGCGGCACCCACGCTCCACGAGCCAGTGGCGGCCGCCGACCCCTACGGCGGGGTGTGCCTGTGTCTCTGTCCCCCAAGACTCAGGCTTGTGTTAGGGGCTCTCGCCC
Organism: Homo sapiens; assembly: GCF_000001405.40. NCBI lineage: Eukaryota > Metazoa > Chordata > Mammalia > Primates > Hominidae > Homo > Homo sapiens. The sequence goes on from NC_000008.11 coordinate 144,463,212, forward strand.
CCTTCCCCGCAGGGGAAGGACACAAGTGAAAAATCCCGCCGGCCACCCCTCTCTGTCGGGTGCGGGACCCCTTAGGTCTCCACAGGAGCAAGCGGAGAGACTTCCAGGAGAGGGGACTCCAGACCCCTAACCCACCGGAATCTAATCCTCTGCTCGTCCGAACCCCCTCTAACCCTGGGGTTGGAGACTGAAGGGGTCCACTGAGGAAAACGAAGGTATTAGGGAATAGGGCTGGCTTCCACAGGCCGGAGGTACACAGGAGGGCGAATCAGCTCTGGGAAGGATGTGCGTTTCTCGAAACGCCTGTGGTACAGCCCTCCCCTGCCTCCACCCTACTCTTCAGTTCTTGAAGGTCACTGCCCCAGAGGGCCACCTGCCAGGCCAGGCCAGGATATCTGGAACTCCACCATGTCCCTGGAGAGTAAGGGCCCAGGGCTATGTCTTCTCAGCCCAGGGGTCTTCCTGACAATAGTCAAAAGGAGGCCGGGCTGCATGAGACCCCATCCTAGTTCCAGCACATACCCTGTCAGGGTAACTGACTACTGTCCTGAGGGGCCTTAGGAAGCTCACTGAAAGATCCCTCAATCCCTCTCAAAAATGGGCAGTTTTCATATTCCTGCAAAATTCCTAAGATTTATTGGAGACTAGGCCTCTTCTCTGGATCCACAACCGTGTCCAGCCCAGAATCAGGACCCCCAAACGTGTCTGGGACCCTGTCCCTTTCATTCTGGTCTAGACAAGTCCCCACACGTGGCCAAAGGACAGCACCCAGACTCTGCCCCTGACCAGTCAATGTGCAGCAAACCCACTTCAGTAGGCAGAAGAGTCTACCCCTAGGGAGAAGGCGCCAGGAGCAGGCAGGTGGGAGGGAAAGTGTTCGGCAGGGCAGAAACCCTGCCTGGCTGTATCCAACTGTCACTCCCACTGGAGGCGCTGTGTATGCAGGGCCCGGCAGTAAGCCCAGCTGCCTACAGCCAAGGCCCAGCGACAGACATCCTCCTTCGGTAGCAGCAGCAGCCTGTCCTCCTCCAGCCGGCTCAGGAGGCCTGCCACACCCAGCATCGCCCCCCCCCACATCCCATAAGTGTTGGCCGTGAAGACAGCTACAATGAGGATGGTCACTGCGACCACCAACAGCATTGCCTGACCAGCCACAGAGCGGCCCTCAGGGCCGAGGTGGCCGCCAGCCACTGCCAGCACCATGCCTCCTCCCAGGAGCAGGTTGGCAGAGGAGCGGTCCCCATTCACCCAGTGGAAATCGAAGGCCAGAAGGGGAAGGCCGATGACGGTGGCCACCCAGGCTCCAGCAAGGCAGTCTTCGTGTGTGCTCAGCCCTGGGGCCAGCGTGGTGGTGGCAGCCAAGACCTGGAGCAGGAAGCCAGCAGCAGCCCCTCGACTTGCCTGTCAACACAGGGAAGGGAGAACACGTGGGAAAAAGAGGCCGGGGTCACCCTTTTAAACAGGAAAGGGTTTGGGGCTTCCATGGAGACCTGGTCTTAGACGCACTTCCCACCAACCTCTCTCTAATTCAGGAAACTAGGTCCTTGGGGTTTGGGAGGTATGGGGATGCGCCCCTGCTCAGCCCCAGTGTACTCACCTCGGCTGTGCTCACGGCTGCGTGCAGAGACACCACTCCCAGCACCAGATGGGACAGGGCTGTGCTCCACTCGGCCCCCGGCTTGGGGGCCATGGCACCTCAGGCGGCAGTATGTACGAGGACACAGATAGGAGATACTCAACTTTGGAGAGGAAGGAAGCGCAGAAGCCAGCGACCTGGAGCCCTACGCGCGGCACTCTAGTAAGCCCAGGTTCCAGGTCCCCATTACTGGATGTTAGGAGAAGTTCAGTCCTAGACTTTCCGGATCCCTGAGGCCACTGCACACACCTGTGGAGAAGAAGAACCTAATTCAGCCGGGAAACGGGGGAAAACGACTCAGGGTCTAAGCTGGGGGGAACGTCAGCCCTGGGGCCCTGGAGCCCAAGTGGGAGTGCGGGCCTGGGGAAGAGAGAGCGGCGAGGCGCTGCAGGCCCACGCGGCGGCCTCGGCCTGCTCCCTGCGTTCCGGGAGGCGTTGTCCTGGGAACCCGGGTCCAGGAGGAGCGACGGCGCAGGACTCCGGGAGGCCAGCCGTGCGCAGTTACCGGGCTGCGCGGTCCCAACGCAGCGGCGAGCGGGAGGCCCGAGCCTGCGCAACGCACCGCCCACCGCCGTCGGCCCTGCCTCCTCTGCCGTGCCCCCAGTTGCGGGAGCGAGCGCGGTCGGGAACCTCCACCAGCGAGAGGAGCGGAGGCTAGAGCGGCCGGGCGGGGCTAGAGCGGCTGGGGGGGGAGGGTCGAGGCCTGGGGGAGAGGGTCGAGACCTGGGGGGGGCCGGTTGGAGGCCGTAGGAGCGGGTGGGGTCGGGAGGAGCTCGGGGACCAGAAAACGCTCTGTTTGGGTGGGTGCGTGCGTGGGCATAGTGGTTTGGAAGGAGCGTGATGAGGGGAGAAGGGCCGGGGCGGGGCTGCGAGGGGCGGGGTCTGGGCGGGGCTGCGAGGGGCGGGGGGTCTGGGCGGGGCTGAGGGAGATAAGGTTTAGGCGGGGCTGAGAGCGGCGGGTCTGAGAGGGAGGGGGCCTGGGTGGGGCGGGGCCTGGGCGAGGATGCGATGGGGGGGTCTGGGCGTGGCTGCGAGGGGCGGGGCCTGGGCGGGGCTGCGAGGAGAGGGGTCTGGGCGAGACTGAGAGGGACCGAGAGGGGAGGAGCCTGGGCGAGGCTGCAAGGAACGGGGTTTGGGCGGGGCTGCGAGGAGGGGGGGTCTGGGCGGGGCTGAGATGGGCGGGGCTGAGATGGGCGGGGCTGTAGGGAGAGGAAGGAGAACCCCGGCGTGTTGAAGGCTCCGCGAAACCGGAGCGGTGGGGGACTACGCGGAGGGTGGGAGGGATTCCGAGAGGAGGGTCGCGGGAGCCGTGGGCGCTCTCAGCCCGGTGTCCGCGGTGTAGGGGTTGGGGCGCGCCGGGCGGCGCCGTGAGAAACGGCGGGTCTCCAGGTGCGGCCGCGGGCACCTGTTTCTAGTACCCCCGTCCCCGCGCTCGCCTTCCAGCCGTGGGAGCCGGGCCGTGGGGGCGGCCGTCGCGAGCATGCGCACCGGCACTGCGGCGGGCGGGCGCCGAGTCTGGGCGCGGGGACGCGGGGCGGCGCGAAGCGGGGCCCTCTGCCGCCCCGCGCTCCCATGTACGCCTTTTACTCGTTGCTCATCTACATCTTCTACAGCCTCTTCCGCAGGGATGGTGGCGCCGCGGCGGCCGCGGAGCCCGGGGACCCCGCCCAGGTGAGCGGGGCTGGCCGTGCAGCCCGTCGTCTCCCGCCGCCTGCCCCACCCCCACGCCGAGGTTCCCGGGGCGGGGGCGGGCACGGGGCGCGGGGCGACGGGGCCGTGCCGAGGACCCTCGGCTCGGCCCCGATGCTGGAAGCGTAGACTTCGGCCCCAATCCTCCGGCCCGGTTCGCGGAGGGAAGGGGCCAGCAGGCTGCCTGCCCCCCTCCTCAGGGGCGCCCCTGCCCCCTCCCTAGAGAGCCCGCAAGCCCCGGGGTCGCCGGCGCCCAGACCTGCCCGCGCCAGAGCTGTGGACCGAGCTGACCGGCCTGGCCGGTAGGTGCGGGCTGGGAGTCCCGCGGTGCGAGGGCGGTGCCGGGACCTCCCAGGGAGGGGCGGAGGCCTGGCTCAAGCACGTGACCCGAAATGTCTCCCGCCCTCCTCCCTGACCGGCAGCCAGCTCCGAGCCTGAGGATGGGTCGGAAGGCGCAGCCGAGGGCCGCGCGGCCGCGGTGTCCCTGGAAGAGGCCCTACTGCGCCTCGCCGAGTTCCTCTCCGTCCAGCTGGGGGCGGAAGAGAGCTGCGGGGGCCCGGCGGACCTGGGCCAGGTGAGCGCGGCGGAGGGGGCTGCTGGCAGGTACCACCTGCCCCGGCCTTCCTGGCTTTCACAGCCCTGCTCGGATTCTTGTCTCCTTCGCAGTCTGGCGAGGTCCCCTCACTGTTGACAGTGACCAGTCAGCTCTTGGCCCTTCTGGCATGGCTTCGAAGCCCCAGGGGGAGGCAGGCCCTGCTCCAGGGGACTCAGCCAGCCCCTCGGGTCCGGCCCCCCTCTCCAGATGGTGAGTAAAGGACAGTAAGTTGAAGAAGAACTCTGGAGGGAGCAAATCCCGGTAGAACCTGGGCGGCCTGGAGTTCGGGGTCATGTTCCGGAAGATTTGGACTAGAGACCTCTTCAGTGCTAACTGGGCCCACCCTACTCCAGGATCCACATCCCAAGAAGAAAGCCCTTCCCACTTCACCGCAGTCCCAGGCGAGCCACTGGGGGATGAGACCCAGGGACAGCAGCCCCTCCAGTTGGAGGAGGATCAGAGGGCGTGGCAGCGGCTGGAGCAGCTCATCCTGGGACAGGTGAGGTCCCTGGAGCCAGAAGGGATTGCCGGCTGGGACGCCAGAAAAAGGAGGTCCACCCTGTCTCTCTTACTTCTCCCCAGCTGGAGGAGCTGAAGCAGCAGCTGGAACAGCAGGAGGAGGAGTTGGGTCGACTGCGCCTGGGCGTGGTGAGGCTGCAGGGAGACCTGGCAGGGCCGGGCATGGAGGGGGTGCTTCAGGTGAGTGCCGAGGTTTCCTCTCCACCAGGGGGCGACGGACTCAGAGAAAAGGGTTCAGCATCTGACTCTGGAGAACGAGGCCCTGAAGCAGAGCCTGAGTCTCATGCGGGACCTCCTGCTGCACTGGGGCCCCGGGCCCCCCATCAGGGCTCCGCAGGTACTCTGCTCCCGAGCTGCAGCCGTTCCTGCAGCCTGGGGCTCTTGCACACCTGGCATGCAGCCACAGGGCCCGAGCCTCCTCAGGACCTCCCGGGATGGTCTGTGTAGGGCAGCCCCATCAGGGAGGCTGATGCCAATGGGAAGACCCCCCTCTCCGTGGCCCCTCTGAGTGGCTGACCCCAGGAGAGCAGAGGGACTGTGGGAAGGAGGTCTGCGTGGAGCTGGGAGGCATGGGTTCACAGCCAGCTCTGCCCACCTCTTGACTTGACTTTCCCATCTGTGAAATGGTACCACAGACCGTCCCTCTCTGAGTCCCTCCTGGCCCCCACCCTCCCGCAGGAGGAGGCAGAGGCATTGCTAGAGCTCCAGGGCCGGCTTCAGGAGGCCCAAGACACCACAGAAGCCCTCCGAGCCCAGGTGGGCATGGGGCCCAGGGATCCATGGCTCAGGGGTGAGGCGGGCTGGGGTTTTGGGAGGGGCTTATCTGAGGCAGGGCCTGGTAAGTGCCTGTTTCCTCAGTGACAGGGGTGGGGTTGGGCGGGGCAGCTGGGGGTGCAGGAGGTGCAGCTGCAGGGCCTTCAAGGGGCCCTCCAGCAGCTCCAGCAGGAGACGGAGCAGAACTGCAGGCGTGAGCTACAGCAGATGCATGGGCAGCTGGCAGGTAAGGGTTGGGGTTGGGGCTCATGGGAGGCCCTGGAGGCTGGGCCTTCCCTTCCAACAGACTTCCCTCTCCAGGACTTCGGGCACGGATGGCCAGCCTGCGTCAGGGCTGCGGGGACCTCCGAGGTTTGGTCAGCACCTTTACCCAGAGCTGTCAGGGTTCGCTGAGTGAGGCCCGGGGCCAGGTCAGGACCCCTCCCCGCCTAGCCCCTCCTCTCTGGGCAGCCTATTCACTGTTCTTTTGACGGGGGCGTTCCTGGGGAGTTGGCTGTACTAATAAGTGGGGCTCTGGAACCCAAACAGCTTCTGTGTGACCCAGGGTGGGATTCCACTTCTGGGCCTTATTTTAATTCTATGCATACTTGGTTGACAGTAAACTCTTAAAGCATTGCCCAGAAGCACGGAGGAGACAGATGATGTGGTGTTCCTGCCTGTCATTCCTGGGCTTTATCCTGGGGTTACTCAATGATGTCCCCAGGGGCCCAGAGCCACTGAAAGTTGTGGCTTAGCACAGCTGAGCGGGCCTGTGGGGGCTCCCTGCTGCTCTCAGGACCCTCCCACCCCCCACCTCCGCAGCTCCTTGGCTGACCCCTTGCCTTCTGTACATCCCTGTTCCCTCAGGTGTCCTGGGCCTTGGGGGCACTGTCATCTGGAGGGCCTGGCACTCAGCTCCCTGAGGGGCAGCAAGGGCCCCCAGCCGGATGCCCAGGGCGGCTGCCAGAACTCAAGGGTATGACAGGCTTGGGAGCCTAGCGGGGCAGGGAGGGCGGCTGGAAGAAGTGCAGCTTCTCTGTGCTTTAGGGTCTGCGAGGCATTATGCTGACCTGATCCCCACTGCAGGAAATATCCGTGTGCTGTGTCGGCTGAGGCCAGGGACATCTTCTAGCCTTGTGAGTGTGGAGCCTGGCCCAGGGGGCACCGTCACCACCTGCTACCGGGGGCGCCATCGTCGATTCCGCCTAGACTGGGTCTTCCCTCCAGACGCCAGCCAGGAGGAGGTGACAGCCTGCCTTTGCAGCCATCCTGACCCTTTTTCAGAGTTCCCTGAAGAGCAGGAGAGGCTCCAGTTTCCCCTTCCCAGTCTGGGTGTCCACCTGGAGGAGAGAGGGTGGCTGGGCTCTAGCCAGGAAGGAAAGGGAACCGAGGGGGCTGGGAAGCAGGGCAGGCAGCCCAGCTTGGTGCCTCCTCCTCCCAGGCTTCACTGCCTGCCCACTCCCCTTTGCTGGGGTCCAGGGTTTGCCCAGCTATGAGGGCCCCTCATTGCTTTATGGCCCCAAGGCAGGCGGTGGGTGGTGGGGGCCGTGGGTGAGGAGGCAACCTTCTAGTCTTAGTGTGCTCTCTCTGCCTTGCCTGGATCCCACTCTCCTTCCCCACCCTTTTCCTGCCAGACACCTGTGGAAAAGCAGGGGCTTCAGCCCCAGCCCACCCCACTTTCACACACGTTTTCATCTGCACATGCCCTTTGCTGCTACAGCTCCCATAGCTAAGGAGATGGCAGCTCAGAGCCAGGGGAGACTAGGTAAGGGGCAGAATGGCAGCGACTCCCAACCAGGCTGCCTGCCAGCCTCACAGGGACAGGGGGACGACTGCCCAGCAGGTGGCCAGGGTCACCCTGATTGCCTCTTTTCCAACCACTTCTTCCTTCATCCCACACATCCCTCTGGCCTTAGCCCCACCCCACACTGCAGCACTGCGCAGGGCATGCCTTGTGCACCGTCCTCTGGACAGCCGTCCTGGACAGGGTCCTCTCAGTCAATGTGTCTGAACCAAAGGCATCTGTGGACAAGCCCCTCATCTGTGTTCCTGTTTCTGCAGTGGTGCCATGATGTGCTCCTGAATGTCATCCTCAGTGCCACCTCCATCCAATCATGGAACCTCAGTGACCACACAGAACACAGAATTCTAGATTCTAGCCTTGTGGCTGTCTTCAAACAGAGCTGACAGCCCACCCTGTTAGCAGCGACCTTCTGGGCATAAAAGCCAGCCATGTTGTTGCTCAAAAGACTGTTGGTGTCCAGTGCCAATGGGGTGAATGTCCTAACCTTGTGTCTCTCTCAGCACCTGTCTGTGCCTGGGCTCCAGCAGGCCTGGCTGGCCACCATCCCCCGTACCTGCAGGCCCTTCCTGGGGTCACGCCTTGTGAGCCAGGTACTGGTGTGGCCGGCCCTCTAGGTGCACTGCCACAAGTGTTCACAGCAGGTGCCACTGCAGCCCTTATCTCTCAGGGGAAAGTGAGGCACAGGAAGGCCAATGAGTAAGCTCCAATCATACCCAGGTTTGAACCGTGCAGTCACGCCCCAACATCTGGGCTCTTTTTTTTTTCTTTATTTTTGAGATGGAATCCCACTCTGTTGCCCAGGCTGTAGTGCAGTGGTGTGATCTCGGCTCACTGCAACCTCCGCCTCCTGGGTTCAAGCAATTCTCCTGCTTCAGCCTCCGAAGTAGCTGGGATTACAGGTGCGTGCCACCATGCTCGGCTAATTTTTGTATTTTTAGTAGAGACAGGGGTTTCACCGCGTTTGCCAGGCTGGTCTTGAACTCCTGACCTTGTGATCTGCCTGCCTTGGCCTCCCAAAGTGCTGGGTTTACAGGCGTGAGCCACCTCGCCCAGCCCATCTGGGCTCTTTTAAACATTTTTAAAATTTTTTACTACATATATATGTATATGTATTTTTTTTTTTTTGGACAGTCACACTTTGTCATCAGGCTGGAGTGCAGTGGTGCAATCTCAGGTCACTACAACCTCTGCTTCCTGGGCTCAAGAGATCCTTCCACCTCAGCCTCCCGAGTAGCTGGGACCACAGATGTGCAACACCATGCCTGGCTAATTTTTTTGTAGTTTTTGTACAGACGGGATTTCACCGTATTGCCTAGGCTGGTCTCAAACTCCGGAGCTCAACCAATCCACCCTCCTTGGCCTCTCAAAATGCTGGGATTTATTTTTCTTTTTTTCACGTTGGCTTCCACATTAAGGACACCACACCTGCGCTCTTAACTGCTGTCCCCAGGTCTCCTACGTGGTCTTCAGGACTCCAGAGCCTCTGCATAGGCTGTTCCTCTTCTCATTGTGTCTTTTCCCTTCTTTGCCTGGCAAATTCTTGCAAGCACCACCTTCTCTAGGGAGACAGAGGGTCTCTGTAGGACACACCCTCCCCCATGGTCCCTTAGAGCCATCCTCCCAGGAGACTAGGCTCTGCTCACACCTGCCTTCGTGGCACTCCCCACCCCACCAAATAGGGCATAAACAGGCAACGTGGGGAGGACTCAAAACACATTCTCCCGCCTCCCGCAGGTCTTCAGAGAGCTGGAACCTGCGGTGCTGTCCTGCCTCCGAGGCTACAGCGTCTGCATCTTCACCTATGGCCAGACAGGCACCGGGAAGACCTACAGCATGGAGGTGGGACAGAGCTCACGCCCCAGTGGGAGAGGCCCCAGGGGCCCTGCATGACTTGGATGTGAGCCCGGTGTGCACCCCACCCCATCCTCAGGGCCCTCCTGAGGACCCCGGCATAGTTCCTAGGGCGCTGCAGTCGCTGTTCCGGGAGATGGGGGCCGGCCGGCAGCACCGGGTGACACTCAGCATGGTGGAGATCTACAATGAGGCTGTCAGGTGGGCTACTCCACCAGGGAGGCCTTCTCCCCACCCCTGGCCCAGGGCCCTTCCGGATTTCCAGAGAATTCTGGAACCAAGACCTTCCCCTTTCTCACCAGGGACCTCCTTGCTCCAGGGCCTCCCGAGCGCCTGGCCGTGAGGCAGGGCCCAGAAGGCCAGGGCGGGATCCAGGTGGCTGGCCTCACCCACTGGGACGTGCCCAACCTGGAGACATTGCACCAGGTAGGGCTGCACCGCTCTCCGAGACCCCGCCCCGTGCTTCCACTTGGGGGCGGGGACCCTGCACCTGACCAGCCCTTCGCCCCGCCTTCCAGATGCTGAAACTGGGGAGGAGCAACCGGGCCACCGCCGCCACCGCCATGAACCAGCGCAGCTCCCGCTCGCATGCCCTGGTCACGCTGACGCTGCGCGCGGCGTCTCCACCGCGCGCTCCAGGCACCGCAGGTACCACGGCCGGTGCCTGAGCCCTGCGGAGTCTCCAGAGCACCCGAGGCCCGGCCTTCCCCCATGTCGGGCTCGCTCGCCCCTCTAGGCACGCTGCACCTGGTGGACCTGGCGGGATCCGAACGCGCACGGAAGGCAGGGGCGGCCGGCCCGCCGCGGGGAGACCCAGACGGCGCCCGGCGCCTGCGGGAGGCCCAGACCATAAACCGCTCGCTGCTGGCGCTAGGAGGCGTGATGGCCGCACTGCGGGCCCACCGGCCGCACGTGCCCTTCCGCGACTCGCAGCTCACGCGACTGCTGCAGCCGGCGCTGGGCCCAGGCACCACCGCGGTGCTGCTGCTGCAGGTGGGCGCCGGGGCGGGGCAGGTGTGTGCGTGCCGGTCGCCGCCCACCCGGGCCCGCCCACCCGCGCCTCTTGCCCGCAGATCTCCACGCGGCCGGAGGATCTCGGGGAGACAGTCTGCTCCCTCAAGTTCGCCGACCGAGTGGGTCAAGTGGAGCTGGGGCCAGCCCGGCGCCGCAGGGTCCCGCGCTCCTCCGGGACGCCTTCTTCCCTCAGCACCGACACTCCGCTCACCGGGACCCCCTGCACCCCTACGCCGTCCCCTGGCAGTCCTCCATGCCCCAGTCCCGACAACGGCTCGGGCTCGGCTCTCGCGCCCGCAGAGGGCCTGCCCCTCTAGTCCTGGGTCGCGGCCCTGCCCATGGGGTCTCAGGCCAGGTCTCTGCTGGCAGAGGCGGTAGTAAAGTCCCTGTACCCCGTCTCCCAGGGCACAAGCTCCCTAGCCTCTTTGGATCCATTGCCCCTGAGCTCCCAGAGTCACCCCTCCACCTCCGCAGCCAGTGAAGTGTGTTGTGCCTGCTGAAGTGATCACCCCCCGCCCCCAGCCCTGCATCAGGCCACAGGTCTTGGCTTTCTCCTTATCACCATTTGCTGTTATCACGGCACACAGCAGGGAATCCCAGGCCCCCCCGCCAAGTGGTTACCCAAGTCACCACTCCTGACCCAAAAATCAGGCATGGCATTAAAACGTTGCAAATTCCTTTACTGTTATCCCCCCCACCACCAGGACCATGTAGGGTGCAGTCTTTACTCCCTAACCCGTTTCCCGAAAAAGGTGCTACCTCCTTTCCAGACAGATGAGAGAGGGCAGGACTTCAGGCTGGATCCACCACTGGGCTCTCCCTCCCCCAGCCTGGAGCACGGGAGGGGAGGTGACGGCTGGTGACTGATGGATGGGTAGTGGGCTGAGAAGAGGGGACTAGGAAGGGCTATTCCAGGCTCAGCCCTGCTCCTGCAGCTTTGCCGCTGAGTGTAGGAAAAACAGGCATGACAGACCAGGGTGAGGGTTGTGCCCAGCTGGGCCACGGCCATGCGTGGGGTGGCCCAATAAACACCGTGGACTCCCAGCAAGGCTGCTGCCTGGTGTTTCGAGGCTGCTGTGGTCGCAGACAGCCGCCTCGCCTTGGCTCCCTGTCAACAAGGTGGGGGTGGGAGCGGGAGGGAGGAGTGGCCCCTGTCTTAAGAGCCTCACAGGCTGCACCAGGAGAGCAGCCAGCCTGGGCCAGGGGCCGCCAGGTCCCGAGGGTGGCTGACCCAAACGTCGTAGATGCTTTTGTTGGGTGGCACCCCTTGGAAGAGGGCGTCTAGATCGCAGAGCAGCCCTGGGGGCCCTCGGGTTTCAGGGGCCACCCCCCAGTAGGCAGGGCTGGTTGACGGACACTGGGGACAGGAGGTGGGTGGTGGTGCCAAGGGCATTACCACATTGGGAGT